>NC_000002.12:106580527-106883557 GCF_000001405.40 Homo sapiens | reverse complement strand
GACTATAAAAGTAACAATTGCATATAATTATATACTAATTTTGGAAAGTGGAAGGGAAACACAGATGCATATTTGCACAGAAATTTTCAATGTTCTTACACCAATTTTTGATATCAATGCCAAACACTGAATGGGCTGTAGATGACCAGCCACTGTTAGTGGATTACCACATTTTCAGTTTAATATACCTACCATTTTTCCGAAAGCTCTCCTTCCAACTTTTGAGAAATTTCTTTCTAAATGTTATTAAGTACACAATGCGAAGATATCAGTGTTAGAGAAACACGGATTTATTATGCCCCTTACAAAATTTGAAATTTACCCTTGCTTGGTCCCAGCCACCTCCCACCCCTCCCATTGAATTGATAGGGGAACAGTTGCAATTCAAAATACTTGGCATCTACCTAGTCCACAGGTGAAATACATTTAAAGGGGATGAAGTATGACCTGGGCAGTCCTAAGGCTTTGCAGGAGTTGGTGATCTGGTCCAGCTCCAGCATTGGTCCTAGCCCTGGTGAAAGCAGGGTCCCAGCAGTTGTGACTATTATCTTCACTTTGCCACCTGCAGGTTCCTGATTATCCCACAGTACCCAGGGCCTACTGGTTGGTTGGGAGAATTGTTCTGTGTATGGAAATGACATCAGAGGCATGCTGCCCACTGCGGAGGACTTCTATCTGGACGGAACTGTTCTGTGCCATCCTGGCTTCTGCTGCCCTCTGTGGTCTTGTCTAGGGAAGAAGTCCAAATTGAAGGCATGCAGTGGCTTTACAAAGCTAGAAGCATGTGAAGGCTAGGTTTGTAGTTTTGCACTGGACTTTCTTAGAGAGCAAAGGAAAGCTATTGGCCAGTGCTTCTGCAGCGACCAGCACTGGAGAAAGACAGCCTTATCAGAGCTCAGTTTCCAAGGCTGGAAAAGGAAGGCTTATATTAAATCCTTTCCCACATGTCTTCTGGTGTGAGATTCCACAAAACTGATAATTGTAAGTTGTGGCATACTTAAAAGCTAATTCCTGTGCAGCCTCAGGAGATGGTAGTAATTCAAAGAATAATAATAGTAACTAATTTGCACTTATGATGTACTACATCCTGCCATTTGCTTTGCACAGATTATCAAAGTGTACTTTAGCCACAATCCTGGGAGGTATCATTGTGCCCATTTTACAGGCGAGAAGACTGAACCTCAGGAAGGTAAAGTGCCTTGGCAGAACTGGGATTTGAACCTGTGTCTGGGTGTCCAAAACCCATGCTATTAGACTGAGATCCCCTCAACAGAGGAAAACAAGAATGACAACTCCTGTAATTGTGTGGGGCCAGAGACCAACTAAGACTATCAGTTTTCATGTCCTCAAATCAGGCTGAGCCTGCTGGATGGGGAAGATTGTATATGATGGAAGAGGATGTCAGGGAGCCCATGTATACAGAAAGCATGTGTTCATCAGAACCTGGAAGCAGAAAAGGTTTTAAGCTGCAACTTAAAAATGGGCTATGAAATGTGGAATATCCAGGCAGTCATTATTAGAATGAAATTTGGGCTGATACGAAGCATGTCATATCAAGTGAAATTTCCAAGGAAAAATTTAGGCTAAGATTCAAGAAAATGATCCATCTGCTTTGAGTTACTGGGTTGGTAAGGAGAGCAAGTTCAAAAAGTAGTCTCCTGGGACATTTAAAAATACATTGGCTAAAGCATTAGAGAATACACTGTAAAGAAAAACTCTGCAATATCTTGATTATAAGTCTTTGTTTTCAGAAGTTTATAATTCACACTAAGTTCTACTCTGGGCTGCTTCTACTGTTTGAGCCCGAGAGAAAAATGCTTTATTAAATTTAAAACAATTGGTTTTCCATGTTCAAATTCTACAAATTTTTCAAGTAGAGGTTCTTGCATGTTGGTAATTGTGGTTTCTAAAATGACTTAGCTTTAAATTAAATATGGGAAAGGGTAAGTCTCTTAGATAATCCAATAGCTTTCATTATTCAGAAGTAAAATGTAAAAGTAGCTTCTTTGAAAGTGTAATGATGACTTTTCTGAAATGTAAGTATATTGCTATGTGCCAAAAACCCATAATTGTGCCACTGACCTCAAATGGGTAGAAAAAAGTACAGTTAATATGGGATTTGTTTTCTAAATGATAGAGCTAACCCAGTTACAAAATGGAACTGTACATTTAGGATTAAATGAATGGATTTGTTTGTACTGTTAGAAGAGGGATCTTGCTATGTAAATTATATTTTAAAATTAGGGAAACTATACCCCATTAGAAATCTCTGTATGGGCCTGGTGCAGTGCCTATAATCCCAACACTTTGGGAGGCTGATGCAGGCGATTGCTTGAGCCCAGGAGTTTAAGACTAGCCTGGGCAACATAACAAGACCCCCATAACTACAAAAAAATTTTCAAAAATTAGCTAGGTGTGAGGGCATGCACCTGTAGTCCCAGCTACTCAGGAGGCTGAGTTGGGAGAATCACCTGAGCCCTGGAGTTTGAGGCTGCAGTGAGTCATGATCACTCTGTTGCACTCCAGCCTGGGTGACAGAGTGAGACCCTATCTCAGAAAATAAAGAAATAAATAAAAGAAATTTTCATATGAAAAAGAGGAATGTCTTTCAAAAGAACACATGTGCACACATACACACACAGACACATTCACACACTTGCAAGTAGGTACCAGAGGAATAAATTCCTGCATTATGTGTTGTTACATCAGCAATCAGGAGTGGGAACTTGAATTAGGATACTTCAGCATTAATTGTTGGGATTCATGGCTATTGACTAACAAAGTCAGGACAAGAGCCTAGCCCTTCCAACTGAAGGAAGAACATTCTTTTTCCTATGTGGCTTATCTCTGGGAAAATTTTATCTTCCAAATTACATGGCTTGTGAGAAACCAACAAAAATGTTTAAGATTTAAACTTTCTCTTAGTTTATTATAAATAGGATACATATGGAAAACATACTTATGTGTGTACATATATGTGAATGTGAATGTTTGTGTAAATGTTCTTTATGACAATAGCAGACATCATGCTCAACATGCAAGAACCTCTACTCCCTTGGTCCCTTTGGTGAAATGCAGAATGCATTTGACTGTTGAGACTAACTTTTGAGATTGTCTTCTCAGGCAGGTCCTTCGGGGAACCTGGCCCCAGGCTGATGACTGGAATCCTACATATTGGTTAGCTGTTCTCTGTGATGACAGAGATGAACCACTTGAGATGTTTTAGGTCAGCCAGAAGTTCACCAAATACTATAGGTTATTCAATCTTTTTTCTGGAAAGCAGGTGACTATTTGGAATTGCCCTGAATTATAGTGTCTTTTAATCACTATAGACATAGGCAAAATAATTAAAACCATAAGCCTAAGAGTTATTTTAAAAGAAAATTATATGCTCTAATTTCTAAGGTAAATTTTAAATAATTTATGAATAAATGGGAAATAGACAAGTGTAATATGGTTTTCTTTTAAAAGTATGTCAATATATGTATAGATATGTATATAATTGGTCTATAATTTTATTATATACATTAGGTATGTATATAATTGGTCTATAATAGTATATAATTGGTCTATATGTGTATATAATAGTATGTAATTGGTCTATATGTATATATATAATAGTATATAATTGGTCTGTAAGTATAATAGTATATAATTGGTCTATATGTATATATAGGTCTATATGTATAATGTATATATTATAGTTTATAGATTATATATAGATTAATTATCTATATATAATAGTATATAATTTGTCTATATAATTGATCTATACGTATAATAGTATATAGTTGGTCTATATGTATATATAATAATATATAATTGGTCTATATAATAATATATAATTGGTCTATATAATAATATATAATTGGTCTAATATATAATTTCTATTATATACATTAGATACGTATATAATTGGTCTATAATAGATATATATATAATTGGTCTATAATTTCTGTTGTTTAAAGGGCAGCTTACCCCCTCTGAGTGACAGGGTAGTTAAAAAACATTCTTCTGCCTGATGTTCAAAATTAGTAGCTGGGAAAGTTGAACTAATTAAGTAATTGGCCTGAGTCAATACTTGATATGTTAGAATAACATTCATGGGGTGCCTTTAAGTAGGTTATTTCATTAACTATTTGAGGTGGGAGAGTTTCCAAAGTTGAATTGATAGTAGTAGGAAAGTGTCAGAAAGGTATGGCTTTAAAATAATGTGATTGCTTCCGTAAGTTAAATCTAAACATTTGTTACTTGCTTCACTCTACACTTTGCCCCACAGAGTTAAAACACATCATGCTGTATTATCATCATATCCCACTAATACCCCATATATCACCATTGGATACATACACAGAAGAGGCAGGGTTAATTTTTTTTGTTTGGCATTTTTTCAGTATTGTCTCATGACTGTTAAGCACGGTATTCGATGTAGAACCAGAAGTGGGTGAAAGGAAAGCTTTAGACTGTATTACACAATGTGCCTCTTAAGGGGTAATGGAAGGACTCCTGGCCTAAGGAACCTTGGTTGTTTCTAGATGGTGTGTATCTATCCCAATTATAATTTGGAAGCCCATGAGTATAATCAAGTGCTTAATGTGTGTGTCTTACAGGTAAAACTAAACAAACTCATTTTACTCCATGTCGATCCCTGTCTTTCAATTGCCCGAATTAGCTCAATCTTGTTCTTACCACACTGTGTTGAAAATGAGAGGTGGGTTTATGATGTAGAAATATAGTCATCCCTCAGTATCCTTAGGGGATTGGTTCCAGTATTCTCCATGGATACCCTAATCCATGGATGCTCAAGTCCCTGATATAAAATGGCATAGTATCTTTGCATAACCTAGGCAGATTCTCCTGTATATTTTAAATCAATTGTTTCTAGGTTACTTATAGTACCTAATACAATGTAGATTCTATCTAAACAGTTACGCTGGTTTTGTTTTTTTATTTCTATTTGAGAGATAGGGGTCTTACTGTTCTCTCCAGGCTGGTCTTGAATTCCTGGACTCAAGTGATCCTCCTACCTTGGCCTCCAAAAATGTTGGGATTACAGGCACATGCCACCACGCTCAGCCTGGTCTTTGTCTTTTACAATCAGGGTCTCACTCTGTTGCCTAGGCTGGAGTACAGTGGTGCAATCATGGCTCACCTCAGCGTCAATTTCTTGGGCTCAGACAATCCTCCCCACTCAGCCTCCTGAGTAACTGGGATTACAGGTGGGCACCACCACACCTGGTTACTTTTTAAAATTTTTTGGAGAGACAGGGTCTCACTCTGTTGCCCAGGCTGGTCTTGAACTTCTGGTCTGTAGCGATCCTCCCGCCTCAACCCCCAAAGTGCTGGGACTACAGGCATGAGCCACTATGCCAGCCTATACTGTATTTTTATTGGTATTTTATTGTTGTATTCGTATTTATTTGTTTTTCCAAATGTTTTTGAGTCGTGGTGGGTGGCATCTGTGGATGTGGAACCTGCGGATGCAGAGGGTTAACTGTGACGGGCGTACAGATTTGGTTTGGGAATTACTGTGTGCATCCAGCACCTAAGCAATAGCCACTGAATTTTCAGGGTGGTGGGCACAACCTCCAGCCAGGCACCAGGGTGCAGCCCTTCAGGTCCCTGCTCAACCCAGACAGTAGGACCTTGGTCACAAGGCTGTTCCTTAGAACTGTTCCTCACTGAACTGAAAGGCATACCCATATTGATTGGTTTGTTTCTCCTTTAAGTAACATTCAGATTTGTGTGTGTGGAGAGGTTGTAGGGAACAGAATTGTAGGAAGGTGCTCACACCTGTTTTTGTTTGTTTGTTTTATGTATATATGGTGGGTAGAAAATAAGGATTAATGAATGCAGTAAGGTATTTGAGCACTCTTGTTTATCTTGTGTAGGTGCCAACCAAATATTTTTATAGAGATGTGGTTAAGCCTCTTGGCATGTTCAACTGTGTACTTCAAAATAAAATTTTCTTCATTTGGTACTGACAGTCTCTAAGGTGGGGGAGAAATAGAGACTAAGTCACAGGCCCCATTGTTTATGATGGTAGAATGGGAGGTAGATACTAAATTTTACCAAAAGAAGCTCATAGGTGCTGATGTGTTCAGACGCTTGGGCGAGTGACATCATTGCACACAACGAAGGTGTGGAGCTCGCAGGCCTTCTATCGTGTGTATATACATGTATATGTAATATTTTAATCCAGATTTACTTTCATGTGACATTGTCAGCTCCATGTAATCTCACATGTCAGAGTTCATCAACTTCAGGTACAAAAGACTGAGGTGGAATATTGCCCCCAAACCACCTTCTGGGATCGAAGGTCTGCAAGAAGCCATCTTGGCTATATCCCCAACTTGAAAATCACAGAAGGCCATAAGAGGATTTCCTAAACTTTCTGAAGGTGGTATTGTAGTCAGTAACCACTGGTCCATGGGATGCATTCCCCTCATAGTCTTCAACCCAGAAATGTCAAATGAACATCTCTGCATGATGTCAAATGGAATGTGGGAGGAGAAAATGGTACAAAGAAACATGTCATCTTTACTTTCCCCCACCTACCACCTTTTTTTTCCTCTAAATAGACTCTTTGGAGTCCTGAACGTTTCTCTTCCTCATTTTCTGCCTCTCTAAGCACATGTCTTTCTCACCAATGTGCTGCTTCTGTCCACATGCGGAGGGAGGAAGCTGTGGCGCCTGCTACCTCCAAGGCACAGGTTTACTCCGGCTTTTATGCAGTTACCCTATCTGTCTTGTTTTCTTCAGCTGTATACCTTAACCAGAAAATTGCTACATGAAAAAATTAATTATTAAATCTTTTGCCAGTGCCAACTTGCACAGAGCATGCGTATGGTTTGATGAATTTTCATAAATTGAATATACCTATATAACCAGCACATCAAGAAGCAATTCTTACCAGGACCCCAGAAGCCTCCTGATGCCCTCTTCTGGTCACTGTCCCCCAATGGGTACTCACTATTCTGATTTATATCAGAGTAGATTAGTTTTGTGTCACCTGCTCACCAGTTTATACTTAAAGTTTAAACAAAATAACTTTTAAACAATTTATCTTTTTTAAAAAATAAGGTAAAGTTAACCAGGAATGAAGTATTGGTTGTGCTATTAAAATACAAAAGTTCAATATTTGTTCATCATTGAAACTTTCATGCTGTCTGAAGTTCATTTTGTTATAAAAACCCCAGGATTGCTATAACAGAAGAGCTTAGTTTTGCCATTTGTTCAGTGCTTTAGATCTTCCTTCAGTAGACTATAACCAGAAGACCAAAAGTAAATTTTAAAATGTAGTACAAGCCAGTACATTTTACTCTAAATCTTGAAGATGTATTTTAAAATATTCCAGTTTATTAAAAATAATGCTGGACATATAATATTTATATGAAAAAAAACACACTTTAAAAATGAAATTTGTGTCCAGGCATGGTGACTTGCACTTTTAATCTCAGCTTCTCAGGAGGTTAAGGCAGGAGGATCTCTTGAGCCTAGAGGAGTTCAAGATTGCAGTGAGCTATGATTGTTCCAGTGCATTTCAGCCTGGGGACAGAACGAGACCTCATCTATTTACAAAAAAAGAAATCTACTAACTGAGTTTAATTTTATTTGGCATTTAACTTGTAGCCTCTGAATTGTGAATTTGGAAAAAATTTAATATTGCAAGTGGACATTGATATAGGACTCTTAGCCCAAGGAATCTCTGTTGTTTCTAGATGATATATTTCTATCCCAATTATAATATGGAAGCTTCCTATATGGTCAGTTTTAGAAGCTTTTCTACATAATATAATTAGATTCTCTTAGGAGATGTTTTAAAGAACTAGCTCATCAGGAAAAGTTCATCAGGACATGGAAGATTAAAGTCATATAGATTCCTTGTAGTTTTGTTCTTATACAGAAATTCTGCATTGCAATTTGGAAACAATGAATGTAAATATAAAAACCCAATCCAGGCCTTTCCCGTACCCCATCAGTTGCTGGTCTGTACTTGGAGTGTGCTGACCAGCTTTGAGAGATGTGTCCATGATACCAAAAACTAAAGTTCAAAGGAATATAAAGAAAAAGTGGAATGGGCTGGGTGCAGTGGCTCACGCCTGTAATCCCAGCACTTTGGGAGGACAAAATGAGTGGATTGCCTGAGCTCAGGAGTTCAAGACCAGCCTGGGCAACATGGCGAAACCCCATCTCTACCAAAAATAGCAAAAATTAGCCAAGAGTGGTGGCACTCACCTGTGGTCCCAGTTACTCTGGAGGCTGAGGTTGGGGGCATTGCTTGATCCTGGGAGGCGGAGGTTGCAGTGAGCTGAGATCACACCCTGCATTCCAGGCTGGATGACCAAATGGGTGGGACCCCATTTCAAAAAAAAAAAAAAAAGAAACAAAAAAAGTAAAGTGATATCTTAAAATTTAGTAGAACGGAAGAGAATAAGAAATATAAATGTGATTTCAAAAGTGAAAAAGGAGAACAGGCAGACTGCCTAATGAAAATCAGATGTACTCATATTATATTGTATAAATTCAGAATTTTCTTAAAGCCAAAGAAGTTGGCTTAGATACAGAGCCAGATGTAAATGGTACCATTTGGTATGGAGCTGCATATTTGGCAGCCAAAGTTGACACAGCGTTAAGGTTCTAATGATTTGGTGTCTGTTTCCTGAAGAGGAAGCTGCCTCTGCTACCTGCTGCTGCAAATGCTGGCTTGTCTATAATGTGCCCTTGGGCACACACTATTTAAGTGGCTTGAAAATATGTGTTTATGCTTCATGTGCTTGTCCACAGTCTCTGCCCTTATGGAAACAGTGACATATACAGTTTCTAGAGGGTGAAGTGTTTCTTGGGCTTCAGCATCACCTGTTTATCATACTCTTTAAGAAAAAAATTGAGGGGAAGCAGTGCACTGCTTATAGCTAACAGAGCATTTTATATTAGAATTTATTTTACAGATGTCTCCATACACTCTTGCCCCTCCTGCATACCCATCCCTTTCCGCTTTGGCCAAGAGTCCTCCTTCCAAACCTTAAGCTCGATTGTGCTGCATTCTCTTCTCCTTAGATTCCCCAGTCGTCGTCCATTGCATACCGAACACTGCCATTTTTAGAACATCATGTGCTTCTGGCTTGGATCCAAGCTCATGGTCTCCACTTTCCTACTCCCCTCTTAGCCACAACTACCTTCAGGATCTCTCCTTGACCCGATTATTATGGACTTGGTTCCTTCCCTCTCCTTCTGCCCGCCTCCCAACCCCTAACTTCCACCAACTCCCATTAACTTACCAGCAAGCCTTTTCTGACACACACACACCTAACATGATTTAATGGTCCCTACTTGCAGCACAGCATCATTTCTCTGTTGCTACACTTGCTACTCTGTTATAATTGACTTTGCTCCCTTCCCATCCCTGCTAAACTGTAAGTTCCTTGCAGGCAGCCTCCAGAACTCCGTGTGCCAGCTATCGAGCATGTTGTGTGGTACTGAGCCCTGGAGGTTCTTCATAAATCTATGTCAAATGGATGGATCTAAGAGTCCTATTAGACTGAAAGGATGGCTGTCCACTCCCTAAATGTGATTTCTAAAACAAAAGAGAGTAGGTTGGATTTTTTCCCTCTTTCTTCAAGTTGAATCTCCATGAATAGAGCTCCTCAAATTCTAGTGATCTATTTATAAACAGAACATTCTCTAAGGACAAGAGACCATGGCCCAGATGGGCCATTCTGCACATACACTGTCTTATACTTCAGAGTTGCCACTAATCACTTTGGAGAAACACATTTACTAGCAATGTTAGGAAATCACTGCTAAACCATTCAACCTCATAATTTTTGTGCCACTTGTGAATCTCACAGAGAAAACCTGAAATTCTCATTTCTGTTGAAAATGATTAAAAATAGCATTCAGCATCTTTGTTTCTTCCTTCAGCAAAGCATTCGGAACTAATGGACATGTGTAATCAGTAAATAATTAGTAAATATATTGGGTTGGATCTGTCCATGGAGAATTTATAAAAGCACTTTGTCTTGGATTCATAAATGTTGTCAAATCCTACAATTAGAACTATATACATTTTCAGCACCTGGTGTGATAATAAGGCCGTTCCAGAACGAATGGGCTCAGCAGTGTTTTGTTATTATGCTGCCTGCCCAAGAATCATCTATGAAATTTGAAAAAGGTACTTCTGCCCCAGGGGGAGTATACAACATCAGTTGTCCATGAAGAATTATAAATGCAGGGCCTTGATCTTGGGTTTAGCCCAACCCCATTGCAGATGGAGAAACTAACACACACCTTTAGCTTAAAGCCCAGGAAGCTGCTGTGCTGTCCCCTACCTGTGTGTATCAGATGCATGGCCACAACCTCATTCTGCCATCGCTCCCTGCAGGAGATGGCCACAGGGCTGGGGACATCTACGGAGAGAGATGAAGGGTTAGTGAGCATTTGGGGTCATTAGAATTTATGTGGAACTTTGTATATTTTCAGAATTTCTTCCCAGACTCACATCCTTCTGAGTGAGCGTTTTGTTTAGTTTTATTTTGTTTTTTGAAATTTTGCAACCTCCCAAAGGCAAGGCTAAAATCAAGGGAATGCCTGGCACATGTCAGTTAATTAAAAGGACTCTTTTCCTTACTCTGAACCTGTACTAGAATCGAAATAAAAAAAAATTACCAGCGATTGAAGTTAGGAACATTAAGTGATCTTCAGTATTAAATAGAACTTCACAGGATGTAATGAAAGCACATGAAGTTTAAAACAAAAGGAACCTTGTCTCTACTAAAAATACAAAAAATCAGCTGGGTGTGGTGGCGGGCGCCTGTAATCCCAGCTACTCAGGAGGCTGAGGCAGGAGAACCTCTTGAACCCGGGAGTGCAGTGAGCCGAGATCATGCCACTGCACTCCACCCTGGGTGACGAGAGCGAAACTCCATCTCAAAATAATAATAATAAATAAATAAATAAATAACAAAAGGATGTATGTGGGGCATTTGAATAAATGATGTCACTTCTCCATTTACGTTAGACACAGGGACCTCTCGTACAAGTGAGGAAAGAAGAGCCTAAGTGTGGATGTCCTCACATCCATGGAAATCATTTTAAGTCACCTTCATAAGCAACTTAAAAGGACTTCAGTGACTTCATGGATGCTGACTGTTAGTGGTTGTTATTCTGACTGTGTCAGCTTGGCAGTCCCCACCACTGCCTGAGGCTGTTCCTGATTTCCACAACATAAGCACAAACTCAGGTTTGGCCCTGGACTCATGCACCAGGCAAAGAAGAAAACTTGATCTTCTATTAGGAACCTAAGTTGGTTCCTAGAGCACTTCAGCATTGCTGTTATTTCAGATAGTATACAGTCAAGTGCCACATACAACATTCAGTCAGTGACAGACGACATATAACACAGGGGTCTCCTGAGATTATAATGGAGCTGCAAAATTCCAATCTCTTAGAGACTTGTAGCTGTTGTAAGGTTGTACTGCAGTGTGCATTACTGCATTACGTGTATTTTAGTGATGATGCTGGTATAAACAAACCTACTATATGCCAGTCATAGAAAAGTCTATCACATACAATTATATACAGGGCATAATACTTGATAATGATTATAAACAATAAAGTAATGGTAATAAATGTGTTACTGGTTTGTGTATTTTACTGTACTATACTTCTATCGTTCTTTTAGAGTGTATTCCTTCTAATTAATAAAAAAGAAAGTTACCTGTAAAACAGCCCCAGGCAGGTCCTTCAGGAGGATTCCAGAAGAAGGCGTTGCTTTCATAGGTGATGGCAGTTCCATGCGTGTTACTGCCCCTGAAGACCTTCCAGTGGGACAAGATGTGGGAGGTGGAAGACAGTGATGTTGATGACCATGACCCTGTGTAGGCCTAGGCTAATTTGTGGGTTTGTGTCTTAGCTTTTAACAAAAAAATTTAAAAAATGAAAAATAAAATAATTTAAGCATAGAAAAATGCTTATAGAATAAATATAAAGATATTTTGTACAGCTGTACAATGTGTTTGTGTTTTAAGCTAAGTGTTACAAAAGAGTCCAAAGTTCTAAGAAAATAAAAAGTTTATACAGTTAAAAAGTTACTAAGCTAAATTACTAATCTTAAGCTAAGATTTATTATTGAAGAAAGAAAACCATTTTTTTTGTAAATTTCATGTAAACTTACACTTTGCCTAAGTGAACAGTGTTTATAAAGTCTACAGTAGCAAGTAGTAATGTCCTAAGACCTTCACATCCACTCACCACTGACTGACTCACCCAGAGCAACTTCTAGTCATGGAAGTTCCATTTATGATAAGTGTCCTATACAGCTGTACCATTTTTAAATCTTTTATACCATATTTTTACTGTACTTTTCCTATGTTTAGATATGTTTAGACACAAATACCATTGTGTCACAATTGCCTAGTATGCAGTACAGTGACATGCTGTACACGTTTGCAGCCTAGGAGCAAAGCAATAGGCCATACCACATTGCCTAGGTGTGCAGTAGGCTGTACCATCTAGATTTTTTGTGAGTACATGCTGTGATTTCATACAACGATGAAATTGCCCAAGGATGCATTTCTCAGAATGTGTCTCTGTCATTAGCATGGCATGACTATATTAAATTTAAAAATCTGTTAAAATTCTTTCACTTTGCTTAATGATCTTAGATCCCCGCACACCCCCAAGCCCTTTTCATTTTCCTTATGAGCCGTGCTATGCCATCTTAATAGGGTTTACATTGCTGGTTGGTTTCTCTGCACTTTTTAATTATATTGTTGTCCTGGAGAAGTTTTTAGATGACTGGATGTGGTTAGAAAGGTCTGTGACTGTATTCCGGAATGTTAATGTCTAGGAAGCCCTCATCCTGTGCCCAAACCAACCTGTGAACCTGAAGAATGTTGCACTCTTCAGGAAACCCATAATCATTGGATATTGGCACTGGATTTGAAAGGATCTCAAGCTTTTGGGAGAAGAGATGAACTTGGCCTGGGCACACCTTTGGTAATGAGTTTGGTGTTCTGCTTGTTTATTTGTTAGATTGCTTTTTCAACTGATTTATATTCCTTGAGAACGTGTACTCTCAGGCAATGAAAGTAAACACAATTTTGTGGCTTCCTAGAAAACTGGTAATAAATAATATGGATCTAACAAGAAGAAGTGGCCTGGGTTTACCTGTTTACATTTCATGACTATCCGAGCTAACTGGAAGTTTTCACGTTTTTCACCCTCTTAGTGAATTACTATTAAACATTCAGTTTATACATCAAAATAACTATCTTTATTCATTTTTGGGAAGAAAGGCTGTCTCTTGGTGTCCAGGAAAAAGAAGGCTAGCATCAGGCTGGGGGCTCTGCACAATTCCAGGACTCTCTCTGGCCAATGAAGGGTGGGAAGAATCTCATTCTGTGGGTATCAGATGATTCCTGTGCAAAAAGCAGCAGACTGTAGCGCCCCCCATCCCCCAGGTGACTGCCTGTACAGAGCTGGCTTTCCCACCCTCCTCTCACTGGCCATCTTGCAGACAGACCCCAGGTACGTCACCTTCATTAGTTGTGTTGGTCCGTCACACCACTGAAGTGGAAAGTGGCACAGCGCAGTGGCTAGCCTCATCGCAGTCTCCACAATTTAGGATTGGCTGTCTCCCTGGCTCAAAGGTCAGGTGCCTTGTGGGCAGGGCCCTCTGTTCAGTCCTGCTTGGTGTCAGGAAGGGGTGAGGTGCAGAGAGGACAGTCGGAGGCCCAGCCACCTGGGCAGGTGCGAGGGAGAACAGCCAACAGGTGTCCCCTTGGAGCTGTCTAGGCTTAAACATTAGACTTGGATGCCCCCCACTGTTGTGTGTGAGCCTCCCTATCAGTCAACTTAATGAGAAGAGCTTAAAAACAAACAAACCCTTTCTTCCCTCCCCAGGGTTCTTTCATGTTCTCAAAGGTCTGACTGACAGCTTTGAAGGCCCTGCTTCTGCCCAGAGAGCAAAAGCAGCAGCAGGAGGGGGCGTCTGCACTTTGTAAACAGTCAGCCCATGCCCTCCCTGACTGGGTGGGAGCTGGAGCCTCTTTGCCCCATTTCCAAATTGCGGGCTTCCTAGGATGGGAGCAGTTATCCCTGAGTTTAAAGGGCGGTCGATATTTTGAAGTTCCTGCGGGAGAAGATGAAAGGATGAAACAAGATGTGTTACAGTTTGCTGCAGAAAATTGACAGAGTAGCCCTAGTTTGGTTTTTGTCCAAATATCTCAATGGAAGAAGACAAGCTCTGTGCACAAGGAAGCTGCCAGAGGCCCACACCCCTTTCCCCATTGGTTGTACCTGTTTGAAAGGTGCCCCTCCCCTCCAAATGAAGAATTCTAGGGAGTCTGCAGCTCCCTTCCAGGCCTTCCTCTCCTGGAGTATCTGTCTTGTACTTGTGGAATATTCTGTTCACCACTCCCCAAATCCCCTCCAAAGCCCACCACCCCTCCCCTGCCACCAGTTCTTAAGATATGGGAGCTCATCTCATTTGCCTTTGTATCCCCAGTGGTTAGCAGATGTCTTCCATAGATGTTTGTTAAATAAAAGAAACTCCTTTCACCATAGATGTGGCTTTATTACAACCTAGCAATGGCCCACCACCAGTCTACTTTGAATCTTACCACCAGCTTAGAGCAGAATGTAATGACACTCCCTCAATGATGCATTTCATAAGTGGTTTTTTTTTCTTTTTCTTTTTTGTATTGCACTCCGTGATTCATGCTGTCTAGCCACAATTCACACATGTGGGGGCACAATTTCAGACATTTGAAAAGCAAGTTGACCTATGATGTTGTCTCTGAAACCCCCAAACTCTACACAGATGGTAGATTGATGACAGTTTTGTCATACTGGATTCTCTCCTTGGCATTCTTCAGTTTCTAGTCTCCCAATCTGTTTCTTTCTCATCTCCCATCTCTGTCTCTGATAACGGCAGTTCTAAGTATTAGCAGCAAGCATGTTTGAAGCACTGCTAGAGGCTTCCGGTGCAGCGATCTTTGCTTTGGGACTTGTACACAGATATTTAGTTTATTATGGCCGGTTCTAAAAATTTATGACCTATGAAGAGTTTATTTTCAGTAAAACTGAGGTCAGCATTGGACATTTAATCTGACATCCATATGGCACTGAGATGCGCGGTGCATGAATGCACTTTGTAAGCTGTAGAGGGCAGCCTGTGAGGAGAGACTGGGGCTTTGGAGTCCACAGATTTAGTCTCAAATTCCAGGCCCTGCACCTTGCCGGGGATTTGTATGAGTTACCTTTTTCTTTCCTTCTTTCTTTTCCTTCTGTTTTAACAAACCATGAAAAAAATTAACCGTATTCCAGGCTTCCGTTCCTTCCCCTGTAAAGTGAGCGTAAATGATCTGGTTCCTTTTGACAAACAGTATTTTAAATTGCCAGCCAGCACAACTGTGCTGGGCTCAAAGGTAGTATTTGTGGCTAGTATCATTAGGACACAACAGAAGAATTAAAAGAAATAGAATTGGCGTCATGTCTAGTACATTTTTTGGCTCTTTCTTAAGCAGCGTAAGTGGCATAGGGTTTTGTTTGTTAGTTTCGCTCTTGCCTTACCTTCTTATATAATAATACCTTATTCTTTGAGATGACTTATGATTGATTTAACTTACAACCCAGACAGTGGCTTTTGTGGGGGGAGGGAGAGGTTGAGGAAGAAAAGAAAGAAAGTCCTGGATAGAAATCCCCTGACTTTGAGTCCTCCACGGGACACAAGCAAACAGAATTTTAATCTGCTGCTTCTAATCCACAGTTGGTGTTCAGTGGAACAAACCCTCTTTGAAACTGAATGCCTACTTACAACCAGTGCTCATTTTGGCGGCGGGGGTCGGGCTGGGGGTGGGTTCCTAACCACACTGTGCCCTGAAAGATTAGACCTGCATGAAGTGCAGCCTCTGCTTAGAGAGGTAATCAAGTATTAGGAGGAAAAAAAAAGCAGAAGGACTTTGAAGTTGCATAAACCTCGTCATTTGGGATTTCTGAGGTTCTTAGAAATGACTTCGCCTTTGTTGTCTCCAAAATCATAGGCTTTGCCGATGCACCACCGGGTAACAGAGTTAGATGTCCCTGGCACAGAGTGAATACTTGTTCAATGAATGGAGAAAGCACAGCTGAAATGATTCAGAGAAAGGGGAAAAACTTAAGAAAAAGGAAGAGGGATAAACAATTGTCACATGTCCAGATTGCCAACAGTGGAATCATGACAAAAATTTTCTGAAACTGAAGAGCCGTGTTGTTTAAAATAAAAGGCTGAATAAAATGGGGTCAAAGCAAAGGAGCTTTGGAGTCAGTTTGGATTCAGATACTGACTCTGATGCTTCCACGTTGTGTGACAGCCAGGGCTGGCTGTGGGACCCTGTGCGAAATTAGAATGTGGAGCCATTTATTCAAAAAACAGGAAAGAAGTGCCCTCCAAGGTACTAAAACAAAATGTTTTGCCCTTTCCTTCCCACTGCTTCCCTGCCCTCCTTTCCCTTCTCTTCCTTGCCTCTTGAATTGTCACAGTATTTTTAATGTTCCAAGTAAAGAAAAATTAAAAATGTAATTATTGGTATGTTTTTTTCTGTTATTGTTAACTCGTGCAATGCCAGTTTTAAATGCAAATTTAAAAGCATTTAACTTGTTTGCATAATCACTGAAGTTACACAATTTGTATTTCATAGCTGTTACATTCCTATGTATTTCTTTCTGACCAGAACAGAGGAAACACTGCCAAAAACTAATTCTGTTGTTTTTATTTTACTTCTTGATACATGCGTGTTTTACCAACACATTCTACCTTCAGCTTCCTGATGAATAAGGCAGGGATTTCCTTCTGTGTCACCATTTGGAGCACAAGTGTTTGGCCAATATAAGGAAATAAGAAAGGACATGATAGGGGCCTTGGTCGGTTGTGTTTCTTAAAGTACAATTGCCTTACTTTTGTGTTTGAAGCTAGTTCTGGTTCTGACAGAAAGCATGGCCTCTGGGAGCTGTGGGATCCTCCACTTGTCGTAGAGGTACCATACTCACCTTGCACTCGTTTTGAGTCCTGCTGAACTCCCAAGCATTGTGACCTCACCAGAGTCCTGTGCTCATGAGGCATCATGAATGTTAGACAACTTTAAGTGGGCAGCAAGGAACGATGGACAGGATGTGGCACACATATGACCCATGCCTGCTTCATCGTTCCACTCTCTCCCATCTGACTTCAGGTATAGCACACAAAGTCAAAGACAGAGTTATTGAGAACTTCAGGCCAGTGGCAGGAGAACATTAAAACAAGTGTGGCTCTTCTGGGTGTCGGGTCCCACATGACTGCACAGTCACATGCCCAGCAAGCCAGCCCTAGAAACTTCTGATGGATTCTTAACCTCAAGGAGTCTTCATTTCTTCATCATAAAATTGAGGCCATAATATTACCTAACTCGTAGGTTGTTCTTCTGTTTAAATGAAGCCATCTTTATAATTTATTACTAATATTCTTGGTACCTAATAAGCCTTTAATAAAAGTTAATTCCTGCCACTTCTACTGCTGAGCAAGTTTTCCAATGTGATGGCTCTATTGTGGTAAAGACAACCTAATGCAAATGCAAGTCAGGGTCATTAAATGTCACCTCTGGAACTGAGCAGGCTGCAAACAAAATTTTATAAGTCACAAATATATTTTATTATCTCTTGAAAACAGTGTACAAATGAATAAGCAAATGAAACATAGTAGCCAAAAGGCTTTGGAGAACTAATCCATTTTATAAAAGTATAAGGCCTGAATTCCAGTCCCACATCCCTTTAAGTGTGGGCAACTTGCTTTCCTCCTCTGTACCTTTGTTTCCTTGTGTCTAAAGTGAGAGTGTCACACATGTCTGACATGGGCCCTAAAAATTGTTACATCATGGCTTAGTGTCTTACAACGAGGATGGACCTAAGGTAAAAGTTAAGCCACATAAATAAATGTTCGTAATAAGGATGAGATGGAGAGAAGAGGTGTAACGAATTTTGCTATTGCTTACTACCTGTTACTGTTACCTGCTGACCGGGTGTTTTCATGTGTTAAGCACTGTACAGCTTTCTTTCTCCCCAGACAAGGCTCTTCCCTAGCAGAACTGATGCACATGTACAGCACGTCAGTATCACGTAGACACATACTGTTTTGTAGCCACATTTCACCCCTGTAGAAACTCTAAGCATGTGCTCTCTGCATCTGTTTAAAGGGTCCTGCATAAATAAAGCTCTCTAGGTAGGCTGAAATGCCTGCAATTAGTACCCTTCTAAGGGCAGAGTTTTCTTGATGGAGTAAGATACAGTAGTGTGCTGGAGTTGGCTTGTACCTTTTCAGGAGATTTATGAGCCAGTTTAAAAGCAAAGATGGCAAATACTTCACACTCATCACTTTCTGATTCTTTTATTTCATTTTGCAATTTATTTCATATTATCTGCGCTCTCGGAAGTTATTTACTTTTATTGTATCTGTGTGGTGGAAATACTCATACAATGATGAGCTCTTGCACATCGCATCCCAGTTCCGTTCAGTAACATCCCATTGGTAGTTTGAAATTGGCTATAGTGGAAGCGTTTACACCATAGAATGGGCAAACACTAACAATCAGGGTTCTTCCTCCACTCCCCCTCCCTGAGAGATTATTGTAAAACATTTAATAGCACACTACTGAGTAGGAATCAAATTTACTGTCGGAGTTCCTTTTGGAAGATTTGTTAAAAGCTGTGGCTATTGCAGACTATTAGAGAACCCATTAGAAAGTGTGAAAAGGGAAAAGGACAAGAAGAGAATGAAGATTCTTTGAGCATCTGTGCCTGGCGATACATTAATTGCCTTTCCTGTGGAGCCCAATTAAAATCTTCCTGAAGGCGGGCTAGGTTGTATGATATTACATCTGTCTTCCAGTTGAAGAAACTGATCTGAGGTGTAATAACCTGCCCAAGTTGATACAGCTAATAAATGAAAAAAACTTATGTTGGAAATGTATCTGAATCCAGGTATTTGTTACTCAAATGCTTATTATCTTTGCCTTCTCGAATGGGAAATGTGAATACATTTTGCAAAAAGAATAATGTTAAATGCTATAGTAAGATTTTTGTGAGTATAATGAATTCCATGTTCTGTCTTTCATTCAAGTATTTGTACATCACACGCTGAAAGTAAAATGTGCCAATCACTGGTCATGGAAAGGTTCTACCCAGGGAGGAATAGTTACCTATGAAGTGTTGCAGGAACAGGGGAGAAGACCAAGGGCCATCAGAGCAGGAGGCTTAAGAAAACAACCCTTGCATAGGCTTGCAGGTGTGTGTCTGGCAGTGCCTGTAGTCTCCAGGGCTGCAGGGAGAGAGGTTGGTTTTGGTAGAGGTAACAAGAATTACAGGATTGTGATCAGGCAGACATCTGTGGGTAGTTTGGAGATTCCAGCCAGTGGGTTGAACATTGTTTCTGTGGAATGCGGTTGCCCATCTTCCCAGCCTCCTCTGGCTTTTACTCCCTGGATCCCTTCTAGTGCAGTCCTAGGGACATGCAATCCAAAGGAAAGTTTTGACATGACAGGATCATGGGCCATGCCCACCCAGATTTCGTTTCAGTGAGTCTGGGATAGAACCCAGGTAGTTGCGTTTTAAACACACCTCCTTAGAGGTTCTGAGGCAGCACCAGGCACCACACTTCCAGAAATAATATTGTTTTGTAGCTTCTGTGCTGTCTTCCCAAGTAAGAGGAAAGAACATGCATGTAATGATAATAATATCTCTTCCTAGCTCCACATCACCTTTTATACCCAGTCTCTATCGATCCCCACAATTACCTTGTGAGATGTTCAGAGCAGTTAATTACTCTTCTTATTTTACAGTTGGGAGAACTGGGGATGGGAGAGGTTAATTAAGTAGTGCCAGGTCCTACCTTTAGCAAACGGAGGACCCGGATTTCTCAGTGTTTTGCAGGTGTATTTCCTTGGTTGCACAGTGCCCCATAGTGGCTACTGCCTACACGTTCTACAGGTGCCACTTCATCATGGTCTGCTCTGGAACCAGCCTCAGAAACATTGTGCGTTAGACGGGGGGGTCACCTGTGCTCCCCCAAAATATTTTGAACCCCGTTGGAATGATTCTACACGCTTTACAGTGTGTAGTTTTGTTCTTGAGATTCCTCATTCCCAGTTTCTGCAGCATCCTGTTTAGCTACAGAACTCCAAAACACTCAAGAAGCAAAAATCCATGATCCAATCTGTTCTGTATCATTGGATGACAAGGAGCATATCGTGAGTGGAATAGATTTCTGTAGGTTGTTAAGTATTTCGGTCCCTTTCCATCACTTAATGACAGAGAACAAGAGAGCAAACGTGAGCCAGGCAACCTGTCCTCTCATTCTGTGTCTGCCTCCAGCTAGCTTTGTAACCATAGGTAACTCGCCTCGTTTCTCCAGACCACGGGCTCCTCATTTGTAGAAAGAAATTTGGAGTCCTTGTAAGGCCTGTCCCAGCTGTAACGCACATGATGGCAAACCACCAAGGGAGAAAAATATCCCCAGGAATACCATGTTCTTTAGCTTTTCTAATAGAAAAAAAAAAAAGACATTTACATTATAAGCAATGCACTCATGATTCTATTATTGTAATCATTTATTTTTAGGTTGGGAAAAATAGAAACATATTTTATCAAATTAATTAGATTTAAAATAGCTCAATGACTTGTTTTCTCCAGCATTTAGTCATTTTCTTGGCTGATTTGCCCTGTCCCTGTCTAGAAATGTTTTTTCTATGCCCTGCCTCAGGTTGGTGCCTGGGTCATAAAGTAAAGCCTAATAAAAGTAAAATCCTCTCAGCCCATGCTTCTTACTTGTTTTCACTTAGACTGATATTTTGTTTTATTGCAGAATTGGGACTAATGATTTTACTCTGAGTTAAGCAACCAAGACAGAAATGCTTTTTTTTTTTCTTCACATAATTCAGTGCAAACCCATAGTAGCCATACATGCCTTAACTTGAACTTTACATTCTGAGAGAGCCAGAACATTTTTAGGGTATTTTTTTTCTTCGAAATCAAAGTAATAAGCCTACGCTGTTCAGAAATGAATTCTAGGTATAGATTTTTGTCAAATTCATCTGACACTTTAAATAAATTTCAGACTGATGAATTCAGTGTTTGTTTGATAGAGATCATAAACATTTTCCTTTCTCGAAAAGCAATCTAGGGAGTATGTATTTGTACTGTAGTTAATGCTGTGTTAAGTCAGTGTAATATAGCTGCTGCAAACATTTGTAGAGCAAAGAAAAAAAGCCTTTATTTAAATCTTGCCAAGAGCAGAAATAAAATGAGCAAAAGCACACTGGAGTGAGAGGCAACATAAAGATTGGTACTGCTTCACGACTCTGGTGCAGCAGCATTAGCATTTCATTTAAGCTGCATATCATATACGGAATGATCACTCGTAATTTCATGTCTGACTGTGTGGCTTCAAGAGATGTTTGTTGAGTGAATAAATGATTGATTAGTGCTTTCTTTTGTGATACAAAACTGTCATTTAATCAGCGTGGAAATTAGTTGCAGATACCCTTATTGTAATTCCATTTGTATATTTACATAAGAGTATGAAATAAGAATGAATGAGGTTGGATGCCAGTAAGAATGAATGGATTGGTGGCTCATGCCTGTAATCCCAGTGCTTTGGGAGGCCAAAGGCGGGCAGATCACTTGAGGTCAGGAGTTCAAGACCAGCCTGGCCAACACGGTAAAACCCCATCTCCATCAAAAAATACAAAAATTAGCCAGGCTTGGTGGCGGACACCTGGAATCCCGGCTATTCGGGAGGCTGAGGTGGGAGAATCGCTTGAACCTGGGAGACACAGGTTGAAGTTAGCCGAGATCACGGCCACTGCACTCCAGCCTGGGTGACAGAGTGAGACCCTGTCTCAAAAAAAAAAAGAAAAAAAGAAAAAAAAGAAAGAATAAATGAACATCTATTTTATTTAGTAATGAAATATTCTTGGCTGACACAGGCACAATGAAGACTTCACCAGTTATTTCCACTAAATTATAGGATCATGGAAGATAAGAACATGTTGTATTGTCTTTTTAATCCCCACCATCTAGCACAGTGCCTGGATATATAATAAATGTCTAATCCACACACACAGACACACAATTAAATATAAAAATGGGTATTCTCATCAAGGGATAGGTTGGCAGTTTATATGCCATGACTTATTCACAAATTGGGAGAAAGAGATTTCTATAGGTCAAAGAGAGGTTAGGGCAGTAAGGAAAAAGGGCCAGGATGGGCTGAGATGAGAAGATAAACAGATTACTTGTTTAATATGGATATTAAAGCAGAATTCCTCAGGCTTTGTGATTCTTGGTGTCATCTCAGAGACACACAATTTTTAGATGGTGTTTTTCTTCCCCTTTGCTGTGCTATTTTCCTGTGTCATCCTAGTTAGTTTTATGTTCATAGTCTGATGATTTAGCCACAATTAGGGTCTCACTCTTCTACTCTTCTTTTAATTTTTATCACTGACATTTCAAGAGCAGATTCAGGTTTCCGGCATTTGGCGGGGGTGCCTCCTAAGTGTGTTAGACTGTAAAACTGCTGAAGGCAGCAAAAGTTTTGTGCAGTCAATCAAAGCAGGGAGGGTATAACTATGTTACTGTTTTCACTTTTCTCTTTTTCTAGTTCCATGCAACACAAAATAAACTTTCAGACATACTTCTAAGTTTCCATATCCATTGTATATGGTTGAGTTTTAGCCAAAACCATTTGTGAGGGAAGGCCTTTAGTGATCTGGGATGGGGATGCTGAAGCCCATTGCACCTTATTCATGTAATTAGACGTGATAAAAACATTAAAATTATATTTCAAAAGTTGTTAGTCTATTTCATAGAAGCTTCTTTCCATATCACAATGGATATGGAGTGTTTATGGAGTCAGTAACAAGTGGTTTGATCTTTATAAAGAGGACCTGTGATACAGCCATGTACCTGCCCGTGTTGCAGTACGTGGTGTACAGCTCTCAGCTGCCCTGCCCTTTGCAGCTCTTGTTTCCTCCATGTGAGATGTACTCCATCCCCAAGTACCTAACCCCTCACTAGCCATTTGTTCCCTGCTTAAATTTTTCTGCCTGCAAAAGACCTTCCCAGGCTCCCCCATTGAAATTATGCCCTAAGTCTTTTGTCTCACCACAGCACCTTAAGCATTTCCTCCTCAATCTCCTTCCTGGACTGACTGAGTACTTACTGTATGCCAGGCACTGTTCCAGGCTCTGAGGATGCATGGTCAGCCAGAAAGACAGATCACCCTGCAGGAGCTTAGAGCTCACTAGAGAAGAAAGGCAGTAAACAAATAAGCATATCCAGTGGCATCAGTACCAAAAATCCAAACAAAGATGTCCAAGAGAGGTAGAGAGAAAGGGATGCAAACATGCTGGAGGGAAACCCTTACTAAATAGGTGGCATTTGAGCTAAGACTTCAACAAAACTAGGAGGAAGCCAAGCCGGGTTCTAGAGCAGGCTTGTCCCAGGCAGAGGGAAGGGCCCAAGCAAATGGCCAGGAGCTGTGTGAGCTGACTCAGGGGCAGCAAGGGGTCGGGTAGGAGGGAGCAAGGAGCAATGGGTAAGAGGAGAGCAGAGAGACAAGCAGGAACACAGCCTTGTAGGCCACGGCAAAGGGTAATTTTTTTTTTTAATTTGAAGTATAAGGAAGAATAATGGAGGGTTGAGCACAGGAATTGGCCATGTTAAAGTTCCATTTGAAAAGTGTCACTCCGACTGCTGCATGGAGCATCTACAGAGGAAAGACAGGATAGAAGCAGGGAAACCAGTTCAGAAGTTCTTCATAGTTCAGGTGAGAGGCGACTAGGTCCACATGGGGGCAGTACAGAAGGCAATGCGTTGTCAGAGTCTAGATGTGTTTTGGAGTTAGGGTTATCTGGGTTTGCTGGTGGTTGGGATTGGATGTGGTTGTAAGTGGAAAAAGGAATCAAGAAAAACACCAGAGTTTTAGACCTGGGCAACTGAGTGACTGGCCATGCTATTTACGGGATGGGGAAGACTAAGGAAGGAAAGAAGAATAACAAATATTTGTTTGGACATTAAGTTTGAGATTCTCAGAACACATTTAAGTGGCGATATCACATAGTTTATTGATTATGTGGATCTGCAGTCCAGGGGAGAAACCAAGGGTATAGATATCAACATCAGTATATAGAGAACACAGCACAATTATAACTATGCATATGTGTAGCAGATGTGTATTTTCCATCCACTTCCAAAAGTATTCAAAAAATGGAACTTTAACTAAGTTCAACTTAGGCTATATTTTGAGACCCCATTCCACTGAGAACAGGGAAGTTTTACTGTCAATTCAGCCAACCCTTTTAGGTGATTAAATAAAGTTGACATTGTAAACATAGGTTCTTTATTCTCCCTCTAACTCCTGGGGGCATAGACAGCCTCATGACATCAGGAAGATTGTCTAGTCCTTAGTTAGCATCCACTTGCACATATGTTGTACTGTCGCAGCATTGGCAGCCAGCCTGGTCTCCTGCTTTGTGAAGCATTACAACGTGTGCTGCCATCTGCTGCCTGCCCCCACTCCCATGCCTGCACACCTTCTTCTTTAGTTGTGCAGATTTTTCCTTTTTTGGGGCCCATCTGGCTGTCCTCCCTTGCCATTCTGAGCACAGACAACTCTGGCTCACACATTCATCACAGTGCTTCCATTTCCAGTGGGGTGGGGAATTCCTGCAAGATCCTCACATCTAAGATGCAGAGGTGCAGAGTGGATCACGATCCCTTCTACATTCAATCCCCAAACTTACCTAGGGCTCTAGTGTCCTCTTCCTCTTGGTGCTAGCCCAAGAGGGTTTGGTGTTGACAGGATATGGGAATCCTCTTTGGAGACGCTTGCTGGTATCTAACTCATCTACTTCAACTCCCACTCTTGTTTTCCATCAGCCCAGAGATAATTTTTATCTTCCCTTGGCCAAAAGGAAACTGGCTTAGCAAGTATTCTTTCCATTTTTTGACCTTCCTTCTTCACTCCTTGAAACACAGCTTTTGAACTTAAAAGCCAAGAATTGACATTACTCTCCTCTGATTCCTTTGCCCCAATTATCCTTTAGGGCTGGGGAGTCTTGTGTTTATCACTGTGAATGGAGGAAGGTTGTAGGGTAAAAGGGAATGGAAAAAAGTCAAGTAAAACTACACAGTATCCTGAAGAATTTGTGTAATTTCTCTCTTTGCCACATTACTGTCAGCTGAGTGCAGGAGAAGTTCTTTTTGATTTGTTCAGCATTTTTACCTAGACTTCAATACAGAGCAGGTGCTCCAATGTCTGCAAAATGAGTAAAGTGAGTAAAAAACATGAGTAAAGTGAATAAAAAAGTAAAATGAGTAAAGTAGGTGAATGTGTAGTGCATGATCAGTTCTGTGCTCATGTGTACACATGCACACATATACAAAAAAGCTTTTATGCTGCTGTTCACAAGGGAACAGTGACTCACTGGCCATGACTGGAGTTTATTGTTAAGAAGAAGATGTGACAGCAAGCTAGTCCTCAGAGGTAGAAACCTCAAAAATTATTTTGTAATATTCAGAAATTGCTCATAATCTAGTAGTATCTTTCTTACTGGCATTGAAAAGTGAGCACTGGACAAGTAGACTGGAGAGAAAACACCTGACCTGTGTGTAGGTTATTCTTGTCAGCAGCGAGGCATTGTTCTTGAGTGTCACCCCACAACCTCCTTCGGCCGTGCTGCTCACACCTGCCCAAAGAGGCCACTCTACGGACAGAGAACACTCAGGTCAAGATGATCAGAGGGCAGAGCTGAAAACCCTACACTAAGAAATTTCTTTGAAGGGCCATATTTTGTATTAAATATTCAAGTTGATTTTATATTTGACTCCAGAACATGTGTGTATATGTGTGTGGTTTTTTTTGGTTTTGTTTTGTTTTGTTTTTGAGATGGGGTCTTGCTGTGTTGCCCAGGCTGGAGTGCAGTGGCACAATCTCAGCTCACTGCAACCTCAGCCTCCTGGATTTAAGCAATTCTCCTGCCTCAGCCTCCCGAGTAGCTGAGATTACAGGCATCTGCCACCACACCCAGCTAATTTTTGTATTTTTTGGTAGAGACAGGGTTTCAGCATGTTGACCAGGCTGGTCTCAAACTCCTGACCTTAGATGATCCTCCCACCTTGGCCTCCCAAAGTGCTGGGATTACAGGCATGAGCCACGGTGCCTGGCCGTATTATGTGTTCTAATATAAAAATTAATGAGTTTCTCTCAGCCCAAGTCTTCTATTAAAATCAACACCTCATGGCTGGCTTTTCCAGTCACTTCTATGGATAATGTATCCCATCATAAAAAGCAAGATGTTAGGTCCTTAGCAACTTGGCATTTTCTTTGAATAAGGTCTTAAAATTCCATCCTCAAAAATAAAACTTAAGTAATGTCGATACTACTCTACCACAGCCTTTACAAAGCCTTGCAAAGCAAACAGCTTCCATCTGCACATGCCCAGAAAAATGCTTACCTGTCTATGACTTTCACTGGCACCTCTGCATCTGCCAAGGTGATTTTTGTGTATACCAGGATCATCTTTTCATTTACACTTATTTTATGAAACCAAAAATTGACCCAGATTCCTGTGGCATATTATTAAATCTAAATATTGACTGTTCCTCATGTCATGAAAATTGAACAAATTGGTAGAATATCTAAATTCAAAATGTTCTTGCCAATGCATTTTTTCTTGGTTATTTTCAACAACACTGGGAGGTGATGAGAGCAGATGTCATTGTCAAATGTCCTTATTTTGACTGCCTTCAAAGATACCAGGTCCTGTCCTAGCTTCACCACACAGTAACAAGCAGTGCTTTTAAGTAATTAATACCTTGCTGTCACTCATTTTTCTCATCCATAAAATGGGCTTGATCATAGCTCCTCAATCATAGGATGTGAAGGAAACTGAAATGGTAACTGCTCAACACCATAGTTGGTGCCACGAATGTCAAACAGAGGAGGGTAAAATCTCAAGGGTATTAGTGAAAAAGCCAGGTGAAGCTTTTGTCCTGGAGATGAGCAACAATTTGGGTAGCCAATCCTCCCTTTTCCCTTCCACACTCAAGTCTAGATCTTGAACAAACCCATTTGAGGGACAGTTTGGGTCTACAGAGACTCACACCATGATCCGTGTCTCTCAGTGGACTGGGGACTCCTTTTCTGTGGGAAGGATTAAAAGGTGGAGTGAGAAGCCAGGGTTGTTACCCTTGGGTTGTCCCTCAACATGGAAAGAGGAGAGATGCCATTATCCTAGGCAGTTAGGAGCCAAGATGGAATACATGAGTGCTTAGCTCAGCCTGCAGGCACACAGCAGAGCTGGGATTTTTACGTATCTATTGTTTATGGGAGTTATAGTTTATTTGCATTTTCTCTTTTAAAATATGTTATTCTATGACAACTCTGTGAGGTTGGGATGCTCTTCATTTTACAGAAGATGCAGCCAAGGTGCAAAGAGGTAAAGAAACCTGTCCAAGTTTACATGGATAGTAAAAGTCAGGATTGTAATCGTTGTTCCACCGGAAGCTCAGCACTCTGTGAAGCTTTCATAAAGCATTATAGCATTCAGTAATTCTTGTCTTGACTGGTCATGTCAAGACCAGAAGAAAGCTTTAACTAAATCTGGAGTTCCGTGTAAAATGTTAGATGTATGTTTTGTGTTACCAGATCAGCAAGAATTGTCACTTAAGGGGATTGATTTGGAAACAGAGATGTAAATATAAATGATTTGTCTTATTTTAGAACTTTTTACAACTTTTATTACAACTTTACTTTTATAAATTTTCATTGTTTAAAATTATTAAATACTTTAAATATGTGGTAAAATAGAAAAACTAATATAATAAGAGTTTATGTACCTAGATGTAACACATATTAATATTTTGCCATATTTACTTCCAATTTTTTCTTTATAAGGAAGGAATACTTTAGTAATGAAGCAGGCATCCCCTCTCTCACTCATCCAAACCCCTTTCCTCCGTCCTCAGAGGTAGCTACTAGGTGATTTATATTATGTGTTTAAACATTTTACATAAATGGCCTAGTTCTGTATGTTTGTTTTGCAGCCTCTATTGTTCTCTCAACTGTTACACAGGAAGTTTACCCACAGAGATGGAGCTAAGAGATTTAGCTTTGCTTTATCTTTTTAAGTGTAGCTCTTACCACGTAAAACACCATTTCCAAAGAGAGAAACAAATGCCATGTGGGGCCTTTGCAGTCCTCTGAATGGGTGCCCCTAAGCACCCTTTCTTCCCTGGGTTCTTGTGAGAGGCCTCACTGGTCTGGACTGAAGAGAGATTCTGGAATTTGAATCTATAGTATCCTTTCGTTCATGCTTGTTACTCAAGCATTTAAATACTTCCCAAGAATGAAGTCACTTCTCCAGGGGCAAGGTATCATGTGCTATATATGCCACCTTATGATAGACTTAATAAATATTTGCTGAATTATAGCAGCATAAATTATAATAAGCTCATTAACACAGTGAACCCATTAGAAGACATTTGTCAGGTATTCAGTCCCTGACAGGGTTACTTTTTATGACTGAGACACTAGAGAGAGGTCTTTTTTTTTTTTTGGAAAAAATAATAAAAAATTCCTTAAAGTATATTTATTTATATTTTTAAAAAAGGATTTGAGAAACATGAAACATGAAAACATGAGAGAATACTTCATTAGCCACTTTATACAATAAAATAAGCCATAAATAACATTTTTGCAAGTAAAAACACTCAGGTTACTTAATGATGGGTACACTAATGACAGTCACAACTATTTAGGCAGGCCTTATTCTGTGCTTATTAGCTTGAGTCAGACACTCGTGTTTATCTAAACCGGGGCGTGTTAGTTTATTGTCAGTTAAAGAGAGGTGCCTCCTGGGAAACCATCAAGTTTATACACATGGCACCAATATGGTGTATTATAATACATATAATGCAACATATAAATTAAATTACTGTATGTAATAGATATTAAATTATTTAGTATAATATATGCTTATATCATACAATACAATACACTAATATAGAGTGAAATCCATGTGTGTTATGCCACCTTTTCCACTTTTACAGAATTTCAAAACTTGGACTGAAAAATATTGTGCTCTCTTTTTGGGCCAGGCACAGTGCTAAGCACATTACTTTATTCATTCATCTCATAAAGCAGTGATGATCTTACAACTCACATTTGATGAAACTGAGGCTTATCCGAAATTAAGGCTTATCCAAAATTATGCAGGTGCCAACAGGGCTTTCTGGTCAACCGTGCATGGCCTTTACTCCTCAGAATAGGTGGCATTATCTATCTCACTCTGTAACACCCGCTGAAAGAAATGTGGCCTCTGCTGGTACAGAAGCCTCCTTGTAAAAGCCATCTGCTGGCCACCTGTGCTTTTACCTCAAAGCCCACTTCACATTTTAGGAGTTCACCTAACCTTTCAAGTCCCAATGGCAGGTATACATCTTCCATCTTCTTAGTATTAGCCATCAGGACTGAAGCGAATTTACAGCTCCAGTCATGAGCCTTGGCACATTTCTGGTATGAAGTATAAATATTTGAATGCTAATTATTGTAAAACAAACAGGCCACTGAGTCCAAAGCAGATGAATGCTGTTTCTGGAAGCCAGCAGACCCTAACTAGTAGGCAGCTTGTGTTGTGTCTCTGCACAATCACTGATAGACGTCTGGAATCATTTCCACCTCCCCCTTCCTCAACTGGGAGATGCCCAGAGTGGCTCACATATGTGAATCTTTGCCTTTTAAACTAGTTCCCATCTGCCCTGTCTCTTGAGCAAAAACCCTGTACTGCTGGAATGACCTGACCCAGAAAGATAATGGTATCATCTTCTAAGAGCAGCTCACCCTTGTCCAGCCCCAGCTCACATGAGTCTGTCCAGCATACACATTCTCATCCCTGGCACACTGGGCCCAGGCATTCCACTGGCTTGAAATCACTGATTCTCCTCCATACCTGTGCATCCTTCGACGTCCAGCTCTGGACCTCCTCTTGCTTGAAGCCTTCCAGGCTTACTTTAATCCATATTGCTTGTCATTTATTCAGCAGTCCTGGGACCATGCAACAGCAAAGGCAGAACTGTTTTGCCTTCCTACCGAGGTAGAAAACCCCTGCAACCATGGGCCTAACACCTGTAGTCTCTTTGGAAATGTTAGTAAATTGGTAGCCCATTCTGCCTAGGCAAAATCCGCCTGGCAGTTGTCCAAAAACTAAGCTATCTCTGACGAAGGCGGGGCATGGGAAAGTATGGATTGTAAAGCCTAACTGGGAACATCATTTACTCCAGCAAACAAAGATACGGATGTCAGAGGATCACTTGTTCTGCTAAATGTAGGGAGCTGGAGTGAAATTAGACATAGTACTTTGTGGCCAAAAGGAAAAATAAATCTTATTAAAATTTTAAGGCTGGTGCTTGAGTTGACCCCAGCAATTTTTTCTGGCTTCGTGTTCTAGTGAAAAAAAGACAGGGGCTTTGGGACAGTAAACCAGAAGGGAACCACTCGGAGCTTTCATAGGCCTAAGGAGACAAATAATGTTTACTAAGGAATTTGTTGTCAAGATTAAACTGAGACGAGGAATCGAGACAATGTGAGTGAGGTGCTAGATACAGTGCCCAGCACAGCACAGGCATTTGGCCAGTGGCAGCCTGGGATACCTTCGCTGCTCGTGCACCCACCAGCCCCCTGACTCCTGCCACGACTGCTGTTAATGACTCAGGCCTAACCCTACAACAGCCTAACCATGATTTTGCCTGGAGCCACCCAGACACCTCTGCCAGGCTGAGCAGCACAGTAAATGAGGAACCCTTCCCCTCCTGAACCAACCAACAGCCCCTGGTCAGGCAATGCCATTGCAGTACATTCCCCCCACTTATTTTCTTAATTTCAGACATTCATTGATTGCAGGAGTATTTACTGGGAACCTTCCACAGGCCAGCCCATGTTGGTTGGTGGGAATACAAGAATGAATAAGATGTAGTCCCCACCTTCGGGAACCTTACAGGCATCCCCATTGTGGGTTACTCAAACATCTGAATTTTACATTATCCGGAAGCCCAGCCGCCAGTGTTTTAAACTTATGCCTCAACCAAGCGAGGTCACTGGGTCGGCCAGCCCTAGCAGTGCCCTTCCTAGCAGGTGGGATTGCTCCATGCATTCTGGTGTCAAACAGCGCCATCACAAGGAGGGGGCACTGCCTGCAGGGGGGCTGCCCTTCTGAGGAGGCAAGGACTTGGCAATCCCGCAGGACTGTACTCCTTAGAGAGGGGGATGTCCTCCCGCTACCACAGGCTCCGCTGACCTGGCCGACCTTTTTCTTTCTGTTCTTCTGGACATTAGCTTAAGAATGGGCAGAAACTAGAGGGATAATGAATAAGGGAGTGCCTCTTTGGTGTTCTGCCTTTAGCAGTCTGGAGACTTTCTCACATTTACCAAAAGCAAAGAAAAGAGAAGGGCCCATTTGTAAAAAGTGCCAATAAGGGTGTTAAGAGATAAAAGAATTCCAGCTGAGGGAGGTATCTTCCTCTTTGCTGCAGACTGGATGTTTTCTTGGATATGTGACGGGAGCTAATTTTAGAAAAAATGATTCTCGAAAGAAAATGACTGCTGAAGGCCATTAAGATACACGAGTATCTCACCACAGCTCACATGCTAAATCTTCTTTATTATTTCAACATTAAAATAAATACTTAGACTTAGCATTAGTCCAGACAACTCTTTGACACAAAAAAAGGACGTGAGTGTGTCTCAGACCCACAGAAAACTTGGCCAGCTGGCAATTAATAGCAGACACATCAATCAAAATGTGAAAAAAAAAAAAAAAAGAAAGAAAAACACTCTCCAGTCAAGAAAATGGGCAATAAAGCTTGTCAACCACAAGGCTTAAGAGGGACATCGTTAAAGTGGTAAGACCTAGAATTAACTTCTCTTTGCCCTTGAACAAAATAAGAAGTTAGCTGCATTAACCTTAAGCTGCAGTGTAATGTTCCTCTGTGGCAGCGTTTACATTTCATAGTTTTATCTGACAACTCGTAATAAATTGTGCCTTTTGGAAAATGTCATTTCTCTCAGAAGAATTTGAAGGAGAATTTAAACACTCTTTTGTGCTACTTTAACTATCCCTAAGAAATGTGACTCGTGTCTTTGTTTGGGCATTAGTATTTAAGATGTGGGCACTGACCTTCCTAAGCAAGTGGAACAATCACCGTGATTTCCAGCAGTGAGGCACTTTTGATTTTGCCTCTAAAAATAGAAGTTCCCTAGAGGCCTGGCCAGAAAGGGCAGAGAACAGGGAGAAAGAATGGAAATAGAAAAAAGTAGTCCAAATAGGCAGAGAACATCCACTGGGAATTCAGACCTTTGCATTGCCAGGTAATAATGTTAGAATTGCAGTGGAAAGGAAAAGAAAGTCACACCCAATCCAGTATGAGTATAATCTTGCCAGTGCTCTTCCCAGGGGAAAACTGGCAAGAACTCGACAGCCCCAGTCACTTAAACCATCGTAGACAAAGCACATGTGAAGGTGTGATTAAGGAGCACTGTCCCATTGGTGCCTGGGGACAGATGATTTGCCTGGTGGGCCTCTTATATCCCCCGATGTCATTTATATCACACCAGCTAATGATGGGATATGGCAGTGAGTATTACCGACGACTTTCTTTAAGTTGTATAATTATAATATTTCAGATATACTATATCAGAGGAAAAGATGTGTTTTCTCTTGCTTAGCCGAGCCTTCCTATTAGGCTTATGGTCATTTCAAGGAAAACGATGATCCAGGGCTGTAACATTGATGATGTCCCTTGCCTCTCTCTAACCTGGATTTGTTACAGATATGCTGATGACTGAGACCCATGATGCAGATCGTGATTTCTGTAGCATTTTGCTAGCAGAGGATTTGACATTGCCTTGAGACTTAATCATTTTGGAGAATGTTCTCTCAATTGGCAGCAGAAGGTTTGCAGCTCCAGAGGCTGCAGTGGAGGCTTTTGGATTATTAAAAGTTGAGACCTAATCACAAATTGAGGCAGTGCAGCAAATCCACTCCTTCCTATTATTCTTGTGCATTAGGAGCCACTTAAGCTCCACCTAATGAAGAGTCTTCATTCTTTGCATTGTAATACTCCTTTAAAGATGCTCAGAGAGCCTCACAAATCCTGCCTCTTTCTACTTCCCAGCACAGCGGGCAGAGAGAGCAAACTCTGCCACAGGGTCCTGGCACCAACGCAGCCCCCTCTATCCTGCCAGGTGCTTCTTCTCTTTATTTGTGTCCTCTGACATCCTCTCATTCTTCTCCCTTCCTTTCCCATATGTCATCTCCCCATGACAAACAAGGGTAGTTTCTTCTGGGTAGAAACTAGGCGTTTTCATATAATGGAGGCTATGTCTGTGTTGATGCAGAGAAAAACACAAAAGCCCTGTAAAATATTTAAACCTGAGCCAATGTGAGTGACCATGGCCCAGGCTTATGGTCTTAGGAAGTCCTGAGAACGTGTGCCCGAGGCAACTGGGTCACAGGTTGGTTTTACACACTTTAGGGAGACAGGCATTGTAGATAAAATCATTAATCAATACATGAAAGGTGTGCATTGGTTTAGCCTAAAGTGGTGGGATATTTTGAAATGCGGGTTTATAAGTCGTAGGTACATTCAAAGATTTTCTGATTGGCAGTTGGTTGAAAGAGTTAAGCTTTGTCTCAAGGCTTGAAGTCAATAGAAATAAATGCTTGAGTTAAGAGGGGTTGTGGAAGCCAAGATTCTTGTTATAGAGATGACGCCTCATAGGTAGTGTCCTTCAGAGAGGATAGATGGTACATGTCTCTTTTGGGAACTTAAAGGTGTTACACTCACATTTAATCTCTCCTAGGTCCAGGAAAGGCCTAGAAGGGGAAAGGTAGGCTGCATTAATGGAGATGCTCTACCAATGCAAATTTCCCCCACAAAAGACAGCTTTGCATGGCCATTTCAACATATGTCAAAGAAATATATTTTGGGGTAAAATATTTTGATTTCCTTCAGGGTCTTCTAACTGTCACGTGATGCTATACCAGAGTCAGGTTGGAATTTGGCATCTTATCGCCACAAAGAGTTTGGTCAGCTTATGATGTCTATGTTAATATTAATCCTGGTCAGTTGTGTCCACATATCAAAGGGAGAGGGAATATATGGAGGCCTGTCTGACCTCCCTTCCAGTCATGACTGGAAATTCAGTTTTTCATGTTTCTCTGGGGTCCATCTGGCCATGAGGGGGTCTGTTGGGTCAGTTGAGGCGCTTAGGAATTTATTTTCAGTTTACATCTGTGTCAACCTTAAATAATGAGGTTCAGGAAATATGATTAAGTACAGAGTTTATTTGAGCGCAAAGCTTGAGGCTGGCCACCTGGGAAAGCACCAACTGCAGATGAATGGGGTCAGTGTTTCCAAAACGGAGAAGTTAAAGTTTCGATTATATAGGCAGAGTCAGAGAAGTTCCAGCAGAATCACAGCATTTTCCATACAAGACCAGGTATATATGCCACAGCTGTTTGATTGGTTACAGATTGTTCCATTTTAAGCAAGAATACTTTATTATTCCATGAGGAGGTGCAGTGATCTGAGAGGGTCTTATCTCTGGCGCTGCTTGGTCTTTCTAATTATTTGCAGGAACAAAAAGGCAGAAGTTGCAGCTGTCTGACGCAGGCTACATAGCCACATTCCTCCCAAGGCTCAAGATAATTTTGAGTTCCAATAGCTTTAAGTTTGAATTATTTTAATTTTGAATTATTTAATTTTACATCTGATAATTTGAATCCTGCCATGAAATTTCCCAAGTTCACTTTCTCAGCTCAAGTTCCTGCGGCTTCTTGACTCGTCAAACCAAGGTCATATTAGATTATCTGGTGTGGGGGGGCACTGGCTCTCAGCCCCAAGCCCTCTAGGCCAGAGATTTTGAGCTCCTCCCAACAGGTCAAAGCTTTGTTTTTGTTGTTTCACTTCCCACCACTGTGCACACATCTCATCTTTGCCTCTGTTTTTAAAAAACATTTTCTGGAGCAAATGCTGAAATCAGAAACCTGCATTTCTCATTTTTTAGTTGCCCACCAGAGCTGTTGCTCAGTGCAGGGAAACCAGGAAATGGTGACTACCAGTCAGAAACAAAAAGACTGTCTTTTAAATCAGCTGCTGCAGCCTTGGTATTCCCAGCATGGAACTTCTAAAACTTTTGGAATTTCCTTAGCGATAGGACTGTTTTCATTCTGCTAATGAGGGAACTCACTTTGTCCCCAGATAGCTTCAGCTTGGGCTCTGATCACCAGAAAGATCAATCAGATGAAATTGCAGGGTTTCAGGAGGCTGAGGCAGGAGAATCACTTGAACCCGGTTGGCAGAGGTTGCCATGAGACAAGATCGTGCCACCGCACACTGCAGCCTGGGCAACAGAGCGAGACTCTGTCTCAAAAAAAAAAAAAAAAAGAAAGAGAAAAAGAAATTACAGGGTTCAAACTTTTTGAACTTTGGGCTGCCCGGCATCCAGGGAGAAGAGTGGCACTGGAGATTAAGTTCACTCACATGGCCAGTGATTTAATCAATCATGCCTATCTAATGGGAACCCTAATAACAACTCTAGATTCTGGGGTTCACTGGAGCTTCTGGTTCATGAACACACTGATGTGTTGGGAGGGTGATACACTCAGATTCCACAGGGAAAGAGGGTGGAACTGCATCCCCCCTAGATCTCACCCTGTGTGCATCCTTTACAATAAAACTATAGCCATAAATCTAGTACTTTCCTGACTTCTGTTAGTCATGTTAGCAAATTATCGAACCTGAAGGGTGTCCTAGAGTCTGGGGATTGGTAGTTGAACAGTTAAAAGTGTGAGTGGCTTTGAGTAACTTGTGAGTAACTTGCCCAGAACCACAGAGCTAGCAAGCAGCAGATAATTACATGCAAATCCACACAGCTGGCATGTGAAACGAGGGCAGTCTCCTGGAGGCCTGAGCCCTTAACACATGGGGTCTACACTAACTCCCAGTAGCAAGTGTCAGAATTATACTGCAGTGCACCCAATGGGATGCAACAGAATAACTGTTATTAAGGATAATTTTGCAATTTCTTAATAGAATTCTTGAAATATTAGAAACACCTTCTAGACCTTTATGTTGGTCATTACAGCTCAAAGCACTGTCCCTGGGTGGACAGGTTAGACAGATCATGTGGAAGGTGCTACTCAAAGTGTGGGCCCAGACTAATGCACATCCACAACTGTTCATTACCAGTTCCTGGTAAGATGTTTACAGAACTTGAGAGCAGGCATTTAGAAACTTTTATAGCAATTGTACAATGCCAAGACATTCAGAAATGGAAATATTAAAATATCACACAGTGACAATTTGGGGGAAAAATTACCCTTCACCACAGATAGTTTGGGGAGTGTAAATTTAGAAAATGTAGCCTTGGTTGGTATGACCAGATGGAATCAGAACTTACTGTGAAAGGTGTGAGCCATAGGATGAAGCAGATGGATTTGCATGTAATATCTGCTGCTTGCTAGCTCTGTGGTCCTGGGCAAGTTACTTAATTGCTCTGGGACTCAGTTCCCTCATCTAGAAAATGGATATGACAGTATTTCCTATCTAATTCGATGCTGGAAAGACCAAATAAAATAATCCAGAACAAGTGCTAACCACAGACCTGTATATATAGTAAGCTAACTGCGGGTATTAATTCTTCTACGCTCGCTTCTTGGCATCCGTGGTTCCGGCTTGGTTAAAGTATATTCTGTCTATGTAGGTTTGATGTATTACTGTATATAAAATCTATAGCCTTGCTCTCATGTGAATACAAAATAAAGTAAACACAGTTTAAAAGCCACAATTTATACATGTAAGCGAATGTTGCATTTTGTAGAATCCCTCTGAGATGCTAGAGTCTTATCTGAAAATGTTGCAGTTGTTGGAAGCATTTTTAGGACTTCTTCTTTTTGGCTTAATTTTTCTTTTTAATTATTATGGGTATAAGATAGTTGTATATGTTACTGATGATTTCTGGAACTTATTTAACATTTCCATTAGAACCTGTTCCAGTGATCTTCTGATGTAACAAATCACCTTAAAATGTAGGAGTTTACTCAGCATCATGCAATATGCCCCTGTAACAAACCTGCACATGTACCCCTGAATCTAAAATTTAAAACAAATACATATATAGGTATATAAATGTATTTATACACATCTATACACATCTCAAACAAAACAAATAAAAAATAACTTCGTGGTTTAGAACAACAATCTATCATTATCACTCACCGTTGACTGACTGGGCTAGACCGGCTCTCCTATCCGGTCTTCCATGGGGTTGCAGTCAGATGTTGGCTGGAGATGGAGTCATCGGGAAGTGCAACAGACGGGACATCCAGAATGACTTCTTCGCGCTTCACATTTGGTGCCTGGGCTGGGATGGCTGGGATGGCTGGGACGGCTGGAACAGCTTGGGGCTGGCTGGGTATCTCTCATTCCACGTGGACTTTCCTAGCTTGGGCTTCCTCGATGCATGCTGGGCTAAGCTTAGGGATATGTCTTCACTGGTGTCTGGCTTCCCCCAGAGTGAATGTCCTGAGAGGCAGAAAGTGGAAAATGCTAGACCTGGGCCTGGTAACTGGCATAGTATCACCACAGCCATATTCTACTAGTCCAAGCAGTCATTGAGCCTGTCCTTATTTAATAGGGGGAGACACAGAATCTGCCTCTCTCTGGGTGGAGGGTCACAGAATCTGTGTCCACCTTTAACCTGCCATAGAGCCACAAAAGGAATGTAGTTTTCTTAGTTTAGCACGTCCTTTCCCACCAGCGACATTGTATGACTTCCCAAGGTGACCACATTGAGGTAGGAACATTCATTTTGATTTCAGTTCCTATCTTTTTTAGTGAAAACACAACCATTGTATTACAGCCATGCCCTACATGCCTTTGTGTTTTGGCATTGGTCAGCCTGTACTGGGGAAGGATCGTGGGGGTCACACATTTCCCCTGGCAGACCCTCCCCTCAGAATCACCCTACTTTCTGAGTATCTGATTTCTACTAACGACTTCCTTGCAGTCTGTGTTGCCTCCCTGCACTCTTCTCTACCTTACTTGCCACCAAGGAATCTCCTGAAAGCCCATGGAACCAATGCATAACTCCTTTGCTCTCAGAACTTCACTCTCTCCCTATTTTTTATACAGCATGTGCCCCAGACATCCAGGTAGGCACTCCAGACCCTCCACAGCTGGAAGAGGATAGCTTTCCAATTATGTTTTCCCCAAATGGTCTTGCTTCTTCTTCCAGCACCCCCACCAAAACACCCATCATAGCCACAGACACACAAGGCCCTCTGCAAAACGCACACACAAACACAAGCTCAGATCATTTACCCAGCCAATATTTATTGAATATCTGCCTGTGCTTGGTTTAGTGCTCAGCTTGAAGTTCCAGCAAGCTTAGTTATTATTCCACAAACATACCTTAGGTTATTTTCCCTTTCCAGGACTTTGCTTAAGTTCCTGAAGTTAGGAGCATTTCTTATTAATGTTTTTGTGTTTCCTTTGGTACTAAGTGCTGTGTGCTTCCCACACAGCAATACATATTAGTTGCAATGCTGTACAGAGGAGAGGTTCATTCTCTTTCATTGTATCTTACTTTTCATCTCTGCCCCTTTTGTTACCCTTTCTCTGAGTCTCATCTAGAATCAGCAAGCTCTCTCCCCATCTCTCCTCCTATTTCAAGTTTTAATGTACTTCCCTCTTATCTCACCAAAAGTTCACGGTAAGGGTGAAGTAGGAGGGTAGTCTTGGGGACATTGTTGAAGACAACAGGCACCCTGAAATAACATTCACCCACAGACACAGTCACTGAAGCATTGCTTTATTCAGTGCCATCGGTGGACTTCTGGTATGTTCTAGGCAGCCTTCCAGAATGGGGAGAACAGGAAGAATCAGATAGGGTTGTCACTCCTTAGAAGTGCACAGCAGCGCTGCTGTAAAATCTATGAGCTCTGAGCTTTCGGTGGTCTGATAGGCAGACAAAAGGGGCAAACCATGCTTACCTCTCTGGCTTTGCTTTATCAAATTGGAATTTTATCATCTCAGAAGTAGGGGGAACTTGTGGGCAGGGGCACTACTGTCTATCAAAGTGGGAAGGCAGACGTGTCCCTGAGTCACATGGGGAGGATTTTGCAAATATACACCCATCCATCGCCTCTCTCCAAAGACTCACCTGAGATGGTGAGATCCCTTGTTTTGCAGAGGTTGGTGGGAGGTGGGGGGCGGGGAGGGGGACAGATATGACACCTGGATTTAGCTAAAACTCCTGGATGATTCTGGTTTCTAGTGCCCCTTCTACAACCCCACCCCACCACCTACAGAAACACTGCTCAAGATAGAATGTCCCCAGCAGCATCTGAGCAGATGCCCCATGTTGGCTAACTGCCATCTGGCTGTTTTTCAGGTTCATTCTGCCACCCATCTGCATTAAGACACAAGGTGCTGACCGCAGAGACCTGCCATGAAACCACACTTGAAGCAATGGAGACAACGAATGCTTTTCGGAATATTCGCTTGGGGGCTCCTCTTTTTGCTGATTTTCATCTACTTCACCGACAGCAACCCCGCTGAGCCTGTACCCAGCTCCCTCTCCTTCCTGGAGACCAGGAGGCTCCTGCCGGTGCAGGGGAAGCAGCGGGCCATCATGGGCGCCGCACATGAGCCCTCCCCGCCTGGGGGCCTGGACGCACGCCAGGCGCTGCCCCGCGCCCACCCAGCCGGTTCCTTTCATGCGGGGCCTGGAGACCTGCAGAAATGGGCCCAGTCCCAAGATGGGTTTGAACATAAAGAGTTTTTTTCATCCCAGGTGGGGAGAAAATCTCAAAGTGCTTTCTACCCGGAGGATGACGACTACTTTTTTGCTGCTGGTCAGCCAGGGTGGCACAGCCACACTCAGGGGACATTGGGATTCCCTTCCCCCGGGGAGCCAGGCCCACGGGAGGGGGCTTTTCCGGCTGCACAGGTCCAGAGGAGGCGGGTGAAGAAGAGGCACCGGAGGCAGAGAAGGAGCCACGTGTTGGAGGAGGGCGACGACGGCGACAGGCTGTACTCCTCCATGTCCAGGGCCTTCCTGTACCGGCTCTGGAAGGGGAACGTCTCTTCCAAAATGCTGAACCCGCGCCTGCAGAAGGCGATGAAGGATTACCTGACCGCCAACAAGCACGGGGTGCGCTTCCGCGGGAAGCGGGAGGCCGGGCTGAGCAGGGCACAGCTGCTGTGCCAGCTGCGGAGCCGCGCGCGCGTGCGGACGCTGGACGGCACCGAGGCGCCCTTTTCTGCGCTGGGCTGGCGGCGCCTGGTGCCCGCCGTGCCCCTGAGCCAGCTGCACCCCCGCGGCCTGCGCAGCTGCGCTGTCGTCATGTCTGCAGGCGCAATCCTCAACTCTTCCTTGGGCGAGGAAATAGGTAGGTCTCAGCGGGGGGACCAGGTCGCCCTGTCTTGAGCCAGTGTGTCCCTGGGGGCCGGTTCTTTCTGAGCGCGCCTCTGGATCTCTGACGGGGCAAGCTGGGGTCTCCGCACCAGGTGTTCCTAATATTAGCTGGAGATTCTTCAGGTGCTTTCCCATTGCTGGCACAGAATGAGTCTGCCTGGGGTCACAGCAGAAGTACTCTTCGGGAGACTCTTAGAGCAGGGATTTGGGGAATGCTAGGGAGCAGGAAGGGTCCTCCCCATAGCTGATGCCAGTAGGCAGTGGAAGGAAAGCGCCGCCCTTTGCCCCCGGCGTCCTTCTCACTGTTCAGACTTCGTATCCCATAGAAACCGCAGTCTGCATGGATATGCCCCCAGGCTGTGGCCCCTGAAAGCCCGGTGAACCCATCCTGCAGTGGGAATATGGGAAGGGAACAAGAGGAGGAGGCAAGAAAGCAGAAGCTGCCCAATCAGGGCGTCAGCTCCAAAGAGCAGGGTGCATGAAGATAATATTGGTTACTGTGAGCTCTGAGAAGAGCCCAGCTGCTGTTGGGAACATCTTTCCCATGGGAGAATAAGTTCCGGCCTCCCAACTGTTGGCGCAAATCCAACCTTTGGGGCACTGCCAGTGCACCTACCAGGGACCTTCTCCAAGATGGTAAATAACATGCAACACCTGGGCTTCCTCCCTCCCTGCCAGGCTCTGCCTTCACATCCCTGTCAAGAGCCCTGGAGCACATGTTTCCCAGCTCCTGTATCAGTCAGGGTTCTCCAGAGACTCACACCAGGAGGATATGTGTCTATACAGAGACAGATTTATTTTAAGGACTTGACTCTCATGATCGTGAAGGCTGGCAAGTCTGAAATAGGTAGTGCAGCCCAGCAGATGGGAAACTCAGGCAGAGTTTCTGTGTTGCTGTCTTGAGGCAGAATTGTTTCTTTTTTAGGAAACTTCAGTCTTTGTTCTTAAAGCATTCACCTGGCTTGAGGAAGCGCACCTGCATTTTGAGAGTCGTCTGCTTTTCTCAAAGTCTAGTGATTTAACTGTTAATCACATCTTAAAAACACCTTCCCAGCAACATCTGGACTAGTGTTTGACCAACCAGCTGGGCACTGTGGCCTAGCCAAGATGGCACACAACATTAGCCATCACTATTTCTTCCTAGTTTTCAAGTAAAATACCAATTCTAATCTTTTTTGATTGATGGGGCCATGGCAGGGTTCAAATACGTTTCCCTCCTGCAGAGTGGTGTAGGTTCTGCACCAGATGGGCCTGCATTGGCTCTCCTCAGAATTCCCCTTCCTCGCTGGATCACATTCATTTCCCCACCTGCCCCAGACTCTCACCCTGTCTTGCCAGAGATACCCAGGCTCTTGTGTTGCCATAGCTGGGCTCTCCCTCAGCAGTTTCAGATCCCTTTGCTCCCGGAACCCCCCTTCTTCCCAGGCTAATTCCACTGCTAGACCAGTCAGCAAGCAGCTTGGCCCTTTAGGCTCATTCATTTGACAAATATGTGTTTAGCCCCTAATATGTGCTTGATTCTGTACGAGGAGCAGTAAAACAAATGTGAGTCAAATACAGCGTCAGCCTCAAGTCCAGATATAAAACAATCATGTCCTGTACACTCTCACAGTAGGCGTTGTTAGGGCATAACTGGTCTGGAAGTGACATTCCGGGAGTGTTGCTCCCTCTTTGCAAATAAGTAATCTTTGTTGTCTTCATTTTAAGCGGATCCATTAGTTGTTCTGTGTCCTTGAAGAGTGGCCTATGTTCCAGAGTTCTCTCGGAATAGGGTGAAGCCACTGTAGGCAGGCTCAGAAGCCCAGATCTCAGCTCAGCAGAAGTCCTTGGGCATGAGGCTGAATGAGAAATATTTTTAAAGTTAAAAAAAACAAGACAGTGAGTCTGGAATCAAGGTCTGGGGTACCTGTGTCCCTGTGCTGACATTACAGCAGGCTCATAATAACACAGTCCATGTGTCATATAAGCTTGTAGCCAAAGCCAGAGCAGAGCAGCCTGCAATTTATTAAGAAGAAGCAGTGGTTTAGAGGTCCCCGGGGTGAAATAACACCACAGTTCTTTCTCATTTCTGAGAGCCAATATTAATAATGTGGAGAAGGAATTTAAGTATTATGCTTGAAGCAGGCAGTAACTTGCTTCCGGTTTGGTTTTGTTTTAAACACCTCTGCATCAGAGGTGAAGATCTGGATTGCTCTTGCATGTCAGTGGGCAGTCCCTCGTTCTTTTTTTCTGCATAAATATCCCTGACCAGAATCTTGTAAACTCTGTTTACAATTTGGAAGAGAACGTGAAAGACGCTGAGAAGTCCATGTTTCTGGGAAACTTGAAATGCCAGTTATATCTTTGTTAATTTCTAGTATCCAAATCTAATTTATTTGGCATGCACTTGCATGAGCCTTTATGATTAGAACTGTAGAATCACAACTGAAGAACATGCCTGGAAATTTCTTTAAAATTCTCTTTATTGTTTTGTCTAGGGTTGTTTGGATCAGATTTTGTATCTACTATTTTAAGAACATGTAACCATAGCATGGCTCAATTTGTATAAACAAAAAGTTTCATTTGTATAAGTTGGTATCTCAGCATCAGCAGTGTACATGCCAGGTGCCGACCTCGCTCCTTCCTGTTCACCTGAATATATGCAAGCAAACCCACATAGTTATGAATGGCTTGCAGAATACAAACAAACTCTGGCAGCAAATTCCTTCAGGCAGCTTAGAATATTGGGGGCATGGTGTAGCGAAATTCTTGTTGGCCGCTAAGCATCTACTTGTGAATTGGCTAAATGAAGATCAAAAGACTTACCAAAGATCACGATCTTATGAAAAATTGAAGGCAGAGCTAGGAAGTGTCTCAGATGATCACTGCTTATCAGCCCTACCTATGTTCTGCCAGGAGGAGCCCTCTCCATGCTGACGTCAAAGGGAGACCCAGTCAGTCTCAGGTTTGCTTACTGGCTGCCCTTTCGCTCCCCCTGGTGTTTGCTCCACTGGCAGTGCAGCCCCCATCCCCCTACCCTTCTGTTGGAACTGGGTCACACAATGGAATTGGTTTTGGTTAGAAAAGTAGAGCAGTTGTAAACACTTCCACTGTGAATGTGTTATTGAAAAACAAACTAATTGTTTTGGAAACCTGGATCATTCTTTCCTAGAGTTATAAGATGATCTGTTTTCATCCATGCATATAAGCAATAATAATTTGCTTCTATGCAGTGCTACTAGCATTCATGTGGAAACATGTTACAGAGCAGAAAGGTCTGCTCTGAACCACCAGTAATAGCCTTCATGTGGGAAACCAAGATCTGTGTACCTGAAACTCGAATTCTGGCAAGTGCATGGGAAATGGGACATGGAGGGAGAGACTGGGGGTGGGATGCATAGACTGGTGGAGAGGGCTTGAGATTTGACATGTCCTGTTACCTTTTAAAAAAGCAAGAAAGAAGAAAGCAGTCCATATACTCATCCAATTAGCATTATTTATTGATCACCAACTCTCCACCAGATCCTAGGCTAGACACAAAAATGAATAGGTCACAGGCTCAACTATCCATACCGGCACACTTCAGTGGTAAACAGACAATTCCAGTGTTGTGGGTTGGAGAAGGACAGAGAGATATGTAGGCTGACAAGGCAGAAATGACAACGGATTCCTAACTCCCCTGAGGGCTGGTAGAGAGAAGAGATTGGTAAAGACTGCTCCAGGGAGAGGAGACCAAGCTGAAGGCCCAGCATCATATGGAAGTGAGAAACAGCATGTTGTGCAGGTGGTGAGAGCTACAGGGAGTACATGGGCTCGTAGGGACAGAAGAGAGAAGCAGGCTTGGAAGGCAGATCATCTTCCTGGATGCCCTTGCAAGCCACTCTATGAATATTAGACTTCACTTAATTGAAATCAGGTACCACTTATATAGTACAGACAAGGCCCTGTTCAAAATGCTCTTGTTTTTTTTGTTTGTTTGTTTTTTTGCTTTTTTGAGATGGAGTCTCCCGCTGTTGCACAGGCTGGAGTGTAGTGGCACAATCTTGGCTCACTGCAACCTCCACTTCCCAGGCTCAAGCTATTCTCCTGCGTCAGCCTCCCGAGTAGCTGGGATTACAGGCACGCGCCACCATACCCGGCTAATTTTTGTGTTTTTAGTAGAGATGGGGTTTCATGATGTTGGCCAGGCTGGTCTTGAACTTCTGACCTCAAGTGATCTGCTCGCCTCGGCCTCACAAAGTGCTGGAAGTACAGGTGTGAGCCACTGTGCCCAACCCAAAGTGCTTTTTATGTGCTAACTGTTGTAAACCTTACAACCCTAAGTGATAGATAACTTTGTTCCCATTTTACAGATAAGGAAATGAAGGTACCTCCAGTCACATGTGCAGAGTCTGGATTCAAACCCCAGTCTGGGTCTCCAGAAACACTAGCTCTCAGCCCTGTGCCCATGATGTGCAGCCATTGCAGATAGTCACTGTAGAGAGATCACTCCAGAGCCTGGACTTGAGGGTGCAAGGGAAGTACATCAAGAGGTGAGGGTTACAGGTCCTGGGGAGAAACAGGGCTCCCAGGGTGATGGAGCTCCCAAAGCGATGCTTTGTCCAATCCCAGGCAGGCCATTCTCTAGTGACTGGAGGCTTGCTCTCCTGCTGTTTGAATTTTCTCATCAGTGTAGGAGAGGGGGATGATGTGGTGAATGGGGCCTGGGGCAGGGCGGTGACCGGGTGCTGGCCCAGCAGCTCCTTGAAGGGCTTTAATTTTCCTTCCATGGATGCACTTGTCTGGCTCCATTCTCAAGGACAACACAGCATGGTTCTGGCCTGGAAATGCCTTCTCCAGAAATGGAACTTGACTTTCTTCCCCTTGTATTTGCTGTCTGACCTATTCCTTTTTTTCTAAATATGAATGGACAGCTTCTATTCTCACAGTGCATTATCAAGGAATGCACAGCCAGGTGTACGTTTACAGAACGTGTCTGTGTGAGAGACAGTCTCAGCGCACCCTCCCCTTCCATCCCAACCCCACGCTGCTCACAGTGGCTGTTCATAGAGGGCTTGCACTGGGCCTAGCCACAAGCCTACATGACCCTGCCTCCCTGCCCTCTCCATGCAGGTGGCCTTTTAACTCTGCAGACTAATACCACCTCCAAAGGAATTACACTGCGTTATCTTTCTGTGCCCTGTGCCTCGTGAAGTCCTTGGATGGTTTAGAGCACAGCTCCACAATAAGACAATGGGCATTTAAATGCTGGGATGTTTTCAAGGGTGATGCAATTAATTCAGATTTATTAGTCAAATAATAGAAATGCACCCACCGCTTGAGGCCCTTGGGTAGGCTGTGTCTGAGGGGTGGGTAGCGTGGTTTGGAGAGAACTGAGATTGAGGATTGCTGGCATCACACTTCCTCTCTGGCTTAGGGCTGATTCCCTCCCAGCACCTGCAGTCACCTCGCTGGTGGAGTCTCCTCTCACTGTCTGCAACCAGAGGGTTTCCCTAGCTTAGCAGTGGGAACAGTGAGATCTAAGCTTACCCTTAGCCTTTGCAAGACCCTTTCGAGGGTCCATGAGAAAAAACTATTCTGGTAAGTATACTCAGAGTTCTTTTCCTTTCAGTTGTTGACATTTGCACTGGTGGTACAAACACAATGAATGATGCATGAGACAGGGGCTTCTTAGCACAAGTCAGGGCAGCAGAACCCAAAGCTCAACCTTTGAATACACGTGTTTTTCAGATTCAGTGGGGCACATGGGGAAATAGGAGAAAAGCACTTATGTGTGCCAGTTCACAAAGGAAAAGCCCTTGGGTAATTGCACTGTGAGCCGAACTAGCCACTTTTTTCATGAAATACAATTTTAACTTGAAAAGAAACGTTAATTATTCAGACTTGGATATTTGGCAGATATATTCTCAAAAAGGAATCAAGCGAGCCTGTCACTTTTAGGAAAATAACTGATAGTATTTGTTGCCAATGATAAAATTCAAGCTTTGAACCATGAACTTGGAAGTTTTCCAGACTTTAAAAACTGGGGAACTCCATGGTGATACTAATCAATGTGGTGTTTCAATTCTTTTTTTTTTTTTTTTTTGAGATGGAATTTTGCTCCTGTTGCTCAGGTTGTAGTGTAATGGTGCAATCTTGGCTCACTGCAACCTCTGCCCCCTGGGTTCAAGCAATTCTACCTTAGCCTCCCGAGTAGCTGGGATTACAGGCATGCACCACCACGCCCAGCTAATTTTTTTTTTTTTTTTTTTTTTTTGTATTTTTAGTAGAGACGGGGTTTCTCCATGGTGGTCAGGCTGGTCTCGAACTCCCAACCTCAGATGATCCGCCCACCTGTTCCTCCCAAAGTGTTGGGATTACAGGCCTGAGCCACCATGCCCAGCCAGTGTTTCAACTCTTTATAACAAAATGCATCACTATTTGGAATGTCTGACTAACATATTATATATATATATAACTTATGTATAACTATGCCTAGCTGATAGTTTTCAGCTGATCATTGTACAATATTATACAATTATGCGTGAGTGAAAGATCCATTTTAAGAGAAAAATAGACCACAAGTTTTAATGTAACAGAGCACAAAAAGTTCATTGATAGGTTTCAGATTCCAAATTGTAACCAACCCTAAGAAACTAGCCCTCGTAGAGTCTTGTTAGGTATCAAAGAAGAATATTCACAGTTCTTTGGAAGGATTCTTTAAATAGCTCTCTCAATTCAACAGTGTGTCTGAGCCTTCATATACTTCAAATAAAACAACATATTGCAACAAGTTGAATTCAAAAGCAGATGTGAGAAACCAACTTTCTAAAAAACCAGACCTTAAAGAGACTTGCAGACATTAAAAACGGTGCCAGTCTTCTCAGTATTCTTTTGGTTTTTGAAAATATAGAGGTTTTTTAAATTGAAAAAAAGCTGTTTTAAAATAAATTAATAGACATTTTAAAATTCCGTTTTACCTTTTAGTATGGTAAATATCAGTAGATATATTCCATCTGCCTAAAAAGTGTTTGGATTATCAATAAATTTCAAGAGTCTACTGTTTTGGGTAATCTAGTTTTTCTACCTCAAATATTATTTGAATTTTTTGACAAAACATTATTCAATAAAAATAAATAAGAAATCCATTACCTCAATAAAGTATGAACAAATCCTTAAATTGTGAAGTAAAGAACTGGTTTTAACTTGGAGGCATTCATGTATTTTGGCATCATTTACACAAAGAATAGATCCCCTTGAACCTAGAGATTGGCAGACTTTTTTACAGAGCCTGGTAGTAGATATTTTTTGTTTTGTGAACTGTATCTCTGTCTCTGTCTCAACAACTCAACTCTGCAGTTATAGACAGCATGTACAGTGAGTGTGTCTGTGTTATGGTGGAACTTGATTTACTAAAACAAGTGGCAGGTCAGATTTGGCCAGAAGGTCATAGTTTGCCAACTCCTGCAAAATTTCCCCTAAAAGAACATTGCAGGGTTTTGATGACACAGCCACCTACGCTTTATGCATTCACATGTTCCAAAAGTGAATTAATTTTGGTGCTAAAGCTGGAATTTGAATTTTTTTAAGTTTAGGGTTTGTCAGTGAAGGCACCTTTTTAAACATTGTTTTAGTGGGGGCATGCATGGTGAGTTTCTGCTATTTGGGGAGCAAGAAGACAACTCCAAAGGAGCAGATAGCAGGAACTCAGGGAAGAAGGCGGCTGCCTTAGGCACTTGTGCGGGCTCGGGGACTATAAATGCAGCTCCCCTTGGGCATGACAGAAATACTTCTTTTCACCTCTCCCTCACAGACAGGCACTGTCCTTGCTCCAGGCCGAGCTTGGAATCTGCATGAGATATTTAAAGCTAAAGATGGCCCTTAGAAAATTGCTTTCTTGCTCACTGACTCTGGCTTCAGGCTGGTTTCTAGGAATTTCAAGACGCATGTATGTTTATAGGCTGCCTTCTGTAAAGGGAACATATCCCCTAGTCCCAATGCTAAATCAGGTGAACCCACTTTCCTGTGCCTCCCACTGTTCACCTCCTTGTCAGCCTCCAGGATAGGGGTACCTTGTTTTCATCCAGGACCTTCCAGCCCAGCATTCAGAGAACTTGGGCAAGTCGGGCTGTCAAGTTGAACGAAGTGAGATGTAGATTTACGTTGCATTCATAGTTCAAGTTTGGTGAAGCACGGTGTGTGGTTATAGAACATAAGAGCCCTGGCAGCTGGTGGCATTGGTGGTCTCTCCATCTCACCCATCCTCAGGGGCTATGGTGGTCTGGCAGGCTATTGCTGCTAATGCAGAATGCTCTTAAGGTTGCTCTCACACAGGTCTTCTTGCCATCGGCAGCAGTATGTAAGGCTGCGTCGAAGTCAGGGCTGACTTTCTTTCTTTCTTCAACATTACATGCAGAATCTCTGCTTAAGGACTGGCTTTCTTTTTAAGCATACACCAGCACCAAAAAGCAGCCCTTGCAGGGCTGGCTTTCTTTTTAAGCATACACCAGCACCAAAAAGCAGCCCTTGCTTTCTAGTGTCTTTATCTGCTCCAGTACAGTCTCCCTCAAGATGTATTGGAAGCTTTGGGAGAATGGCTGCATCAAGCATGTCACTTGTAAGAATGTTGAAAAGGTAGCAAGTATCTAAATATCACTTAGATCATACAGTCTCGCCCATAATTGAACAGATTTTACATCTATATATATCCATATTGATGTTTCCTCCAGCCAAGATCTCATTCTCAGTGAAGAGTAAATTCTCTGAAAATCATGTGGGCATATCTTAACTTTATTGGTGATGTATAATTAGCTTCAGGTATTGAAAGATTTGCTTTAACATTTTTTCCTAGATTATGTGATTCTACAGAGAACAAAAGTAAGCTTGTCACTTATGTGCCCTTAGATTCTCATGATGCGGTTTTGAGATTTAACTCTGCTCCTACACGTGGTTATGAGAAAGATGTTGGGAATAAAACCACCATACGCATCATTAATTCGCAGGTAAGACAGATGGAGTGTTTTCATGGATGTATGTTTCTTAGGTTTAACTGGATGAGTGAAGAGAAATGAGTTTAACCGGATGAGTGAAGAGAAGTTACCTGGTTAATTATGACCGTGGTACTTGTTTATTTCTATCAATCTTATAATTAATAGAAATTAATGAAGAAAACTGCAGAGAAATGGGAATTTAGACATGACATGAATAGGAGGAAATGAATAAAATTAAAAGGAAAAATCAGTAGAAATAGAAATATATATATTTATAATCATAGACTTAGCATGTTGCATTTTGTGAACTGACAAAAGTTAAATTTAGAAGAAATGGCAATAAAGAAAGCAGAGGATAAAGGGGAGAAAAGCAAAGTATAAAATCTGAGTTCATAGGAGATCTTTGCAACTTTAGTCTGCCATTTGGAAATTTGAAAAAATGGAAAGGAATTGTTTAATTGGAAATGAAAATACCTCGTTTCTTCACGTTCTTAATGAGAATGCCTTGAAAATTTATAGCAAAGTTATCCTCAGAACAAACCACAACAATTTCTGGAGTTTCAAAATATGTAGAAAAAAGTGAGGTGATGAGTGATTTATGGTGAGTTGCTTACAGAACAAAAGATTAGCTTTCTGCACAGTTCACTGCACCAGGCAGCCTGCCGCAAGGTAAGAAACAATTACCATATTTCCTTAATTCAGAGATGTCATTTGACTGTAAAATCTGCCATTCATTTAATAACAACTTTTTACAAAGGAGGAGGTAAATGCCACCAAATTAGAATACATATCATCTGTAACATACATTCTAACTAAGAAACTTTAACATGAGAAGGAAAAAAGTACATCGTAATAATGGTTAAAAAAAAAAAGTATCTTAAAACTGAGGGAAAATAATATGTTGTTTTTTCCTGAAATAATAATTTTAAAAAGATGATTGGCAGCTGAGATTGAAGAACTCATTTAGAACTAGGTAGGGCCACAGAGGGAAGGCTGTGGCTGGCACCCTGGAGGCTCCTTCTGAACTCACTTCATCCACACCTGCAACTCTGTCTCCAAATTACATGTGAAGGCAATTGTAGAAGAGGTTGTGCGGCTTGAATTAGCTAGGGAGTTGCATCGTTCAGGATCTGGATTCAATACCACTAGACATGAGTACATTGCTGGTGAAAATGTCAGAACTTGTGCTTTTTTTTAAAAAAAAGTAATTTCCTCAAACATTCTTTAAGTGCTTCTGCATGCAACGCCTGCCTCTCTCCCTCCCCCAGAAGAAAATACAACGTCTGAGCCACCTGTTTTTTTGCCCCAGTTCTTTTTAATTTTCACCTCTTTTTAAAATGCAATTTTTAAAAACCAAACCCTGGCTTTGAAATGGTTTTTCTGTGTGTTTGCAGATTCTGACCAACCCCAGCCATCACTTCATTGACAGTTCACTGTATAAAGACGTCATTTTGGTGGCCTGGGACCCTGCCCCATATTCCGCAAATCTTAACCTGGTAAGTGTTTCCCTGGATTTGCCCACCCCAACGGTCAGACAATGGCTTTGACTAATTAATCATAAGAGCAAGGCAAGGATTAAGCTTTGACAGACAATGAAAGTACCCATCAATATCAATTTAATGCATGTTTGTGAACACCACGTTGATACCCAGTTACAATAGCACACTTGTGAGCATTAGTCATCTAATGCCAAAGTGCTTTTGTGCAGAATCGGTGGGCAGGGCAGCCGGGTGGGGGAAATGTAGAATATCTAAATATTCAGAAATTTCTAGTTACACTAAAGGGTTGACTGATTAAACTCAGAATTGTTTCATTGTGATAGGGCTACATTACCTTTCAAGTAGTTGGAAGACCTTTTGAAATAAATTGAAGGTGATGGCACGAAAATCTCAACTTTGTGAATCCACAGCTCATTTTTATTTAAATGGGGCCTGTTCCAGGCTCTTCTTGAGTGTGTTCCTCTTTGGCCTCTGCTTCTAAATCTGTTGAATTTTATGCAATAGGGCTGAAACAAGTTTATTGCTAGCCATAAAAACACAAACAGGTTATATTTGGGACATTCTGGTAAATCATTGCCTGTCTAAACAAGCAGCCAGCTACTTTTGGTGAAACCTTTCATGAAAAGCCAGCATGCTTGTTTATCAGTGAGGGCTGGAAAAGATGGATAGTATTTAGCCTAGTAAGAGATGCTGTCAGTTCTGTAAATGAGCGTCTTTGACTTGTTTAGTCAAGACCAGAGAGGATGCAACCTTCTTAAGATGAGTGTCAGGGAAAGATCTTTGCTTCTGTGAGAGGTAACCTCCCAAGATAAAAGCGGCTCCTGGAGAAGGAGCATTTTGGTCACTGTTGACCTTGAGACTGAGGCTGGACATTTACCTCATATGATTACTTACAATTCTTGACCAGGAGTGCAAGTCAAAATCACCTGGAGAGTATTTTTCAAAATCTGTCAGAGCCCCATCTCCAGAAATGGAGGATATATATAGCCTCAATGTATATTTTTTGAGAGGGCTCTTTGATTCTCATATGTACCCTCCGCTGAGAATCAAGCATCAGATGGGTGTTTGAACTTTTCAACTTCCTTTCCAGCCTGAGGTTCCCTGGTTTTAAGCTCTCACAGCTCTCTTGCTATTTGTGAACAGACTTGAGAGTTTCTAGCTATTGGACCTTATTTCTTCCTCTGTTAGAAGCAGCTCAGCCCAGGGCACAGAGCTGGCCACCCAGCAGTGCTAAAATCCCAGTGACAAGGCCGCTTTCTGTAAGGCCTTTGCTGCCATGTGAGGCCCCAAGAGGAGGGAGGGTAAAGGAGCGACTCTCCCTCTGGCCCCACATTCCTCTTGCTCCCTTGCCAGTGCCACATGGCTTGGGGCTTCATTTATGAAAGATACTCTGGTCCAGTCATTCTCAAAGCTTTTAAAGTGACAGTGCCATTTCACTAGTGGAATATTTCCTGTGATCTTAATATATACCCATTATATACCCCTGATGTCTGTTTAAAGGGAGTTTGATGAGTTGAACTTCTCCCTACTCTCTCCAAATCCATGTCATGGTTACAGCTGAGATGCTTCTGAAAACTTCCTTTTTAGAAAACATCTTTATTGATTTTTCATACAATAACATACATGGTGTAAGCAAATATAAATGTACCTTTTGATGAATGATAAATTTATACACTCATGTATCTACCACCACAATGAAAAACTGGAATATTTCCATCACCCTAGAAAGTTCCTTTGTTAATCAATCCTAGTTAATCTTCCCAGCCCCAACTCAGGCCCAAGCAGCAACGATACAATTTCTGTTACTGTAGATGAAATTTGGAAAACTCATATTTGAAATACACTGATCCAGTTCCCAGGGGTCAACAAACTACACCCATGGGCGAAATCTAGCCACCACCTGTTTTAATAAATAGTGTTTTTTTAGAACACAGCACGCCCATTCAGTATTTATTGTCCATGACTGCTTCCGTGCTACGATGGTACCGTTGAGTAGAGACGACTGACTCTATGGCCTGCAAAGCCCAAGGTGTTGATTATCTGGCCCTTTGTGGAAGAAGTATGCTGATCCGTGATCTAGTCCCTTTTCCTCATTTTACTTAAGCACAAAGCATTATATCTGCTAGGGCTAGCGCCCTGGTCTGTCTTTGTTCTTGTCCCCTCATCCCAATGAGGAAGTGTCTGTAGATGTCATGAGTCATGATCTTTCCCCATCCTCTAGCCCCAGCCTGGCCCCTCTGCCTCAAATCAACCAGCCATGCCCTGTCTCCTTTCATAGTTTAGTTCTTTCTACTTGACTGCATTGATTTTTTTTTCCTTAGTGGTACAAAAAACCGGATTACAACCTGTTCACTCCATATATTCAGCATCGTCAGAGAAACCCAAATCAGCCATTTTACATTCTTCATCCTAAATTTATATGGCAGCTCTGGGATATTATCCAGGAGAACACTAAAGAGAAGATTCAACCAAACCCACCATCTTCTGGTTTCATTGGTAGGTGTTATGTTAAAAATTGGAATGATTGGGGGGCAGACAGGATGATATCTAATATTTAACAAATATACAGTCGTGTTATACAGGTTGAAAATACCTTATCTGAAATGCCTGGAACCAGAAGTATTTCTGATTTTGGATTTTTTTTTTTCAGATTTCAGAATATTTGCAGATATTTAACCGATTGAGCATCTCTAATCCAAAAATCCAAAATGCTTCAATGAGCCTTTGCTTTGAGTGCCATGTAGGCACACAAAAAGTTTTGGATTTTGGAGCATTTAAACTTTTGGTTATTCAGATTAGGCATGTTCCACCTGTATAGTAAGAGCCATTAACAGGTGGCTTTGGAGGGAAGGTAGGTTAACTAAGGAAAAAAAAAACACTCGTGTAACAGACTACTCTGAAATTCCAAGGTGTAAAAGCAAGAACCGTTTTATTTTTCTCATGGTTTTATGGGTCAGGACAGGCCTGGCTGGGCAGTTCTTTCTGTTCTATATGGCATCCATGGGGGTTATCTGGTGTATTCAGCTGCTTTGTGGGATTACTTCACTCCCACATCCATCCAGTCCCTTTGCAGGGATGGCTAAAGGCCCAGCTCAGCTGGGACAGTTGACCATGTGCCTGCACATAGTCTTTCTTGCATGGTGGTCTCAAAGTAATTAGACTTCTTAAATGGCAGCTTATGGATCCTAGGGAGAATGTCTGAAAACACAGAAAATCAAGAATTTGAATTCTTCTCTGCCACTGCCAGTTTCTTAAGGCCAACACCTAGTAACTGGTACAGCATCACATGTGCAATTCTATTGGCCAGAGTTACTGCAGGGCTCACTTGATTCCAGGGGACAAAACATAGACCCCCGCCTCTTGAGGGAAGTGAGGGAGGCATGTCCAGGAATGTGCAGCATCGTGAATCCACCACCCATGCCTGTTCACATAGCTTATGCCATGCTTGGTTGTGGAGCTGAATCTGTGACCACAGGATAGTGTGTTGTGTTTCAAGATTATGAGTAGGTGCGGGCTTTGATGAGACTAGTTCCAGTACCTCATTTAGCTCTCTTAACCGAAGAGTATGCCATCTTTCATCTACAGATGGGTTTTATATAACAAGAGCATCACACTGGGCCTACATTGTTTTCCAGTCTAGCTTTGATCCTCAGAGTTTTTGGGTTTTACCCCATTTCTTTATCTGTGTTTTAGCTTATCACCCCATTGTTTCTTTGATATTACCCGAGTGGGTAATATTAAGGAATATCCTAGACCCTTTTGGCAATATTAAAACCTATACAAGAACCAAAGGATATTGGTTTTGTCTTTAAAGAACTGTAATGTTCTCTTCCCCAGTTTTAATGAATTTACACCCCTTTTCCTTTCTTGGGCTGCACAGTAGTTCCCCATGAATAAAGGAAAGATTTGTGGAGATAACATTGGTTTGGTTATGAATTCAGGACACACAGGTATCCTGAATTGAAGCTTGCAGATTTTAGAGTGGGTTTTGGTATTGTAATAATGTGAAATATTTTACATATAATTTAAAAACAAAATTTACAATATGACTGCATATTATTTTCCTTAAGCTCAGCTTTTTTTCTCCCTTTTAAACTCATGCCTTTGACACTCTTTGTTTCCAAATCACTCTTTTGAAATCCTAAGTTCTTTATCTTTTGTGTGGTTTCATAGGATCTTGTTGATTTAGGAAAGAAAGTATAATCTAGTTTGTCAGCAAAGGATAAACAGGATAGAATAATGCCTAGACAGCATAATAGGATGTGACAGAAGTTTAATAAAGTCTTTTTCATATTGTCACCCTCTCATGAATTCATGTGGCTAATATTTGATTAGAGCAAAAGTTTTAAAGCACAGTTAGAGGGGCCTGTCAGATACACTTATTATCAACATGGGGTTTAAAAAATTCAAGTTAGATAGTCATAACTGAAAAAAAGTACTTTCCTATGTTGTTTTTGTTAAAAGAAATCATGCCATATATAGCCAGCTTCCTTTTAAAGCTATTTACTGAGAATTTAAAGTTTCAGAAGCTGAAGATTATCTTTAAGCCTTCTTTGACCTGAAGAAGGGGCTGCAGTTTGATGCAAGAAGTTGAGGTTGTGCAGGGTGGGTTGAGTTTGAATTCCCCTCTGCTGTTTCCTAGCTTTCTGACCTTGGGCAAGTTAGTTAATCCTCTGACCCTGAATATCCACAGATGAGAAATGGAAATACTAATAAGCATTATTATTTTCTAACACTGTACTGACCAATATGGCTACTTATGTTTCAATTATGTCAAACTGAATAAGAGGAAACCTTTTGTTTCTCAATCTCACTAGCCCAATCTCAAATTCTGAGTCACCGTGTGCTCCTGATGGCTGCCATATTGGACAGTGCAGAGAGAGAACAATTCCATTGTCCCAGAACGTTATGTAGACAGCACTGTTATGTTTTGCTAGTCACAAAAGAAAGAAAAACAGCAAGTTGATAAGAAATCCCTCAGTTCCCACTGGGCAGGCTGTGCTCTGTGGGTAAGGGTTGGGGGTGGGCGAGGATAGAAGAGGCAACAGAAGATGTGGTCTGGCGTTGTTAAATTTATTTGTGGCCCTTGTGCCTTGTCATGGTGAAGCATGTGAGAACCCTCACCAAGGATGGGCAGTGGAGACAGCTTGGATGAGTTCTGCTCAGAAAAACTCCAGCACCTTCTGATGACTCACGAGACTGCAGTAGTCTTTGCCCCTCTTCTTTGATCTTGATCATAAATAGGCTGAGAGCCAGAATCTGTTTTATAACTTATCCAACATCCTTAAATAGCAGTAAAATGATGTCACCCATATCTCAATCTGTCTGCTGTAAGAATTTTAAAAATCAATGACTGGTTTTTTTTCTGCTATCAAAAAGTGTTCTCCAAATGCCCCCTTCATGCTCTGAGGTCATGTTAAGAAGGTATTGACTTGTTGTCTCAGCACCTCATTGTTTCCAAGTGCTCTAACCTCTAACGTCAGCTCCTGAATGAAAGAACTCATCGAAGAGCTGTTAGAAGGGATTAGATCATTTCAGTTTGCACAGTCCCATCTTCAGCTCTGGGTACACCGGTCAGCAGGACGGTCACCATCGCAAAAGATCACCCTGGCAGTGTCCCTGGCCTCCGATTGTTCTGATCCACAAAGGGCTGCACTGGAGGTGAAACAGTGTGCCCCACTTCCTATACTGATATGCTCATTAGATACATGTATATACACATAGCTGCACACATGGTTGGCTTCATAGTGCTTTTGTTTTCCAATATTTTTGGCTGAAACCTTTACTGATATGTTCATCCTTATAGTCTCCCATGCCATTACTTATATTTCTAAACCCTCTGACATAGTTTGGATATTTGTCCCCACCTAGATCTCATGTTGAATTGTAATTCCCAATTCACCTGGGCCTGGTGGGAGGTGTTTGGATCATGGGGACAGATCCTTCATGGCTTGGGGCTATCTTCATGATAGTGAGTTCTTGTGAGATTTGGTTGTTTTCTGATTTTTTTTTTTTTTTTTTTGAGACGGAGTCTCGCTGTGTTACTCAGGCTGGAGTGCAGTGGCACGATCTCAGCTCACTGCAACCTCTGCCTCCCAGGTTCAAGCAATTCTCCTGCCTCAGCCTCCCAAGTAGCTGGGACTACAGATTTGGTTATTTGAGAGCATGTGGCACCACCTCCCGCCCACTCTGTCTCTTGCCCCTGCTTTCAACATGTGAAGTGCCAACTCTGACTTTGCCTTCCACCATGAGTAAAAGCTTCCTGAGGCCTCTTCAGAAGCAGATGCCAGCACTGTGCTTCCTGTACAGCTTGCAGAACTATGAGCCAATTAAATCTCTTTCCTTTATAATTTACGCAGTCTCAGGTATTTTATTATAGCAGTGCAAGAACAGACTAACACATCCACTGCATACATTTAACAGGCTAACACATCCACTGCATACATTTTCTTTATACATGCTTAGGAATCTGCATGTTTGAAATAGAGAGACTCTAAAAGTTGACTCTTTTGAACACGAAAGACATTTCTTTGTATGGAGATTATCCAGCGGCAGTTAGATTCCCAGGGAGAAGTTACTGAGCCCCTTAAATGTAGTGCTATTAGTGCAATTCAAGGCCTTGTTACTGGCGCCTGAATCCTTCATATAGGCGAAAGGTGGTGAAAAAGGAAGGTAAGGGTCACTGTCATGTGGATATTAATTGCACACTTCCTGTGTGCCAGACACAGGACTGGACCCCAGAAACCTGGTGGTGAAGAAACCAGACAAGGGTCCTGCCCACCCAAAATTTGCAGGACAGACATAAATAAAATCATTATAAAGTATGATAAGTCCAACGAAGGAAAAGAAAAGGATGCATCAAGGAATGGTCAGTGTCTGTTCTGCTCATCATTGTATTTCTGCTGTTAGCCTGGTACATAGCAGATACAAATAATAATTACTTGGTGAATGAATGAATGTTTTAGCTCAATGTTTTTCAAAATTTAGCATGTGTCAGAGTCAAACAAAAGGTTTGTATGCTAGTAAACCATTGCTGCAAAGCAAAAGTTAGATACTAAAAAGATTAATAAGCATTTATTCTCTCACACAATTTCCATGGGTCAGTAATCTGGGAGAAGATTGGTTGGATGATTCTGGCTCACAGTGTCTCATAAGGTTACAATGAAACTGTCTGGATTCAGGCTGGATAATGTGTTTCCAAGATGACTCACTTGCATAGCTGAGCACAAGAGACCTTACTGCATGAACCTCTCTCCATAGCACTGCTTGGGCATCCTCACAACATGGCAGCTGGCTTCCAGAGAACGGGGGATCTGAGAAAGAGCAAGGAGGAAGGCCCAATGTTTTTATGATGTCATAAGCTAACACATCTGCTACATTATCTTTGTTATACACAAGTCAGCACCATTGTTATGGGAGGAAACTATACAAAGGCATGAATAGCAGGCACGAATCATTATGGAGTCAGTTTGGAGGGTGGCTGTCACAGTTTTGTAAACCAGATTACCGGGCCCACCCCTAGTGTTTTTGAGTTGCCGGAGGTTGTGAGAATTTGCATTTGGAACAAGTTCTCAAGTGATACTGACACTGTTGGTCCTGGGGCCACGCTTTGAGAACCATTCTTTCAGCTTTTTGGAATCTTAAGAACTTTAGAAGTCTAGTCCACAGGCTCCGTACTGATGGAGGTACCAGCAAGGTGATATGCATTTGGCTCAGTAGAGGACACAGGAATCTTGAATAACTACTAATCATGTACTTATTGCAATCTTTAATCCCAAGTGGGATAATTATTTTTATTTGTATTTAGTTAAAACAATGTAATGTATTACTAAAAATATAACATTTTTGTATATTTTCATCTTTTGAAATTCCGTAACATTAAATCCTATATTCCAGCAGTATTGGATGTTTCTGTTTGTTTGTTTGTTTTGAGACGGACTCTCACTCTGTCATCCAGGCTGGAGTGCAGTGGAGCCTTCTCGGCTCACTGCAACCTCTGCCTCCTGGGTTCAAGCAATTCTCCTGCCTCAGTCCCCCGAGTGGCTGGGACTACAGGCGCGTGCCACCGTGCCCAGCTAATTTTTTGTATTCTTAGTAGAGACGGGGTTTCACCATGTTAGCCAGGATGGTCTCGATCTCCTGACCTCCTGAACAGCCTACCTTGGCCTCCCAAAGTGCTGGGATTACAGGCATGAGTCACCTTGCCTGGCCTATTCCAGCATTATTGGATGTTTTAACTACAAATACAATTATTCTTTTTGTTTCTTTGGAAGACATAACTATAAAATTTACTTGCTTTACTAATGAACTCAGTTTTTGTCCTTAAAACTTCTTGTGAAATGACATACATTACAATGTGAACTGTAAATCCTTTTCTTAAAAGTGCATTTGTGTTTGTTCCTATCAAGTGGGGACCCAGATTCTTGAATATACTGATTAGTGGGGTATAAGTTTGCAAAAAGCAAGCAAAGTTCCAACTGTCATTGATTGCAGGAAGGCATTCTCTCACTAACATTTGGGCAGATGCAATTTGGTGTGGTCGACTTGAATGTTTCTCCCTGTAAAATTTGTATGTTGAAATTCTAACCCTCAAGGTGATGTTATTAGGAGGTGGGACCATTGGGAGGTGATTAGGTCATGAAGGTGGAGCTGCCCTCATGGACAGGATTAGTGCCCTTATAAAAGAGACCCCAGACAGCTCATTTGCCTCTTCCACTGTGTGAAGACACAGCAGAAAGATGGCCATCAATGAACCAGTAAGTGGGTCCTCACGAGACATTGAATCTGCTGCATATTGTTCTTGGAATTTCAGGCCCCTAAAACTATGAGAAATAAATTCTTGTCATTTATAAGCCACCCAGTTTATTGCATTTTGGAACAGCAGCCCAAATGGAATAAGACATTCAGCCAACACCTTCCTCTCAAAAAGCATAACATACTTTTTGCACTTTCATTAGCAACCCCTAGCCCAGTACCAGTAGTCTCTTTGATGGCTCATACATCGTGTGTTCTTGCCTTATTGGATTAGGAAATCTTTCTCTCTCTCTCTCTCTCGATCTCTCTCTCTCTCTCTCTGTGTGTGTGTGTGTGTGTGTGTGTGTGTGTGTGTGTGTGTGTGTTTTCTGCTGGGAAAAGGAAAGCAATAAATGTTAAAGGGAAAAGGAGTATAGAAACAACTTCTGTTCAGTGCACCAGTCTGAATGTTTCTTGGTTAGTAGGCCTGGAGATATTGTGACATCAGAATTGTCATTGATCTAGTACCCCATAGGCACGGCTGAGCTTTTTCTTTGGTGCTGTAAGATCTGTGCATTATTTCCTATGGAGAAGAAAATCAGATTTCCTAGTAAAATCAGATTTGGACAGAAATACTTAGTTTGCAACCAAATAAATTCTTCCTGTTTTATCTGAAAATAACAGGGCTTCCTTTTCCACTTCAAGAGAAAGAACAATAAGTTTCAAAATTTGAAGAACACATTGACCTAGCATTGAAGAAAGCAAACTCTAAGAACCTCTTCACCAAAAGTATTTTATTGTTGGAAAAACACCTGATTTCAGAAGTTTGCAATTTACGTACATAGAAAGTTTATCAAAGATAACAATGATTCTGTTTTCCTTACAATAAATGAATTCTAAAACATGCGAACAATTACATTATTGACATAATATAAATACATTTTAATATGAAATTAAACTATGCTTTCATTACAAGCTTACTTCAATATTAATAAGATTCTTATTAATGGAGAAACTGCATGGCAAAAATGGCAAAAACCACAATTACTTTTGTACCAACCTAGTATAATTTGAAGTCAGGTCATGTGATTTCCCCAGTTTTGTTCTTTTCACTCAGGATAGTTTTGGCTACTCTGGGTCATTCTATTGAATGGGTCTTTTGTGATTACATATAAATTTTAAGATTTTTTTTCTGTTTCTGTGAAGAATGTCATTGGTATTTTGATAGGGATTGTATTTAATCTGTGGATTGCTTTGAGTAGTATGGACATTTGAACAGTATTGATTCTTCCAATCCATGAACATGGAATATATTTCCATATTTTTGTGGCCTCTTCAACTTCTTTCATGGATGTTTTATAATTTTCATTATCGAGATCTTTCACTTCTTTGGTTAATTCCCATGTATTTTATTTGTAGTTATTGTAAATGGGATTACCTTCTTGATTTCTTTTTCAGATTGTTCATTGTTGGCATATAGAAATGCTACTGATTTTTGTATGTTGATTTTGTATCCTGCAACTTTACTGAATGTTTATCAGTTCTAATAGTTTTTTGGCGGAGTCTTTAGGTTTTTTCAAATATAAGATCATGTTGTCTGCAAACAAGGATCATTTGACTGCTTCCATTCGAATTTAGATGCCCTTTACTTCTTTCTCTTCTCTGATTGCTCTAGCTAGGACTTTCAGTGCTATGTTGAATAACAGTGATGAAAGTGGGCATCCTTGCCATATTCCAGATCTTAGAGGAAAAGTTTTCAATTTTTCTCCATTCAGTATGAAACTAGCTATGGGTCTGTCATATATGGCTTTTATTGTGTTGAATTATGTTCCTTTTATTCCCACTATTTTGAAGGTTTTTATCATGAAATGATGTTGAATTTTTTCAAATGCTTTTTCAGCATCGGTTGAAATGATTATATGTTTTTTGTCCTTCATTTTGTTAATGTATCACATTGATTGATTTGCATATGTTGAACCATCGTTGCATCCCAGGGATAAATCCCACTTGGTTGTGATGAATGGTTTTTTAATGTGTCGTTGAATTCAATTTACTAGTATTTTATTGAGGATTTTTTAAAATCAATATTCATCAAAGATATTGGCCCATAGTTTTCTTTTTTGATGTGTCTTTGTCTGGTTTTGGTATCAGGACGGCTTGTAGAATGAGGTTGGAAGTATTCCCTCCTCCTTTATTTTTCAGAATGGTTTGAGTAAGATTGGTATTAGTTCTTCTTTAAATGTTTGGTAAAATTCAGCAGTAAAGCCATTGAATCCTGGACTTTTCTTTGCTGGGAAACTTTATTACAGTTTTGATCTCATTAATTGTTACTGGTCTGTTCAGGTTTTGGATTTCTTTATAACTCAATCTTACTAGATTGTATGTGTCTAGGAATGTATTAATTTTTTCTAGGTTTTCCAATTTATTATATACTATTAATATATATACAATTTAATATATACTATTATAGTTGCTCATAGTAGCCTCTAATGACCCTTTGGATTTTTGTGACATCAGTTGTATTATGTCTCCTTTTTCATCTCTAACTTTATTTATCTGGGTCTTCTTTCTTTTTATCTTTATCTGGCTAAATATTTTTCAATTTTGTTTATCTTTTCAAAAAGCCAACTTTATGTTCCATTGACCTTTGTATCATTTTCTTCATTTCAATTTCATTTATTTTGCTTGATCTCTATTGTTTCTACTAATTTTGGTTTTGGTTTGCTCTTGCTTTTCTGCTTTTTAAAGATACATCATTTGGTTGTTTACTTGAAGTTGTTCTACTTTTTTATGTAGATGCTTATAGCTATAAACTTTCCTCTTGGTACTACTTTTGCTTTATCTCATAGGTTTTGGTATGTTGTGTTTTCACTATCATTTGTTTCAAGGAACTTTTAAATTTTTTTTCTAAATTTTTTCACTGGACCACTGGTCATTCAGGAACATACCATTTTATTTTCATGTGTTTATATAGTTTCCAAAATTCATCTTTTTAATTCCAAAATTCCTCTTGTTAATTCTAGTTTTATTCCATGGTAGTCAGAGAATACACTTGATACAATTTCAGTTTTTTCAAATTTTTTAAGACTTGTTTTGTGGCCTAACATATGGTCTACCCTTGAGAATTACCCAGGTGCTGAGGAAAAGAATGTGTATTCTGCAGCCATTGGATGAAATGTTTTGTAAATAATTATAGGTCCATTTGGTCTGTGATACAGATTAAGTCTAATGTTTCTTTGTTGATTTTCTGTCTGTATGACCTGTCCAATGCTGAAAGTGGGGTGTTAAAGTCTCCAGCCTTTATTATTTTGGGGTCTAGCTCTCTCTTTAGCTCTAGTAATATTTGCTTTATGGATCTGAGTTCTCCAGTGTTGGGTCCAAAATATATTTACAATTGCTATATCTTCTTGCTAAATTGACCCCTTTATCATTATATAATGACCTACTTTGTCTTTTTTTTATAGGTTTTTGGCTGGAAGTCTATTTTATCTGATACAAGTGTAGCTACCCCTGCTTTTAGTTGGGAGGTGGGTTCCATTAGCATGGAATGTCTTTTTCTATCTCCTTATTTTCAGTCTATGTGTCTCTTTATTGGTGAAGTGTGTTTCTTGTAGGCAATAGATCATTGGGTCTTGTTTTGTTATCCATTCAGCCACTCTGTGTCTTTTGACTGGAGAGTTCAGGCCATTTACATTCAGTGTTACTATTGATAAGTAAGGACTTACTCCTGCCATTTTGTTGTTTTCTGATTCTTTTGCAGTCTCCTCTTTCTTCTTTCCTTCCTTCTTGTCTTCCTTTTAGTGAAAGTGATTTTCTCTGGTGGTATTTTAATTTCTTGCTTTTTACTTTTTGTGTACCTGTTGTGTGTTTTTCAATTTGAGGTTACCATGAGGTTGGCAAATAATATCTTCAATTCATTATTTTAAACCAATTGCATAAATAAAGAGAAAACCAATAAAAATTCTACATTTGTGTCGTCCTCCCACTTTTTAAGTTTTTGTTGTTTCTCTTTATATCTTTTTTTAATGTCTGTATCTTGAAAAGTTGTTATAGTTATTATGTTTGATCATTTTTCAGTCTTTCTACTCAAGATATGAATAGTTTACAGGCTATAATTATTATAATATTCTATGTACTTAATATAGTGAGTACCTTTTGTACCTTCAGATTTCTTATTGCTCATTAACATTCTTTTCTTTCAGATTGAAGAATTCCCTTTATCATTTCTTGTTGGATATATCTAGTTTTGTTGAAATCGCTCAGTTTTTGTGTGTCTTGGAAAGTCTTCATTTCTCCTTTATGTTTGAAGGATATTTTTGCTGGATATACTATTCTAGGATAAAAGTGTATTTGTTTTTCCTTCTGCACTTTAAATATGTCATGCCACTCTCTCCTGGCCTGTAAGGTTTCCACTGAGAAGTCTGCTACCAAACATATTGGAGCTCCATTGTATGTTATTAATATTTGTTTTTTTTTTCTCTTGCTGCTTTTAGGATCCTTTCTTTATCCTTGACCTTTGGTAGTTTGGTTATTAAATTTCTTGAGGTATTCTTTTTCAAGTTAAATCTGCTTGGTGTTCTATAATCTTGTACTTGAATATTGGTATATTTCTCTAGGTTTTGGAAGTTTTCTGTTATTATCCCTTTGAATAAACCTTCTACCCCTATATCTTGCTCTACCTCCTCTTTAAGACAAATAGCTCTTAGGTTTGTCCTTTTGAGGCTATTTTCTAGATCCTGCAGGTGTACTTTATTCTTTCTTATTCTTTTTACTTTTGTCCCTTCTGACTATATATTTTCAAATAGCTTGTCTTCAAGCTCACGAATTCTTTCTTCTGCTTGAATAATTTTGCTATTAAGAGACCCTGATGCATTCCTTGGTATGTCAATTGCATTTTTCAACTCTGGAATTTCTGCCTGATTGTATTTGATTATTTCAATCTCTTTGTTAAATTTATCTGATAGGATTCTGAATTTCTTCTTTCTGTTATCTTGAATTTCACTGAGTTTCTTCAAAACAGCTATTTTGAATTTTCTGTTCAAAGGTCACATATCTCTGTCTCTGTGGGATTGGTCACTGATGCCCTATTTAATTTGTTTGATGAGGTCATTTTCCTGGATGGTTTTGAGGCTTGTGGATGTTTTCTGGTGTCTGGGCATTCAAGTGTTAGGTATTATTGTAGTCTTCACAGTCTGGGCTTGTTTGTATCTAACCTTTTTGAGAAGGCTTTCTAGGTTTTTGAAAGGAGTTGAGTATGGTATTATGATCTAAGTTTTTGGTCACTTCAGCTGTATCTGCATTAAGGGGCACCCCAAGCCCAGTAACACTGTGGCCCTTGCAGACTTGTAGAGGTACTGCCTTGGTGGTCTTGGATAAGATCCAGATGAATTCTCTGGATTGCCAGTCAGAGACTTGTTCTCTTCCCTCACTTTCTCTCAAACAAACAGAGTCTTTCCCTCTGTGCTGAGCTGCCTAGAGTGGGGAAGGGGGGACAAAAGCACCTCTGTGACCACCATCACTGGGACTGTACTGGATAAGTTTTGAAGCCAGCATAGCACTGGCTCTCACCTAAGGACCATGGTAACCACTGCCTGGCTACTGCCTATGTTCACTCAATGTCCTAGGGCTCTACAATCAGCAAATGATGAAGCCAGCCAGCTTGTGTCCTTCCCTTCAGGCTAGTGAGTTCCCCCTGGCCCCAGGTGGGTCTTGAGATGCCATCTGGGAGCCAGGGCCTAGAGTCGGAAACTTAGGATTCTACCTGGTATTGTATTTAGTGCAGCTGACCTGGCACCCAAGGCACAAGACAGAGTCCTCCCCACTGTTCTTTCCCCTTTTCACAGCAGAGGGGTGTCTCCCATGGCCACTACTAGCCCAGGCTCACAGTGAGTATTGCCTGGCTTCCACCAATGTACATTTAAGGCCCAAGGACTCTTCAGTCAGCTTATGGTAAATGCTACCAGACCTGGGATTCTCCTTTCAAGGCAGGGGGCTCCCCTCTGGCCCAGGGCAGGTCAAGAAGTGCTGTGTGAGAGCCAACGCCTGGAATCTGGCACCCCAGGAGCCTGCTTGGTGCTCTAACCCACTTTGCCCAAGCTGGTACCTTTGCTGCAAGACAAAGTGCCCTTTACTCCTCCTTTTCCTTTTTTCAAGCGGGAGTCCCTCCCTGTAGCCACCACCACTGGGAAAATGCTGAGTGTCACCTGAAGCCAACATGGCTCTGAGTCTCACCCAAGGCCCACAGTGAGTACTGCCTGAGTACCACTGCTAATTATTCAAGACCCAGCAGCTCTTTAGTCAGCAGATGATGGATCCTGCCAGGACTGAGTCCTTCTCTCCATGAAGCAGGTTCCCTTCTGGCTCAGATGTGTCTAGAAATGTCAGCCAGGAGCTAGGGCCTGGAATGGGGGCCTCAGGACTCTATCTGGTGCCCTATCCTACTGTGGCTGAGCTGGTATCCAAGTTGCAAGACAAAGTTCTCTTTACTCTTCTCTCTCCTCTCCTGATAAGGAAGGAAGGAGTCTCTTCCAGAGGTGCAGCCTGTGCTGCCTGGAGTTGGGGGAAGAGTGGTGCAAGCACTCCCTTGGCTGCCCTAGCTTGTGTCTCGCCAGGTCACATGCCTCCAAGTCCACTGGCTCTGAGCCCAGCACAGCACTAGGACATGCCCAGGAATGGAAGTCCTTGTGGCCTAGACTGCCGTTGATGTTTATTTAGGACACAGGAGCACTTTAGCCCCTGGTGGCGAGGCTTGCCAGAACTCAGGTTGTGACCACTGGGATGGATGATTTGCCTTTGGCCAGGGCTGGTCTAAATGCTCCTTCCATAGGTTCTGGCTGAGTTCTGCCCGGTGTTGCTTTCTGCTGTAACAGGGCAGCCCCGAGTTCCATTGCAAAGTCTCCCAGTCACTGCACTTTCCCTCCCCACAAGTGCACAGATTCTCCTCCCTGCTGGGGGATGGAGGAGGCACGGTGTTGGCAAGGTAAGACTGAGTTTCCGACTCTCTTCAGTGCTCCTTTCAGTGATAGAAAATTAAAACCAGGTACTGTGATCACTCGCCTGGTTTTTGGTTCTTACGAAGATGCTTTTTTTGTGTGGATAGTTGTTGACTTTGGTGTTCCTGCTGGCAGGACAATTAATTGGTGGAGGCTTCTATTCGGCCATCTTGCTCTGCCTCCCTATATCCTTATTAAGGTTTTAAAACTAATGTGTACTGAAGTTAGCCCTCTCAAATTTCTAAATTAATATTTTTAAATCTTGTTTTCTGTGTTTTTAACATCAGGTTTTTGTTATTACTGAGCAACTCCACCTCACAAAATATTCTGAAGAATCATTATTAGAGTTGACTATTTACTGCAATTAATCATGGAAACCTGAGTCAAAGTTGCATATCAATTATTGATAATTATTTTTCAAAACACTTAAACCATAACTTTGCAAATATGTTTTGACTTTTAGTATCAAGATTATTTCTTGGAATTCAGTAAAAACCTGACTAGCTTTTTAACAAATCCCATTTTATTAACGTATGTAAGGCTGAGGAGGTTTAGAATTACTATTTATCCTCACATAAGTATGTGTCCAAAGCTTTCACCAAACCTTAAGGAAGAGAATGACTCTGCCTTACTTTATTAGTTTTTCTTTGCAACTTTTGGGATAATCTCCTAGAACTTTGCAGTCCTTATAAAAAGAAGCAAAATAGTAATATAACTAAATGTTTATACAATTTTAAAAACACCAAATAACTCCACCTCCTTTTCTGGTACTGCCATCCTGACTTTATTTTAGTGTATACCCTTCCAAATCTTGAGCACATCCAGATTTTAACGTTGTTGTAATGAACAAGGCTCCCTCACTGTGAAGCAGCACAGCACAGTGCATGGTGTTCCCTGATTGAAAAAACAAATGAATGAATGGGAGGCTGTGATTGATGTCATCTTATAGACTCTCACCTTTGATTTAACTGGTCTCATATGTAGAAGGGTGGCCACCCTCCTGGCCTGTCACTTTATGTGTGCACTGTGGCTAAGACCTTAGATTCTACAGAGACCAGAATCAAGTCTTGGCCCTACCACTGAGTAGCTATATGACCTTGAACAAGTTACTTAGCATCTCCAAACCCCAGTTCCTTCATCTGTAAAATGAAGATACTGATAGTACCTTTAGCTTTGAATTATCATGTGCCTAAACACAATAACTAATGTTTACTATTTGCTGTTATTGTAATGCGTGTCATCTGAAAATGTATAATAGGTCAAATAAGACTCTTTCCCAAACAGAAAAGGACTGTTCTTTCATTAAGACCTATAATCAAGGTGAAAATAGACTTTTGTTTTCCTTGCTATTACAGAGATCATATAATTACATCAAACAGGTGTATCATAATATATGCCTTTGTTTAGTTGTTGATATTCTGGTTGTTTCAGAGTGCTTGATATTATCAAACAATTATGTTGACAAGTCATTACTCTATGTATGTACTCATACAAATTATGTGCAGTAAGTGACTATATAGACTTTTCTTTAAACTATTTCCTTAAGATAAATTCCCAGGAGTATTAGTGCCAGTGCAAAGGGTATGGCATTCTGGTGATTATTGATAAGAGCTGACATATTGCTTTCCCAAGAATTATGTAGTTGAGTTTCTAATTAGACTCCATATTTGTCCTCTGGGTTCACAGAAGAAAGTACACTAGTAGATATATTGGATTGTGTTACATGTACTATCTCCTTCTCTAGAGAAGCAATAAAGGAATTCATACACCTATTATTGGACTGCACATGTATTTTTAAAACTAAAAAGATGTAACATGAATCAGGGTAATTTAGATGATCCATAAGGACTCGTTTCTTTGGAACAACTTCTCCATCTCATTAGCTTCCTTACACTCAGCCCATTGGGAGCTACTTGTTCACATATGAAGAGCATTTCTCTCTTTCATCCCTAGTCAGATACTAGAGATTTTATCTTGTTATTCAGTGCAATGAAGTCATTTTGACTGTGCCTGACTGAGGATAAGGAATAATTTACTTGGAGTCCTGTAGCTTCTATTTTGCCCACGTAATGACATATTTTTATAGGTGAGTGATCTCACCTGGGGTCTTCATGCACAGCTGGATGGGTTTGCCACCTGCATGCAGTAGGGCATCCAGGCACACCAGCAGGCACCAGCCTCACCCACCCCGGCTCCCAGCCTGAGTGTTAACAGGCAGACAGGCCTTGTAGCCAGGGCCTCTGCCCAACATACACATAGACGTGGAACTCCTTTTTAAGGTACAATTGCCAATTCTTTTTATTGCAGAAGCCAGCAACACCCCCACCTTGCCTTTTTTTTTTTTTTGAACGCAAACACTACTCGTAATATTGTAACTAATATTTCTGAAGCTTACAGGTGCAAACACTGTAATTTCAGGCCAATTTATAGATGCACAAGAATAATAGGCTTAAAAACACATCATAACTTCTTTCTTTTCCATTTTATATTGGCTTTTGGAATCTCATTTTTTAATGTGTCACCCAAACTCAGAACATTAACACAAAATAATAAGCTACTTAACATCTATATTTAGGATCGTGTCAAATGTGTCACAGTTTTGTTGGTTAGGAACAACTTTTTGTATTTTCCTGTAAATAATGAATCCTGAGTGTGTGATAACAACAAATAATGCAGTGTAAATGAGCTAAAAATTGACCTTCCAGTATTATTCTTGCATTATACTATTTTGTTTAGGGTGGTAGAGTCTTCTTAAATTACATCAGGTTCAAATTTCCAAACCATCTTTTAGTTACAAATATTTTCTAGAACTACCACTTAAAAAGTCACTTTTATCTCTTTAAGAATCTCAAGTGTAGCTGTCATTATTTTCCATTTTATGATTGAATTTAAGGAGAAACCACAAAACAGCTCCTAGAGTTCTGTTAGTCTGGCATATTTAATACACTTAGCCTTTCACCCTCACCCCTCATTCGGAAAAGTGTTCTGCAGTGTTCTATTGGTGACTCTTAGAAACTGCTAATTTACTTCATGTGTGAGTTATGTTCAAGTGTTTATTAGAATTGATTTAAACTGGTAGTTTTCCTGTTACTTGTATTATGTTCTGTTTTATATCCAGAGCTCATTTTGCTATTTAATGAAAGGCTATTTTCATCAAGGAGAAAATTTTGTTTTTCTCAATGATTTGGGATGTTATTTTAAATATTCTGCCAAGTGGAAAACAAGATAGTTTTGGCATAACCACAATTAAGCTAAATGCTAAATGATTATACTAGACTCTGATAACACATCAAATATATCTATATATGCCAATTAAAGATGTATAAAGGAAACCTCAGTCATCTAGAATTTGTGATAATCTGAACATGTGTTAAAGTTTGCCTTTTATTCAGGTTTTGGAGCAAATAAATAAGTGCCCATTCTGCTTATTATGCTGAATCATATAACATGACATTTTATCAAAACCAGTAGAAATGCTTTTTAAATGGTTTGATAATTATCTTGCGTTATATGATGTTTAAAAGCATACAGTTCAGCAAATGAATGCCTCTTGAGTCACAATTGCCTAGAAAATACTAATACTTATTTTCTTCAAATGAATCCCTCATATAGGCTCATTTGTAAAAATTGGCCATATCAGAGCTTGCAGTGAGCCGAGATCACGCGACTGCACTCCAGCCTGGACGACAGAGTGAGACTCCATCTCAAAAAAAAAAAAAAAACTGGCCATATAAGAAACTTAACATTCATACTGTTTAAAGATTCAAAACAGCTGGCCCCATACCCATTTGATTGGCTTGAAAAAATACATTAAAACGTGTCTAAATCTTGATCTGCCTATCAAAAAGTCCAGCCTCATGTTGAAAGCAGTAAAACTTTCATTAGTGATAAAGTTGTTAATTTTTTGTAGTTCTTAAACAAAATTACTTAACATAAAAGTTTCTTAAATGCTTTTTAAAAGCTGTCCTTTACTGAATTGCATGTTATTAGATGATTTGTATTCTTCTTGCATTTTATGTAGTCCTGAGCAGACATAAGAGAGGAAATAAAAAAAGAATCAATAACATTTTTAGCATAACCAGATGTAAATTCCCCACATCAGTCTGGCATGGGGAAATGATTACAAAGTAATGTGATACTTTGAATTTGTGCATATATGGTATCCGGGCAGAAAAGACAACACCGCCAGCTTGACTGCTTATCCTCAGGAAGGCCTGCTTATAAGACTGGCCCTTGGCTGATGTCTGGGAACTTGGATTTTTTGGGAAGGTTCCCACCCCTCTAACTGATAAGCGTGGTTCACTATGTGTGTGCTGTTTATGCAAGAAATGTGGTTTATGCTGGATACTTGCTTTCCTTCCGAGAGTCTGGAATTTTAGTACATGCCAGGCAGAGACTGCTGACATGACCAGTTTCAAATAGAAACACTGAGTACTGAGTCTCTCAAAAGCTTCCCTGGTTGGCAAAATTTCATTTGTGTTGTTGTCTCCATTATTTCTGGCTGCTATAAGAAATACCATAGACTGGATGTGTTAAACAACAGAAATTTCTCTCTCATGGTTCTGGAGGTGAGACGTTAGAGAGCAGGCGCTGGTCAGTTTGGCCTCTCTTCCTGATTCAGAGACGGAGCCTTCTTGCTGGTTCCACACATGGTGTTATTGCAGAGAGAAATCATCTCCACAACATCTCTTCTTACAAAGGCGCTAATCCCATTCATGAGGGCTCCACTCACGTGACCTAATCACTTCCCAAGGCCTCACTTCCTAATACCATCACATTAAGGATTAGGAAGGATCTCAACCTGTGAGTGGGGATGGAGACACATTCAGTTCGTAGCAGTGGTCACAACTCATTGCTGGGGGAATTCAGTCCCTGTGCCACTCCCTGGGAGTGGATTCTTGAAGCTCGCACCTGGTTCCCCTGGACTTTTTACCCTGTACACTTCTTCCTTGTGGTGATTTTGCTTCGTATCATTTTGTATAAATCATCATCGTGAGTAAAACCCTATGCTAGATTCTGGGTCTTCCTATTGAATCATTGAACCTAGGGGTGTGTTGGGAACTGACACAGGACCTTAATGGTGGTGACTCAGAGTTCATTTGAGAGCTGTGTGCTGTTGGTAGTCATTTGTGAATGACAAGGCTCAGCATTGGGGCATTGCAGAAGAGATCTGGTGGTAGTTCATAAACATTTTTCTCAGTATGACGTTTAGGATACTTTCTTCAAGCCATCCTAAGAATGGTCATGGGCCTTCTACTGTCTTTAAATTTAAAGGTGAAATCTTTAGTTTTATTTAATATCTTTACCTTTTTAAAGAAAGGTGCTCTAAATTGCCAATGATTAGTACCGTGGTCAGCTTGATAGATGTTGAATTTAATTGAGGAGGCCTCAAACAGCACTTAAAGACTCTATTCTTCCCTAATCCTGTCCCCGTCCTGTCTGCCTGCAGTATCTACTCCCCACCTACCCCATTCTGAACCATGTAAGAGCTATTGTTATGTATGTCCAAACATTGACATCTACCTAGTTCTCTTTTGCAAAGTATGAAGAAATTTATTCTTCAGGTGTTTGTGTATTGCTAAGTACTATTATTAACTCTTAGGAAAATTGATATGTAGATGGAATCAAATTTAATACTAATAATTTTCACTATTTATTATATGACAGAGTCTGAATCTAAACTCAAATTTATGTATAACAACAGCCTTAAAGAAAATTAAAAGACTAAGTATGCATATGCTAAATGAATTGATCATGCTGCCTGAAAAAAAAAGTTAAAATGTTAAAGAATATTCTACGTCTTTGGCACCATAAACCTCCTTGTCTGCCTTTCACATTACACAGTTTTATTATTACTAGTTTTATTATTTATTTATTTATTTTGACAGGATGCCACTCTGTCGCTCAGTGAGCATGAGAGTGCAGTGGCACAATCATGGCTCACTGCAGCCTCAACCTCTGGGCTAAGGTGATCCTGCCACCTCAGCCTCTTGAGTAGCTGCGACCACAGGCACGAGCCACCATGCCTGGCTGATATTTTGTATATTTTTGTAGAGACGGGGTTTCACCATGTTGTCCAGGCTGGTGTCAAACTCCTGGGTTTGAGTGATCCACCTGCCTTGACCTCCCAAAGTACTGGGATTCCAGGCGTGAGCCACTGCACGCCCTACTCCACAGTGAGTTTTAAATTATTTTTTTCCTTTTTTTTGGAAGATGCCTCCATACCAATTCCGTATCAGTGGCTGCAGCTGGCTGCCGCCTAAACACTCAGGGTAGATTCTACTGTTTAATTTTAGGATGCTCCAAGCCATGGTTCATAGTTTCAGGAAGCCACCAATTCATGAGACTACAAAACAAGATGGAGAAATCATTGTTGCTAAATCTCTATCTGATAGGCAAAGATCAGGAAGAACTGTGCAGAAAACTCAGGACAAACACCCACTTTCATAGGATCTATTGGCTTTCAATTTGGACTGCCATGAGCTAACTGACAAATCCCTCTATTTCTGAAGCTGAAGAAGTTCTTTTTAAATATAGAGTACTTATATAAGAAAATACTAAAAGTGTGCCTATTTACATATATTGAAAGCATAACTATTTGCATAGTCTATGACAAAATCTATATTGTATATTTAGCAGATAACACGATTTAACGGTTAACTAGCAGCAAGGATAAAATTTTTCTCTGGAAAAACAATCAGATTCAAGCATCTGATAGCTCTTTGAGTCTAAGAGGATAGCAAGGATGTATAGGGAAGCTCCCCAGAGTTACTTGGATTTGGTAGCAGTTCAAATCTAGATCAGCTGTCAACATGCAGAATGTCTTGCTACCTATGAGAGAACTTAGGGATTCCTCAGCAGTTTTCAAAAAATATGTGTGTTAAAACAACCTGGTCCTTAAAGCATGGAGAGTAGACCAGCACTGGTCCAGGAACGTGTGTTACTGGTCTACAACTAGATTCGTGTAGAAAATGGAAGGATTTAGACACCTTATAGCAATTTCACATAGCCATGGCATCCAAATAGTTGATCATTTTTCTCGTAGTTCCTCATTATGGTATTTTACAAAAGCATTGGTCTGTGATAGGTTGGAACTTTTCTCTAACTGGCCTTTCACCTAAAGGGAACGCTTGTTAAAAGTTCAGATTCCTGGACCCCAGCACAAACCAATAGAACCTGAATTTCTGGAAATGAAGACAAGTCCCAGGAACCTGCATTTGATCAAGCTGCCTGTGTCATTCTTTTCCATGCTGAACTTTGAGGACTACTGCTTTATGGGGAGGACCAACTGCACAGCTAACATACTCCCCTAAGTATAAGATTGGCTTTTGAAAACCATCCAGTTTAAGAACCAGAGTTGCAAAGGTCACAACTCCAACACAACTGACTCCAGTCCTTACGGACGCCATTGTGTTATTAGCTCATAGAAATGCCCAAGTAGCAAAGAACTGTGGTTTCTGGGTACAGTTCCACTGCTAGGTTATACAGTGACTTTGTGTAAAAGACACTCTTGAAGCCACCCCCCTGCCATGTGCAAGCAAAGTGTTGTAATAAATATATTGATTAATGATGCCCGTGATGAAGTCCACCCCCTTCAGCGTGATTCCTTGTGCAGAGCTGGCAGAGCAGATGTCATGCCCAGGAGATGGGGAGCCCCCAATGCTGGGCAGTGCACAGCAACTTGGTCTGTAGCCCCTGATTAGAAAACATGAAGCCGTCCTCAGCTCCACAGACACAGGCTCTGGGAAAACTTCAGCCACCAGAGAACATTCACACCAGAGCACTTCTTGTTTGTTTAAGGTTTTTTTGTGGGTTGTTTTGTTTTGTTTTGAGACAGAGTCTTGCTCTGTTGCCCAGGCTGGAGTCCAGTGGTGCAATCTTGGCTCACTGCATCCTCCAACTCCCAGGCTCAAGTGATTCTCCTGCCTCAGTCTCTCAAGTAGCTAAGATTACAGGCACATGCCACCATGCCCAGCTAGTTTTTTGTATTTTTAGTAGAGATGGGATTTCACCATGTCGGCAAGTGACTGGAAATAAAAGAATTTAATTCTCCATGGGCAGATGTCATTCACCATGTGAATTCCTTGTATATGATTTTATACAGGGGAGAAAAAATGTTTGAGAGCAGTCATTACTAATCAGGAGGCAGACTTTTGACCACTGCACTCATGTTTCTCCATGGGTGCAGACATTTCGAGCATCTGGGGGGTACTGCTTCCTTTTCCTCAATTGGTGCCACCCGAATGCCTGAATCACAGTGCTTTAGGCTGATCTAAGGGAGGGGCAGCAGCCAGGCAGCCATGGAAGAAGGAAGGAAACTGGTAGAGGGACCTGGGAGAAAAACAAGAGGAATTGACCCAGTAACTTGAGGTTCTGACCATCGCTCTTGAGAGCAACTTGACTGCATAGAATTTGAAGTGCATAATCCCCTTGTCTTTGTTAGGAGTGTGTTTTACTCTCAACTATGATACCATATCATGACTCTGACATCTACTACACAAGCTATCCTTGCTGACTCTGGAGCAGTATCCCCTCTCCTGTTTCCTTCTACCCCTTGTCCACCAGGCAGCCCCTTGAGCTTCACACTTCTCCACCTTTGGGCAGCCTTTCTGGAACCCCTCAGCAAAATTAGGCCCTTTCTCTCTTCTCTCCCAGTGTCCCTTATACAGGACTCCTCTGGTATGGGATTTTTGTGTTGCACACATGGTTGGTTAATTAGGGAATATTACTGTCATCTTCAGATAAATATTGGCTATAACAAGAATAACTGTGCTGCTTTATGTTTTTTATAACAAGGGACATCCCTTTCAGAAAAGAGATGTCTTTTTTTTTAACTTTCAAGTTAATAGTGGCATGGTGGTGTTGAGAAAAGAAAGAAAGCCATTAGTCTAGATAAAGAATAAAATGTACTCAGGCCTGGCGCGGTGGCTCATGCCTGTAATCCCAGCACTTTGAGAGGCCGAGGTGGGGGGAGCAGGAGGTCAGGAGATTGAGACCATCCTGGCTAACACAATGAAACCCTGTCTCTACTAAAAATACAAAATATTAGCCGGGCGTGGTGGTGGGCGCCTGTAGTCCCGGCTACTTGGGAGGCTGAGGCAGGAGAATGGCGTGAATCGGGGAAGGGGGAGCTTGCAGTGAGATCGCGCCACTGCACTCCAGCTTGAGCAACACAGTGAGACTCCGTCTCAAAAAAAAAAAAAAAGAATAAAATGTACTCAGTGATGATTAGCTGTTATAGCTGATTATTTGAAACATTAAAAAATTAAAAGTTTAACACTGATAGTTCAGTGAGAAAAATAATTTTGTTAATATGAATCTTAAACTCTGTCGCTTTAACTCCATTTCTTTCCATTCAGACAACTATAGTATAAGAGCTGATCCATTGTACAGTTTTATGTTACAAGTTTTCAAACAACTGTATTATAGTCAATTTATAATCAAGCAACTATTTTATAATTTAGTTTTTATGGCATTTGTTTCTTTGGAACATAACTGTCCCATCATTGCAAACCAGATGGGACATGTGTATAGAATGTGATACAGGAAACTCTGATTTGGGGGGTTGCAAATCTGTCCTTCACTAGCGTGTGGTTCCCTCAAGTTCACTGACTTCTTTTCATCTCTCCTTACCAGGCCCACAGTGATAAATTAAATGAGCGAATAGATATATATATATATAGTGTTACATTTTAATATGCCCCCATACTCCATGAACTGCATACACACCACTTAATGGAAGTTATAACATTGCAAATGCAACAACAACAAAAAAGTAAGTGTCTCTTGCCACAGTCATATCCCATCACCACCACCCCTCCCCCAAAAAACTCATCCCTCTCACATGGAGTTGTTCATTAGGTTCTAATTTTTGGTTTTCATGTCAGGAATCCTCATAATGATGTCCATGTGCAGAGAGGTGCACGTGTATGAATATATCCCATCCGTGCGGCAGACGGAGCTGTGCCACTACCACGAGCTGTACTACGACGCAGCCTGCACCCTCGGGGCGTACCACCCACTACTCTATGAGAAGCTCCTGGTGCAGCGCCTGAACATGGGCACGCAGGGGGATTTGCATCGCAAGGGCAAGGTGGTTCTTCCCGGCTTCCAGGCGGTGCACTGCCCTGCACCAAGTCCAGTCATTCCACACTCTTAAAAAGGGTTTCTTGGGAATCAATGTGCAATAAGGTACTACTGTTGTACTCAAAGTCACAAAAGAATACTTGAAGATAGATTTTAGACAGTGTAGTTTTGAGTCTTTAAACAGTAATTTAGTGGTGGTCATGATAATCCTTCTCTTTCTAAGCCATTGAGTATGTATTACTGCTTTGAACATAGAAATGGTTTTTTTAAAAAAATAAGGCTCAAGAAAGATGCAAAACCAAGGATAGCTAGAAAGAAAACACATGTATGACCATGGGTATGATACCTCCAGAAATGTTAACAACTTATTCTTCTGCCATGAGTACCCCTCATCAGGGTTGGTTTCAATGACAGGTTTTGGTGATGTTCCTGACCATATGAAGTGGTTTATGTTTAGAAACATTCAAATTGAGGGACATCATTTACAGCATCGAGTGTGTCAGTTATACATGCATTCATCATTAAATATCCTAGGTTTTATGACAGACATTGAAATTATCACTCAGATGTGTTTAACAGCAAAAAATTCCCAGCACATCCTGGCAAAGGCTTTTATTTCCAACCGTTGCATTCTTCATCTCTGCCTCCCATTGCCCACTGAATGCTTTGCTTTCTGTGCATCAAGACAGAGTTCTAAAACCAGAAAACATCCATCTTGAAAGGTCCAAGAAAAAGCCAAATTCCATATAGCACCACAGAGGAGGCCCTTTGTTTCCCTGCAGTATTTCAACCAGGAACATTAGTATCACATCCACCAGGAGGCACATCACTGGCAAGTAACATAGAATCACAGGGCTGCAGGTGCCCCTGGACACTCCCCGGTTCTGGCTTTTCTGCCTTGTACCTCCTCACCTGCAGATCTACCCTGCAGCTTTTGCATAGTCAGTGACACACTTGACAATTGGCACAGCTGTGCTGGGGAAGACGGGAGACACCTTGCTCCTTCCAAACTAGAAGGAAAGATTTTGGAGCCATCACCCTGTGCTTCTAGGGATGCACGCCTGTCTTTATTATACAGGTTTCTTGCAGGTTTTTATCAGCCAGTGGGAACTCCACAGTGATGAGCACTGAATCTTCACTAAATCTTCCTACAGACATTTAGGAATCCAGTCCTTGCTTTTGCAGATATGTTTTATGTCAGCAGCATGACAAAGCCATATAATTAAATAATTTATGTGAAAGCATTGCTTATTAACAAGGAAAATATGTAGATGCTTCAGAGGGAAAGGCAGCTAGAGGGAAATTTTCATCCCAATATGTTAGCTATATTCAGGGTTGATTTTTTCTTTAATCTCAACTGTCACTGATACATTGAAAAATTTTTGCTATGAATATAGTGAAACAGAAACATTCTGTAATACCTTAATTAAACATGCTATTATTTCAATGTATAACCAAAACATATCTCCATGGTACAGTTAAGACTTGTTGCAATGACAATAGCAGCTTAATTAAATGCGTTCTCCCTTGCAAAATGTATGAATGTCAGGAGAGTTTAGTGGAAAAGTTTTCTTTGTTTCAGGATTGGTTTCTTCTAGACTGTTCTCAGGACTACTTTCTTGAGCAAGAATGGCTTACAGAGACTGAAGGCTTCTGTTTGGTTAGTCTATTCAGCAGATATGGAGCTGGAAAACAAGACATCTCCTATAGCTTGCTATAATAGTGAAGGAGAAATTGGAAAGTTTTAATCACAATAATATCCAATAAAAGCCCATTTTGAGAGTTTTGTTATTAAGTCAATGAGAAGGGATAGGTAACTTTGTCCTATATATTAACTTATGTCTAAATAGACATGGTTAAGCCATGTTCCTTTCTAATTTCTTTTCTTTTCTTTTTTTTTTTTTTTTTTGAGACAGTCTCTCGCTCTGTCGCCCAGGCTAGAGTGCAGTGGTGCGATCTTGGTTCACTGCCAGCTCTGCCTCCCACGTTCACACCATTCTCCTGCCTCAGCCTCCTGAGTAGCTGGGGACTACAGGCACCCGCCACCACGCCCAGCTAATTTTTTGTATTTTTAGTAGAGACAGGGTTTCACCGTGTTAGCCAGGGTGGTCTCGATCTCCTGACCTTGTGATCTGCCTGCCTCGGCCTCCCAAAGTGATGGGATTATAGGCGTGAGCCACCACCGCGCCCGGTCATTCCTTTCTAATTTCTTGAAAAAACTTTGTCTTGTCCTTATGTTTACATGTGTGTAATAATTTCAGCAACTCTGGAATGTGGGTGAGGTGGCTGTGGTGGATGAATATTACTCCCTACCCTCCTTGGATCTTTCTAGATCTTCCAGACCATTAAATGCCCCTGAAGCTCCTTTTATAGTTTTGCAAGTGGATTTACTTGTAGACATCCTTACTATCCAGCATAATCCCCCTTGGCTGACATGAGAACTTGGTTAGAGGAGAATTTATTGGGGTCAGTGTAAATATTCAAGTTCAAAAGCCTCAGAACCCAACACTTTAAAGATTTTTAAATGGAATTTTGTCGTAGTCATTGTACTTTTAAAATAGTACTTTCAGTTTCATTGAGGTTACAAGAAAGACTGAAGAGTACAAAGGAAATTTAGTTACAATTTTTGCATTTATTATGGCCTTAAAGACTCTTGGGAATCAGGCTCTGTTCAACAGTCAATAAATGTAATACACACATTAATATAGTACTGACTGGGCGTTCTTCTATAAAAGTTTAAGTTCTTTGGCTTCTAAGAAAATGTTGGGCAGTTACAGTTAACTTGATGACTACTTCTAGTATTAGCCAAATGGGTCCTAAGTGGCAGCATTTTGCCAGACATTGACTAAATCCTTACATGCCACATTTACTGAATTCCAATAAACATATAGTTCTTCTGTGGAGTAGTTAACAGTAAGTGGCAGCTCACTGAATTTCTCCCAGGTTCTGTCTCTTCCAAAATCCTCCATCCTCTCTTATGAAGGGAAGCTGATAAAAAAAAATCCTCTTGGTGCAAGCTGAAGCTGTTAAGGATTCCTTTTTTCACTCTCAGGACCAACAGACGTTCTTTTGTATTTCAAGATAATTTCACCTGTTGTTGTTGTTGTTGTTGTTGTTGTTGTTGTTGTTGTTGTTGTTACAAAGAAACAAATTTTGAGCAGCAATGACAATTCAACCATATCTAGATTCTCCCTACCTTATTTCTCCAGCCAGTCACACCAGGCAGACGGGTAACCTTTAACAGACCTGGTGTTCTCATGGAATACCGATGCTCGTCCCAGGGAGCTGACCTTTCTCACTATGTCCTTATAGAGCTGCTCTTACAGAGAACTTTGTGCTCAGGACCAAGGGATGGTCAATTAAAAGTTGCATGTAAGCATCAGGCTTGGATGGGCAAGGGAGGGCTTTTATACATCTTTGAACGACCAGGTCTTTCCTTGTCTGCCTGAAGGCAGAGCTTCGAGAAACAGCACTTCCCATGTGTCTGGTCCTCTTGGTCTCTCAGCCAGACACTTAATCAATCCTGGACTCTCCAGTAGTCCTCAGTCATTGTAGCCATAGCATCTGCAAAAAAAGAAATGCTAAAATAATCATTAGCGTTTTCAAAATTAGGAAATCAAAGTAGCTGGGTCACTCTCTTACATGTGTATGAGCCAGTTAATTCTGCTGGACAGATCATACTTACGCTGCTGATTGACTCTTCTGAGCAGTAACACATCTCCTGAATTAATTAGGTAGGTCCCGTTTGGGTGCTTTAAGTGGGATCAGTCTTAGATGAGTGCCAGTATGTGATTGAATTTCATACGCACAAATGCCATGATTCAAGTTCTCTCTCCAGTTTTTCTTATAGATCAACACACAGTACATGTGGTCAGTTACTTGGTTGAATTTCTGCTTAGCTGTGGTAAGAGACAGAGAAAGGGAGTGAGGTGGGACCAGGGGAATTATCAGAAAGACATGAGTGAACCTATTGGCCAGGTAGCTTCCAAGTATGTTCTATTGTATTGTCTGTTTTGATTCTGATAGTTTAGAACTCTTTCTGATAGTTTAGAACTCTTACCCAGTGGTTACATGACTGATCAAGGCAACTCCATCTGGAAATTAATTGCTTGGGTAAAATGTCCCTGAGTTTCAACTTGTCTTTTATCTCTGGATATTCTCTTATGAGATTATTATGCATGTTTCTGTCACATGGGCATTATTTACACACTTGATAAATGAAAGGTATTTCTCTGTCCGTTCAAGGAAATAAAATGTAAGTTCTTGTTTTATTAAATGAATGAAGCCTTTTGGTTAAAAAAAAAGTAATGTAATATGTTTCTGTTCAAACTTGAGCTAATGACATTTAAGGAATTAAAGACATTGATCTAGTTCTTAGTATGAAAAGTGTACATGTAGATATAGTTATATAATTGTGTATATACATATCTACACACATGGTTGGTTTTATATTGCTTTTTCATCAATATTTTTGACTGAAACCTTTACAATAAATTTTATTTTAATTATGTAACCACTAATATTTTGAGAGAAGGAAGCAAATGTTATATGTCCTTCTGTTAAAAGAAAAAAAATTCAGTCCTCCGCCAACCGCTTCCCACACACTCATACTCTGCACATCTTGGCTACATTAAAATGGACTGACAGAATTATTTAAAAGGCACTATGAAGGTAGAACACTACCTTAATATTTTATCCTAGTCAGAAGCCTGATTTAACACTGAACTTTGAAGGGAAGCTTAGCTGTAGCTCATGGCTTTCAAAGATTAGAAGAAACATTTACTGGTTCTATGGAAAATAGTCTTCTTGCTAGGTAGATTGGAAACAAAGAAATTGCATTGGTGGTGTTAAAATCTAACATTTATAACAAATCCTGTTTTATTCTAGATGAAATACTTAGACAATTCTTCCAGTGGAAACCAGTGAACTTTTTTAACAGCTTTGGGAATTCTTTTGTATGATAATTTTTAAAATGAAATGTGTACTCTTCAAACTAATTAAAGCTTGAAGTTTTCCAGGAGTCGCATTTTAAAAGTGTTTGTACACATTTTAACACTTGGATATTTTCTATTTTGGTTTTGTATATTTTTATGTATACACAATGTACAGACTTTTTTCTTGTAAATAAAACATGTTTTCATTTGTCTAGAAGTTTCTTGTTTTAATTCGTAGAAGTTACACATACAAATGAGCAAGTGGCAAAATAACAATCCATCCCTAGGAAAACAAATGGCAAAGCTGAAATCTAATTAGAAGACTGAGTGGCGACAGAAGGAACAGCAGCAGGCCTTCAGCCATGAATATGGACGCAGCCTGGGCCTAAAACCACAGGTGGGCGGGTTTCTTTCTTCCAGGGATTAATGGCCACATGCCGGAGAATGAAAGTGGCGAAATCAAGTGGAAAAGGCATATATTTAGGCTAACAAATCTTGATGTTGACTTAATAACCCAAGATTTTGATGAATGCATGGCTTTGGGAGACTCTTCCTCAGCTTGACAGGGCATTAAGTCTTGGAAAACATAAATAAGTTATTCGAGGAAAGCCTAAAGACAGCTGAGTCACCTACAACCCACCACAATGTCAAATTGGCCTTGGTATTTTCATACTTGTGACATGAAGAGAAAATCAGTTAATTAGGCTCCTGGAAAGAAATTCTCGGTCATTTGCGCTTTCTGTTTAGAATGTGAGGAAATCCTCAAATCAAGAAAGTCTTTGGGGTTTTTGATGCGAGGACAGTGTGAGCAGGTAGGAAATTCAGAGTCATCCATCACCTCAAACAGCTGTGCTGAATCAGAGAGGACTCTCACCACCTTCATGCTGTTGTTGTGTTTCTTTCCCCACAAGATGACCACTTTCTTCCAGCTAATTAAAAGGTAGACATGGCTGCACCAGCCCTGATCGGGAAGGGCTGGAGTGGATCACTGGAAGGATATTGTTCCATGCTCTCGGAGAAGCCAGGCATGCGCATACTCCAGGGACTCTGAGGGGCACACACAGAAGACTTGGTGTCCATTAGCACTAGATGCTGCCGGGAGGATTCAGAGGAAGAGAAAGGAATTGTATAAGATACGTTGCACTCAGAGACAGCAGGAGCTAGGGGAAGGAGGTGAAGTGAACAGCAGAGAGAGAGAGAAGGCTAAAGTGAGAGGGAGTGAAAAGTAAGTCCAGGGGTCCCAGATACCATTTGCGTATCAAAATCATCAACTCAGAAACAGAACTACCTCACAACCAAAGGCATACCCAGTCAACCCCACTGAATGCGCTGAAGTGCTATGTTCAAGAGACCCTGGTGCACAAAATGTGGCAGGGAGAACGCCCTCCTGCACTAGATCTTTGCAAGCCCCTCATTGCCTAGAGCACGGGCTGGCCCACAGCCTACTTTTGTAAATAAAGTTTTATTGGAACACAGCCATGCTCATTCATTCACATGTCTATGGTTGCTTTCACCCTACAAGGGTAGAGTTGAGTAGTTGCAACAGAGACTTTGCAGCCACCATGCCTACCTGGCCTTTTACAGAAACAGTTTGCTGACTCCTGATCATGAATACAATCTGTGGAAAACTCTTTGGGCTGGTCTTGTGGTAGACGATGTACATGTAATCCTCATAAGACCACCTTCTAAAATAGGTATTATATTAGCCAAGGAAAGTTGAAGTCAGAGCAGTTAGGTGTCAGCCTGTGACACACAGCCAGGAAATGACAGAGCCAGACATGCAATCTCTGACTGGCTTCAAAGCGTTTGGTCAGGAGCATTGTGTTAGTCTTCTAATAGCAGCCTTGCCCTGGGATGCTGACCTAACACTAAAAAATTCTACAGAGGATCATTGCACTTTGAATATTGTGAGAAACTGTGCTTTCAAATTTATGGAGACTAACATTGGGCTTTTCCAGAGGCTTTTCCAGTCCTCTAAATCCCCAGAGCCCCGGAGTCTTTCTGAACTGTATGTGTCAGTCAAGTACAATTATTTTGTTATAAGAAGGCAGCCTCTGTGATTGTCACGGCCCAATATAAAGAGTGCCTCTGATGTGGTATAGAGAAAGCAGCCAGGAAGGATTGACATTCCACAAGCTCTATGCCCAGCCACTCTCCTAGCTCATTGTATCATGTTGGAGAAACAAGCAGTACTTAAGAATGAGGAACCCCGTGAGAAGCTGATCAGAAAAGTCAAAGCAAAAGAAAAATCAATGACTTTGGAAAATATGTCTTTTCTTGTTATTGCTGGCTTACCATCCCAAGGATGGGAAAAAAAGGAGATAGAAACAGCAATATGCCCTTTAGTTTTTAAAACAACGCTGGCATGAAGAGGTTAAAGGGGGTATGGGAGAGCCCAGGAGGGTGCTAGAAAACCTAGAAGAAGACATTTCAGGGACCTCAGCCACCCACGTGGGCCCAAGTAGACGGAGAGCTAGCAGTGATGGTGACTCACTGAACTCATTTTTAGGAATATTGTGCAAGAAATTGCATTCTCACACAACTTTCTTCCAAAAACTACATAGTAGGTATGTGTGAGAAACAAATATTTTTCCCTAAATTTATTTCTTACCTTAAATCCCCTTTTCAATGCAAGGTAAAAACTACCCTATTTCATCTAATCTAAGACATCACTAAGCATAAAATGCACCATTCTTTTGCACCCCAGTACAAATAAAAACGTAATCAAACTAGAACATGAGTCTCCTGTCCCACTTAGGTGTGCACTGTGAAGCACAGTAGCCATGAGCCACGTGTGAATTTGGCATAGTTGAAATGTGGCCAGTCCTGAATTGAAGTGTGAAGTGGAAAATACAGGCTGGACTTCCAAGACTTAATATGAAAAGGTGAATGTAAAATACCTCAATAACTTTGTTATATTGAGTACATGTTGAACTGATATTTTCAATATATTTCTTCAAATAAAAACATGTTACTGAGATTAATTTTGACATTCCTTTTTATATCTTTGAACATGCTTACTAGAAGATTTAAAATTGTCTGCTCACATTATATTTCCAGTAAACAATAGTAACTTCGAAGTTTGTAAAAAAAAGCACTTTAGACTTATTTAGGCATAGATTTTTCATTACATATCACCAAGGGATATAAAGGAAAGCACAATATGTGTGAAACTGACCATTTAAATTATTCTCAAAACATTTATACTTAACAGTAATTCTCTTTCGAATCACTTTTTGAATGAGTCATTAATTTCTATGATTTTTTTCCTTTTTTTCTTTTTTTTGTTTGAGTCAGAGTTTCACTCTTGTTTCCCAGGCTGGAGGGCAATGGTGCGATCTTGGCTCAGTACAACCTCCGCCTCCCGGGTTCAAGCGATTCTCCTGCCTCAGCCTGCTAAGTAGCTGGGATTACAGGCTTGTGCCACCACGCCTGGCTAATTTTGTATTTTTAGTAGAAACGGGGTTTCACCATGTTGGTCAGGCTGGTCTTGAACTCCTGACCTCAAGTGATCCACCTACCTCAGCCTCTCAAAGTGCTGGGATTACGGGTGTGAGACACTGCGCCTGGCCAATTTCTATGATTTTTTTTCTATCCCAAATTGTCTTCTGCACCATCAGAAGCAATGGCAATGCACTAGTTTTAAAGAGCACTCCACGACTGTTTCCAGGATTTTCTTCTAAGGTACTGGTACATTCTGTAATTATAACCATGAGTATGCCTGAAGATCAACAAAGCAAATTTCTGAGCTAAGAATGATAATTAATTCCTCAAGTTTATAATTTATCTTCATTCATGACTTAATAGTTTTGTCATTTGCTGGCATCATTAGCAGACAACAGTAGGGGCCAATCGCTTAAGAGAAAAATATGGACGGTATACTTTACATTGAGAAAAATTTAGCAATTATCATAGTTTTTACCCCTGCAAATGAGGAAATGATTGCTATATTAATAAAGCAAGTTGTTGTTGTAACAACTCCCAAATATAAGATTTGGGTTGTGCATCCATGATAGTTCAATAGGGTGTTTGGCCAACATTCTTCCACATGGGGAATGCGGATACAGGTTCTACACCTTGAGGCTCTTCCCCCTGCCTGAGGGCTGCAGCGCCCCCCACTGCAGCCTCTGCATGAGCCACCAGATGGGGAGAGAGCAGCAGGACCTCGTGGACACTTTCGGGCCTAGCCTGGGATGGTATGCAGGACTTCTGCACACTGTGCTGAAATCAACACATGGTAGCTATGTGACCTTGTGTATATTACCGGATTTGGAAGATGATGTTGAATAGTAAGAGCTAATATTTATTAAGCACTTCATGCTGCCCAATGTCCTGCCATATCACACCACATGAAATGATGTATTTAATCTTATAGACAAAGTACCATTGATTTTGCATTTGACAAATGAGAAAACTGAGACATGGAGAAATAACCTATGTTACAGAGCTGGTAAGGGGTAGAGCCAATCCAGGTAGCTGGCTCTGTAGCCCTTGATCCCTTTGTTGTGCTATTACTGTGTTATCGACTGTTAAAAGGAGCCTGCCACAAAGCCCTATTAGCCACCAGACATACTAAACAGCCATACTTATGGACAATACGAGACAAATAATTCGCTTTCAAAAATTAGCCTCCGTCTCCCTTCTCCAAGGAAAATAAGCCTGGAAAGTAGAAAATAACATACATGTTGAGACTGAACACCCACTATGTAGCAGATGCTGCACCAACATTACCTGATTCTCACAACATCCTTGGAAGATAGATATAATCACCCCCATTTGATATACAAGGAAATAGAGGCTCTAGGAGGCTCTCCTCCTTGATCAAGGTCACTGTGGCAGGGCAGGATATGAGCCCAGGTCCTTTTTCTCAAAGTCTGTAATCTGTTCACCCCCCACTTCTTTGCGTAAGGAACAAAGTGAATACAGGTATAAAGATGGAGGCTTGCCTGTGTCAAAAACATGGGGACATCCACCATGAATGGGATTTCCAAGAAGATTGTCTTAGACTCTAGCTCTTTTATGTCCTAACTCAGAGAAAACATCATAGAATGACTGCAACAAAGCCTTGGGGAGTTCCATGCAGCCGTTAAAGCCATGTCTAAACAAAAGTGCATGATGCGGGAACTAATATGATGTAATGTTAAGGGAAACAAGTAGGATAGAAAACTGTATCTATGTTGTAGTCTCTTTCTTATTCATATAGACACACATATTTCTTATAAATTTATACACAGATATACGTACATGTCATACCTATATACTTCTATGACTTAAAAATCTTTAAAGATGGCCAGGTGCAGTGGCTCATGCCTGTAATCCCAGCACTTTGGGAGGCCAAGACAGGCAGATCACCTGAGGTCAGGAGTTCGAGACCAGCCTGGGCGACACGGTGAAACCTGTCTCTACTAAAAATACAAAATTAGCCAGGCGTGGTGGCAGGCGCCTGTAGTCCCAGCTACTCAGGAGGCTGAGGCAGGAGAATCGCTTGAACCCAGGAGGCAGAGGTTGCAGTGAGCCGAGCTCGGGCCACTGAACTCCAGCCTGGGCGACAGAGCTAGACTCCGTCTCAAAACAAACAAACAAAAAAACAAAATCTTTAAAGATGCCAAAATAATTGTAACCATAATTATCTTTGGGCAGTGGGGAAAAAGGGTACTTTCTGTCTTGTCCTAATACCTTATATTACATATATTTTTAAAAGGACAGTAAATATAATCACAAATTTTAAAAAGCAAGTTTAAAAAATATTAGGGAAGACTTTGGGTCTAGTGAAAAGAAACTGGGCTCTGATAAATGGTGTGAGTGATCAGAAAGGAAAATCTACATCCTGATTTTTGTTTATTCATTGTTTTAATCTAAGTGTGATGAGGGCCAGAGCCCCAAATGTCCACAGCAACACAGGCTGCATAGCACCCAGTGACCAGAATTGCATCTATATCCAAGCCCTTGGGGCAAGCACCTGGGATCACATTATTGATTTGAAAGTCATGGGTCAGTCCCTGCCTCCCAAACTAGCTATGTGACCTTGTGTATATTACCTACTTTCTCTGAGTTTGGTTTCCTCATGTGTAAAGTAGAGATAATGACAGTACCTACTCACTGAATTATTGCAATTATTAATTTAGACACAGCATGTAAATTATCTAACACAGTCTGACACCTAGTGAATATGAATTGTTGGTGGTATTATTATTATATTTCAATCTCCCCAGCCCAGTATATCTAAATAATTAATAGAGGAGAACACTGATGAATGCTAGACGTTGCAGATGGTTGCTTTTTCAGGGAAGTTTCATCTCCTTAAATTTTAGAAGTGAAATAAAACCAAGTCTTTGTGGTGATGATTTGTTTTCAAGGCTCTCTAAAGAAAACTGCAGGAATCCTTTTTCATGAAATGAGAAATATAGGTAAATATGTTTTTCAACATTTTTTCTTGTCCTGTTTTTTTTGTTTATTTCGTTCTGTTTTGTTTTGTTTTTTCCATATAGAGGATCTGTGCCTGCCGTCAAGAGGTCTCCGATTCATGGCTCCAAGGACGAGGTCAAACATATCTAAATGATCCTTGTCAGAATCTGCACACTCACTAAACAAAATGAAGCTAGCAAACAGAGGGAGCGTTGTAAACAGTACAGCTACCCTCTGCATTCTCTTCTTTCCAGCTTCGCACTGTATTGGAGCTTTCCCACTGTGGTATATTGGTTATCTTGCGGCACAACAGACCATAGTGGCTCAAAAAAAGAATGATGTATCATTCCTCATGCTTCCACAAGGTTTTGCTGGGCAGTTTCTCTGCTTGCTTCTCCTGGCACACTCCAGGAGCTATGTTCAGCTGGAAAGGCAGCTGGGCTGGACGGTTCAAGATGGTCACATTCACATGTCCAACAGGTGGCACTGGCCATCGCCTGGGTTCCCTCCTTTCTCCTCCATGGAGCCGCCCAGGCTCCAGTGAGCCAGAGTGGCTCCCTTCCAGCAGACCTCGAGGTAGAGCCCTAAGAGGGTAAAAGGGAGAAGGTGGCAAAGTGACCCTGGAAAAGAGACATGCGTCAGGACGGAATGATCTGTGGCTGTAGAGCAGCTCACCACACTTGAGTGTGAGCCCTCAGTTCTTCCGTTGCAAGCCAATTGCTCCTTGCCCAAGTCACTGTATTTCCATTTTCCCATGACTTTATCCAAATTGGGAGCAAGATTCCCCACCCATAGAAAAGCAGAGATGTTCTCACACATGACAGTCTGCAGTTGTCTAGCTGTTGCCAATGCTGCACCCTGGGGTCCCCTCTACTCTGCAGTAAAGAAGCTGTGCACCCCATCTCCCCAGAATCCTCACTCCATGTGGGTCTGGGTAAGACTGTCAATCAGAGGCACTCAGAGGAGATTTCAAAGATAAAAGAGAGTGAAGGGCCATGAGTTTCTAGAGGCAACTGGTGGCAAAGGTGTGAGCAGATGCGTGATTCACAGTGGCTTCACAGCAACTTCTGGAGACCCCCCTACTTCATTGCTCTTACGCGGAGAATGGCAGGAGCTTGCTAGAAGTTCTGGAGAATTATGGGGCTTCCTGGGGTGCACTTAAGAACCGCCCTCGGGTGTGCCAGCTTGAGATCGCTGGTGGCAGCTTCCCCAGCCTTCACTCATAGTTCTTCCAACTGTTTGTGCACGCCACTATTTCCTTACATTAAAACCTCTAAACCTTGAGAGCATAGCGTGGCTTCTGTTCCCTATCTGAATGTTGAAGGATACAGTTTTTCTTACCAGAGGATTCCTCAGATCTGACCAAATATGAACGTAGTGGAGACCTTATTGCCAGTGGAAAATGGGATGTTTACCACCCATGACATGTTGTGGCAAAGCCACTGAAGTTCCCAAATGCAGTTAGTTGCCTGGAACCAAGTGCCTATAGAAGGCCAAATACGGGAAATTGAGCAGCTGCTACATGGAATGTTCTGACGGAAATGAACAGTCCAAGGTTTAATGTGGGGCTTAATGGTTATTTCTCACTGGAACGAAGATTTGGGGAAAAGGCAGTGACATGCTTGTCACTTTAAATTCTTATCTTAAGGCAGGCATACAGAGGTTCAATGGCTGTCCTCAGGAAATCCCTTATTTCTCATAGCTGAACAACCAGGACTCAGGGAAACTAACCAGGCCAAAATTGAATCCTGCGAGTAGCCAAATTATAATACAAATTGAAATTGCAGTGTTTTCTGGTATCTTACGTAAAGTTAAAGTGTTAATCAGGAAAGAACATCCCTGAGATTAGAATGGGATCAGTATGATCCTGTTCCTATCATTCTGAGGACCTTGAATCCCACGTCCCAGCAAGCTCCACCTGCCAGAGTAGCCCTTTCTCCCCAAGCAGAGTAGGTGAGCCTCCTCTTACTTGAAGACTGTATAATAACTGCATCTGAAGTAGTTAGCTTGCAAGGGGTGACGATTCTCCCTCAGACCCACCTCACCAACTCTTAATACTTTCACATCTGTAATTAGAGTCTAATAACAGCTATGGATTCACTGTGGACTTTAAGGGGAGGAGTATAAAATGTGATCTCAAAAGAGATTCTCTATGTGATATGGTTTGGCTCTGTGTCCCCACCCAAATCTCATGTCGTTGAAGTGTGTAGCCCTCCCCTCTTCACTCTTTCTGTCTCCTGCCACCATGTGAAAATGTGCTTGCTTCCCCTTCAACCTGCCACCACGATTGTAAGTTTCCTGAGGTTTCCCCAGCCATGCTTCCTGTGCAGTGTGTGGAACTGTGAGTCAATTAAGCCTCTTTGCTTTATGAATTACTCAGTCTCATATAGTTCTTTATAGCAGTGTGAGAATGGACTAATACAATATGCAACAAAATAATTGCAAAATTTTATTGGTTTACACTGAGTGTAACCTGAGGACTATGTATAGAAATAGATTGTGAAATAGATTCCTGGTCAAATTTCTATTTGACCATACTGTTCCAACCTGTTTCCCGAGTTACCCATCAGGTTGCCAGATATGAATGGGTGCCATAGTTACAGAAGGCTCTGTAGCTGATCTAGCCTACTGGGCAAGATGCCTTACATAGGAGCCATATGTCTAGCAGGTCCACGGTGGGCATTAGCAGATCCTGATAGAAGATTACATATGGGAAATCCCTTAAAATTTTGGAATAAGATCATCCACTCCTTCATATAACTCCTCTCCTTTTAAGAAATAGCTCCTAACTTGCTTCTGGGCCCTGGTAGCATCTATGTAGCTCAAGATGCACATTGAGAGTTGCGTCTTGCCTAAGTCAGTGGTCCCCAACATTTTTGGCACCAGGGACTGGTTTTGTTGAACAATTTTCCCACAAACAGTGGTTGAGAGGGGGTAGGATGGTTTCAGGATCAAACTGTTTCACCTCAGATCATCAGGCATTAGATTCTCGTAAGGGGCGCACAACCTAGATCCCTCGCTTGCATGGTTCACAATAGGGTTCCTGCTCCTATGAGAATTTAGTGATGATGCTGGTCTGACAGGAGGCAGAGCTCAGGTGATAATGCTCACTCACCCACCACTCACCTCCTGCTGTGAGACCTGGTTCCTAACAGGCCACAGACCAGTACCAGTCCATGGCCCAGGGATTGGGAAGCCCTGCTGTAAGTCACTGAGCCACAAAGCTGGGCATGGTAGCTGCTGTCCATCATCAAGTTGAACTGCTATGTGGGAAATTGGGCTTAAAGGCACAAGTAAGTTGCTTAAACAAGTGGCTTCAACTTCTGTGCACCTCCTTCTCTTGCACTGATACCTTTACCACAACTCACACCTGTGGCCCAACAGGAAGTTCCCAGTGACCAGGGGAAAGAAGAAGAAGAAGAAGAAAGAAGAAGAAAGAAGAAGAAGAAAGAAGAAGAAAGAAGAAGAAAGAAGAAGAAGAAAGAAGAAGAAAGAAGAAGAAAGAAGAAGAAAAGAAGAAGAAGAAGAAGAAGAAGAAGAAGAAGAAGAAGAAGAAGAAGAAGAAGAAGAAGAAGAAGAAGAAGAAAAGAAGAAGAAGAAGAAGAAGAACAAGAAGAAGAAGAAGAAGAAGAAGAAACCTTGACTTCATTTTCATATGGTTCTGCTGGCATCTTTGAAAGCCAGCAGCTGCAGCTCTACAGCACCACAGGGGAGTGACCTCAAGGGCAGTGGAAAGGGGGGTCCTCCCAGGTTTGTTCACTATACCTGCAAGGAGAGGGGCCAGAGGTATGGAACCACATTGAGTGAGAGGTCACGCCCAATGGCATCACTGGATGTTCAGGGACTTGGAAGTGAAAAATCAATGCTCTGGGAAAACAGTGTTTGAATGGACCTTTCTGAAGTCAGAGCATGAGGACTTGGGAACCTCGGAAATTCTTCCCAACTATGGTAGAGGTGGCTCTTATCAAACAGCAGAATAAGGTAGCCTGATGAGTGGCTATCAGTCACTCTTTTTGCCACCTCCCCAAAGTGGGCCCACTAGACTTGCATGCGAAGTGATCATACTGGCAGGTTTGATGGTCAAGTGTGAGCTCAAAAATACGAGCTTTCCTCCACCAAGGCTGACCTGGCCATAGCATCTACTGAGTGCTGACCCTGACCACAGCAGAGGGTGACACCAAGCCCTCTAATTTAGCAGCTTTCTTTCTGGCAGTCAGCTGGCCAGCTGGTTGGATATATTGGACCCCCTCCCCCATCACAAGAGGTAGGGGCAGAAGAAGGTATGTGCCTTCCCTGGAATTATCACTTCCTCTGAATATGGATTCACATTCCCTGCCTGAAATACCTCTGCTGGTGCCTCTATTGGACTTTTAGAAGGCCTCATCCTCATCCATCCACAGGACAAGTCTGACCAGGTAACTCATTTTATAATGCAGGAAGTGTGTGATGAGCTTATACCTATGGAATCCACTGGTTTTACCATACACCTTATCACTACAAATTGTAGCATCAACAAGCTAACAGCAATGTGACCAGAGACCAATATATATTGTCATTTTTGCCTGTAACTAGAATACATGGATCAAGGAACCTCCCATAAACCGCCAACAAAATATTGGCTCCCCATTTCCACCTCATTGACCTTGGACGTTGGTTATGGGACTCCTGATGCCAATGGAGCATGAATAGTTGTGCCTATGTCCAAGTCATGCATTTTTCTAACCTTATTTTTTTGTTGATGAAAGACATTTTGCATTTAAAGGAAAGGCCACAAATTAATTTTTTGTTACTGAAGCTTTATTCTTACAACCAAAAGAAGCCTAGATGATTCACCCAAATCTCCATTTGGATTTGATGTTTCCTCCTTAAGTGAGAGTCTGGCAGTGGATTCTAGCACATTACTGAGAAGTGACTGAAGATCTTTCAGGCTTGTAACCACTACCCATGCCTTGCCCATGCTCCTTCCCTCCTCAGATACCTTACAGGAGACCCCAAGTGTACAATCTGCCATGATTCAGTGCTAAACCATTTATTGTGCTCAATTAAATGCTTATCAAGAAGGATGCAGGTGCTAATGGGATGTGTATGCAGGATCAAGCCTTGACATTTTGATTTATATCTTTGCTAGCTAGTGGCAGTGGAAAGGAGCTCTGGGAAGGTTAAGAGTTAATCTACTGCTACAGCTCCTGGGGGACTTAGCATAATAGTGACATGGACAGCTGACCCTGGAGTTTCTAAAAGGCAGCATTTGAAATTAAAAACTTCATGAGCCCAAATGTCAAGTCTATAATTCCTTTCCCAAAGGAGTGAGAAGATAGTGTATTATATTCCCCAAGCTTTATTTGCAGGCAGTACTTCAATGGCAGAGAGGAATACCTGGATATATGTGAACAGCCTTGATGGAGAAAAGCCTCCCCTTCCCAGTCCTTACCCCACAAAGAAAAATAACAAAAGCAAAACTCCAAGGCTACAGGAGATCAAAAATATCTTCTTTGATATCCTGTGCCCTACCCAAAAGTGTTGAGAACAAGCTTCTCTTTCTAATTGTGGTCAGCATTGTTAGTGCTCTGCAAAATCCAGGTTATTTTCTTTCGGAGTACAAAATAATTTTATTCTGAGGCTAAAACATATGTGTCAGTCTTTATTTGCAAGGTGTTACATCCTACAGGAAGGAAAATGCTGGGTGGAGGGGATTGTATGGGAACTTTGGGTAATCTGGGTTGTGAGACCTCAGAGCTCTCATACAGTTTCACATGTCTGAGGCCAGCAAGTAGGTCAGTATGAGATATTCAGACTGGGGAATGGGCAAGGATGGAGAGAATCCTCCAATAGAAGGATGTGTTCCTGGGGCTAAAAAGCAGTCAGCCTCGGGTTTTACAAGAGTGAGTGGGAAGTTACTGGGCATGAGTAGTTTCCCAGGAGCCTTGACTCAAGATACACGCAAAGACTTCATTTCCCAGCCTTCCTTGCAACTGTCAGTAGTCACATGACTGAGTTTAGCCAATAGAATGTGAGCAGAGATGGTGCACACCATATCCGCCCATAGCCTCTGCAAACCTGCCATATTGCATGTCCACGTTCTTTCCCCTTCTGCAACCAAGTGACAAAGGCCATGTGACCTTGGGAAGCCACTCTTTGAAAATGACAGACCTTCCATCAGCCTGAGCTCTACAGCGATCCACATCCCCGTTAGGTCAGACAAAAACTTTGGTAAAATGGTTGCTTAACACAACTTGGAAAGGAGGGAAACCAGCTAAAATGCTGCCTGCTGGTGCATTTAACATGATGCAAGAAAGAGATGAATTTGGGAAATTCTGGCAAGTTTGTAAGCAAAAAAAAAAAAAAAAAAAAATCAAAAAGAGAGAGAATAGAGATGGTGCATAAATTTAGGGTCTAGCAGGGTTAAAACGGGCAGAAAATAGCTAGACCACACATTTTAGGAAAAAGACTAAAAAAGGCTTCCAGCAATAATGACCCATTAAATTTTCTCAGTTAAGTGGCTTGTCCTGTGGCAAGTATCAGATCAAGGGTGGAGCTTTTTCTCCCCTACCCTTACCAGTGGTTCAAATGGCCTCAGAGCAGCTGCCATTACATTGAGGCTATAATGGAGTCCAGGAAGAAAATAAATTCAGACTTGAAAATTACATCTAGGAAAAGTCTTATATTCCTGCACAGAACAGAGTGGAATCACACAGATTAGACAGAAGCCTTCTGATGTTTGAAAGAATTACCTTGCCAAGAAGGCCGGACAAAATGAAAACAAAAACAAACGCCTGTGATGGTTTGAGTCTTACTGCAACCTTGGCTCCTCAAACTCACATGAGCAGAAAGTGGGCGGTGAAAGTTCATGGTCCCTAAGAGGATATCCTCTCTAATACTCTGAAGTTCCCTTCTGCTGTGAACACATAAAATAATGAACAAGAAAGCCCTCCCAGAGGACAGAAGCACAAAAATTGATGGATAGGGAAGTTCCCTCTAGGCTACATAGAAACAGGATTACATCAAGAACTTTGCCCCATGCCAGGGCAGAGGCTTGCAATTCCTGCCTGTAAGGATTTTATTATTGCTACGGACCAACGACTGCTGTGTGTGCAAAACCATTCATTCCCTTTTTCAATAGAGACATTTTTGTTGTGATTACCTTATTCCTGCTTCAGCATTAGGAGTGAGTGTAATGGAGGATGCCTGGCAGGATAGGAAGAGGATAACTTGTCTTTTAGTTTGTCAAACCATACAAAGCTACCCTCAGACCTGATAGAGTAGACTGCACATAACCAGGAGAACCTGGACTTTAAACTTGATGTGGTATCAGGATAGGTCTTAAATTGTCTCCTCTAGGGAGAGAAGAAGATATCTTCTCTACCTTCTTCCCAGGAGCCTTGACTCAAGGTACACAGAAAGCCTTCATTTCCCAGCCTTCCTTGCAACTGTCAGTAGTCACATGACTGTGTTTAGCCAGTAGAATGTGAGCAGAGGTGGACAAAAGGATATGAATGGATATTTGGGGAGCTAGCAGAATGATGGACTAGGACCGAGACTGCTGGCATCACCCCAGACTTCATGTTCTATTCTGCCTTTTGTATACTCAGCTAGACAGTATCTCCCAGTCTCCTTTACAATTAGATGGGGCAACATGACTGAGTTTTAGCCAATGGAATGTGACTGAAAGTGATAGGTACCAATTACTGGGCTGGTCTATAAACACTTCTCATGTGTGATGAGGCTCCAGGTTCTTTCCTGAATGGCTGCATGGAGCCAAACTCCCCAAATGACCTGAACTACTAAGAACTGCAATATGAGCAGGAAACAAGCTTGTCTTAATCTAATGTGTATTTTGGGGTTGATGTATTAGTCCAACTAACCAACTAACATTACTCTAAATAATACACTGATTGTCCCCTTCTGTTTTCCCAGTTTCCCAATTCCCTAGGCCACTAATCAAGACTGAACTTATAAATATGCATTTAATTACAATTTTACCAATAATTGTATGGCCTCTCTCTCCTCCACACAGCCCCTTTGTGCTCCATTACCCAAAGCTCCTCTATTGGGTATTTCTTCAGTTTACTTTCTTGTTGATCTCAGGCAAAGCAGTTAAGCTCCTGAGTCTCAAAACCATGGGGGTTAATAGCAGAAATGCCTTACATGGCTATGTGAGGAATGGCTAAAATAAAATCTAGCCCATATTGAGCACAGTGCCTGATACGCAATACATATAATGGGGAAAAGCTTTTTCTCTGCCATCTTAGGTTCAAACCTGTAGACTGTAAATTAACTGACAAAAGATTAATAAAAGACATACAATATTTGTAATATTGTTATGTGCAGAGAGGCTTCACAGAAAAGAAGTAAAAACCCAAAGAATGTTAGACTTGAGGGCTACTATAAAATTTTAAGAAAGGGTTAGAAATTGTGGAGAAGTGACTAGAAAAAGGAAGGAGGGTTTGGGCTTCTAGGCTCAATAAATTATGGGAAGAGAACTAGGAAATATGTGGGGGAAAACTAATGGAAGATAAGAGTTATTTTAGTAAGGTTCAGTTATGTAAACCTAGCTCTAGTTCTCTGTCTGTGGTGATAAGAGTCGCTCTCCCCATCCTGGTGTGGGGACTGGGGTTGGGGGTATTTTAGGTCACTTGCACAAAGGGAAATTTAGGCTCTGCTTTTAGGCAGAAAAGGGGAAGGCAGAGAACCTTTCTTAGGTGTGTTGATTCTCAACTGCCTTTAGCTCACAATAATCCTCATGCCAAAGTAGCATATTTTGAAGTGGCGTATTCTGGACCTCTCCATATGTGTTCAGTGTATGTGTATGTGTTCTCTGTATGTTCAGTAAATGTGACTGTTATTGTTATCTTAAAGAGACCATATTCATTTGAAAATACCACTGGTCTGAATTCACCCTTCAAAGGGTGAAAAGGGTGTGCTTCCATCATGCTTGAATGGATAACTTAAGACTAGCTGGGGACCCAGATGGGGAGAGTTTTGGTTAAAGGAGCAGACATGGAATTGAACCTGTCACTCAGGAGAGGGCCTGGGAACACCACAGCAAAAGCACCTATGGTAGGATCCAATGGCAGAGCCAGTTAGGGGTGAGGCAGTAGTCATTTCTAACAGTTGATCTTCATCTAAAGCAGACATCTGGTAGCCGAGGGGATGAGGAAACTAGGTTTGGGAATAAACAGAATCATAAAGAAGTAGCAGGGATGTCGGAGAAAATAGTTTAAAAAGTAAATAACTAAGCTGTGGGAACCTAGAGACTCGGGAGCCACTCTCTTGGGACAAACTTATGTTTGTTCTTTGACTAAAGTCAGAACAAGACCCATGTAAGCTCAGTGAAGGAGTGTGGGAGACAGTCAGAGGTGACATCTGAGGTAGAACCAAGCCAGTCAGTACGTCAGTCAAGTCAGGCAAAAAGGCCTACTACGGGTAGTTCCAGAATCTCTAAATTTTTAAAGTAAGAATGGCTTGGGAGCCGTAATCAGGTTGGAAGCTGCATTCGTATTACACAATACTGAGAATAGCTAAATATTCATATAAAAGATTAGTAGGTGGTGTTTGTTCTATTTTACCTAGTATTTAGAGGCATTTTGTAGAGTGAGAGTTCCCAGGGTACCTATTTCCCCATATTGCCAGAAACAGAAGTCTGTGACCAGACATCTATCTAGTTTGTAATGAAAAGCCACATTTTGTTGATCTCAGCCAAGCTTCATAGAGCCCAGAAATAGCAGACATTTGCTTCAGATTCATCTTTCTCATCTCCACCAACATCTATTTTTTCATAATGCCGCCCTCAGGCCACTTACATTATAATACAGGTTCTTAGGCCACATTCCTAGACCTCCTGAGTCAGAACCTCTGGCTGTGGAACCCAGAAATCTGTATTGTTAACAAGTCTTTTAGTGATCTTTATCACCAGCATTTGTGAGCTATTTGTCTATGCAATAGTAGATGCTCAATAAATGTTCATTTGTTTTTTCCTCCATGTTTTTAAAGAACATTTGAAAAGATCCTTGCCCCTGGAGAATTATCTCCCAGTTCCTACAAAGCCGAGTATCAGAAATAAATTGAAATTGACTCCTTTACTTGCATATAAATGCCTGCTGTGGCCTGAATGTTTGTACCTTCCCACAAATTCCTAATTATCAGTGTGAACAGGATTAAGGACCTTATAAAAGAGGCCTAAGAAAGACCCCCTGCCCCTTCCACAATGTGAGGACACAGCGAGAAAATGCCTTCAGTGAGCCAGGAAATGGGCCCTCACCAGATACCAAATCTATTGGCACCTTGTTTTTAGACTTTCCAGCCTCCAAAACTGTAAGAAATAAATTTCTATTGTTTGTAAGTTACCTGGTTTATGATATTTTGTAATAGCATTCCAAAACAGACTAAGACAATACCACTGCCCTGGCTGTTTCTAAAGGAGCTGTGCTCTAACAGTTATCTCTTTTATTTTACATAACTCCAACCTGATCATGGAAAGTCAAAGATCTAAGCATTCTGAGTTTTTTATTAGCTTTTGTGTGTTTCATTGACTTTGTATCTTCAGTGCCTGGCACACAAAAGGTACACAATGTGTGCTTTTTGTCATGTATTGAGTTTTAAAATAAGACTCAAACTAGAATCTCGGCTTAGTTTATTGCTACAATTCTATTCATATCATTCATCATTTATCAGAAGTTCTATAGCAAAAGTTCAGCAGCTTTAGTCTCTTATGAAATAGCATTGTTCTTAGTGTTCTTTCTGTGCATTTCACTAATCACTGTGACTCAGTAATATATAATTATCAGAGCAAGCTTTGCATACATATGAGCACTTATTGCATCTATGCATGCCTATTAAGACATGCCACAATTTTTAACAATAGGAGAAAAAATATTAAAATTGCCATGGAGATTTTATTTGCTCTTGTTTATGAAATGTGCCCCGATTAAGACCATCAGTCTTGAATTCATTTTTGATCATTTCATTCTAACTACACTCTTAAAATAATTCTTGAATAGGATACTAGTTTTCGTCACTCACAGTGGAGAAATAAAATATCAGAAAAGGAAAATAATCAGCACTGAATTCATCCGAAGAATTTTATCTGGATTTTGGTGTGATGCCTTCAAATAGCATGTACTGTGTATCAGGTACTATTCTAGCAGATGCGGCATTCAAAGAAGAGAAACACAAGATCTCTGCTCTTTGGGCATCTCATAGGAGAGATACAAGTGTGTGCAAATAGTTGCCCAATGGACACCAGTGCTTGTTCTCTCTCTCTTGTTTACCCCACACTAGTTAATAACATGGATCCAGGGGAAGTAAGAGTACACAGTATATACAGCACCCTGAAGAGTGGCATGTCTGTTAACCACCCAGAGTCAGTTAGGAGAAGAGGTGGGCTGGTAGATGGAAAGCAATGGTTCCTACTCTTGGGGAATGCTCTCTCTAGAGGAGAGAAAGGAATTGTAGTACCATCAGCATTTCCTTAAGAAAGGACAGTGCATATACGTTACATTGGGAATGGGGCACAGGGTGGGATGCCTGCCCAAAGCCTGGTACACAGGACAGGCTCAGCAGTCAGCTGTGGGGCTTGGCTTTAGCACTGGGGTTTCCCGCAGCCCTGGAATGAGCACCATGAAAACATTCCTGACCTCTAGAAGCTTATAGTACAGTTGAAATGACAGAACAAATGAACCGTTCAATTAGAGATCATGGAAGGACAAAACTGCAGTGATGGTAAGATTATGGTCCAGTCCTACTCCCCACTAGCAGCATGTCAGCTGGTAAATTGCTGAAACTCCCTTATTCTCTTGTTTTTATTACAGTGAGGGTATATTCATAGCCCCAATCTTTTGGGTTGTGGTGTTTGATGAGTGGACCTGGATAAAGTGCTTGGGAGGCAGCCATCATACAATGCTTGCTCCACAAGTGTGAGACCTGTCTATTCTTTGCTGAGCAGCAACCACAGAAATCTGCCCAGGCCAATACTGTGCCTGAGAGCTCTCTAAGTTAAAAGAGATTCCCAAACAGCACTCACTTCATGCTACTAGAGAAAGAGGTTGTGGTTTTCAAGAGGAACAGCAGCCGTTCATGACTGTGCAGGAACAGCATCCTTACCTTCTTCTTCGGAGCAGGTTTGTAAATGAGCGTCTTATTCCACAGGTGTGGGCTAGTGACATAAGGTCATCCTCTCCAACATCAGTGGCAAAGAGACAACAGTCAACATGATATATGTTTTTTCTCAAAAGAAAGACTCCTAATTCCTTCCCATGAAAACCACATTTTAGTAGCAGCCTAGTTGAATTAAAGGCATCTCATGGCTTAATTTAAAGAGAAAATAAGGTTTGCCACAGTAATTAACCAAAAAAGAGACAAGATGTCTTAGAAGAGAGATTCAAATTATCCCAATGCTGAAGTTAATAGGAATGCTTTTTTGCTTTTCTCCCTAGAGGCTATGTCGATCTGGCAAATTAGTAATGTGCCTCAGCTCATTGGTATTCTATGCCAAGAACTTGTGCTGCAAGATAAAAGAATGTGACTGTAGTAAACCCTACAATAATGACTTTCCCTGAGCTTCTCTAGGGGGTTTCTGGTTTATTCACCCTTCCCTTTCTCAGCCTAGTGATTCCTAAGCACTCATCCGTGAATCCCTATTGTAAAAGAAAAGGTAGATAGTAAGCGTAATTTTCATACCACAGGCAAGAAAGTCAAAGAGTCATAGCCTAAGGAATAGTCATACATAACCAAGAAAACAGCCAGTGTGGGAAGACCCAGGGACACCCAATTGCTACATAGTACCCCCCGCAGCCCAGCCCCATCTCCAGGAAGCCTGACTGCCCTTCCACCAAGCTTTCTTTCCTTCATTTATTCATCCATTCATTTATCATTTGTCAGATATTGAATGGCCATCTATGATGTTTCAGGCACTCTGACACCTATTCGGGGTACAGGCATAAATTAGACAATCATGGTGTGTCTTAGCTGGGGTTAGGTGTTTCCCAGCTTCAGTCTTCTGTAAATCTGTCCACCTCTCTCAGAAGCCCAGTTATAAATTCTATCTTTATTGTTCCTTGAATACTGATGTTTTAGTTAATACGTCCTTTCATTTTTTCTGGATCTACTTAACAGACATTTCAGATATTGAGTATTTTTTCAGATGCTCAAATCCAGTCTCATAGCTTGAAATTCTATCTACATACCAACAACTACCAAACCAATTCTTTACCTTTTGGATTCTAGGGTTTTATATCCAAATGCTTTCTTGACATCTCTACTTGTAAAGACTTGTAGATCTCTACATCTAACAGAGATCTCAAAGTTAACATGTCCAAAATTGAACTCCCCCAATCTTTCCCCACAAAACCTCCCACAGACCTCCATCTTCATAAATACAATCTCCCTTCCTCCATTTGCCCAGAAAAGGAAGAATCAAGTCACCTTTGGCTCCTCTCTCTCACACACTTCCTTATCCAATTCAGTCACAAATGTTGCTAGTCTTCTACCTTTGTAAGATTTTGAACATCACCACTGGTCTAAGCCATCATTCTCTTTTCTGAGAAATATTGAATGATCCTTCTAATTGGCCTTCATGCTTTCTTTCTTGCTTTCCTTCTGTGTAACAACTTGGAAAAAAAAGTTCCAAACCTATCACAGTTAAGCATTAAAAGTGTTTGCTTACATAATAAAGAATGTTGGAAATTTCTCATAATCCAGCAGGTTTTGTATACTATTGCTATATCAACTGGGTGGTTTCTTTCCTGAACTTCAATATGTGGTAGCTCAACAAAGAAAATCACACCATGCTTTGGACTTAAATTCTAGGGAGTCCCATTACCACGTTAATTAACCAGATCTACTGGGCTTCCTCCTTAAATGCTGCGTGGGTCCACCCCTCAAAAGGAGATGGTGCCCAGTAGTGGCTGGGACCCTCTTCCCAGAGTAGAGGCTGCTGCATCCTACCCTGGTCTGTCACTCCTGTGCTCCGGCACCCCCATCTCAGCCATTTGCTTTGTGAATTCCAACTCCTGCTGCTGCTGTAAGCTCCAGATGAACAAGCAGCCTCCCCTGTCTGTTTTCTGGTTCACTGATTCCTCCACTTGACTTTAAATTCTAACCAAATACCTTTTCCTACTTCTTTCCTGGGATTCCTTTGTCCCCTTCCTCTGGGCTGTGTGTCTGAGTGCTGTCATTATCACCTAACTCAGTGGAGGCATTTCAGAAGAAACTTGAGACAAAGCACAAACATCATAATGAAACTATAATGTATGTCTTTATGACTACCATTATCTTCATATAAAGAAGCAATCGTTTTTAAGGGATTAATAAGTGGTGTTGAGAATTTAGGAATGTTAATAAATACATGTGAATCTGCTTTCTGTTAAAATTTACAGCTTATAGGAATAAAGCTTGGTTACTTTATATAAGGACAAAAAAGAACAAGAAAGAAAGAAATCACTGACAAACTTCCCAGGAGACAATTCACAAGATTGATTTTTTTAAACAACATTATTTCTTCAAGTAAAGAGTTGATGTTTAATAAAGTCTTTGATACTTTTTGTAAAATGCACTTCCTTAAATTTTATTACATTCTATTGTTCTTGAGAAAAACTCTCCAAATTAAAAAAAATAGTGATAGATTTCTAACAAAGCATATTTTCCAGATGTGCATTAAGTTACTGCTCATGCATATTTATTCACATTCAGATCAGAGTCTTATTGACAGAGAAACTAGCTTTTTTCATTTCTGCAAGTATCAGAACATTTAAGGTCATTTAGCAAACAAACAACTGATACATGCTGGGAACCACTTTAATATTTAGGAATCAACGACCACCAAACCAGAAATGCCAAAGAATCATGGCCGCCAAAAACTCAGTAGACTACTTCCTGCCATATGGATGGTTGTGACCGCAGTGTGTACTCCCAGGCTGAAATCTACCACTTCTAGTCTATTAGACACAGGGACAGCTCTTGAAGTTCTACTCAGCATAGTGGATAGCAAAGTTCTGAAACAAAAACTATCTCAAGATGTGATAAAATAAATACACATAGGGAGAAGATTCTGGCAAGATGCTGAAATAGGAAGCTCCAGGAATCTGTTTACCCATCCAGACAACAACTGCACTGGCAGAATCTGCCTGATGTAACTATTTTGGAATTCTGGAGTCTATTGAAGGCTTGCAACTTCCAGGGAATGTCTTAGAAGTAAATTTCAGTTAGTTTTGGTCAACTTAGACTCAGCACAGTAGTAACTACCTATTGACCGCCCCAGCCCTGTGGCAGGCAGCTGTGCCCATGACCTGAAGAAGACTGCATACAGCTTGTGGGAGCCAGGGTGGGCAATAAGGACCCAGTCCTCCAAGTATTTGTGCTGTGATTATTAATTGCTGCTTCTCATCACAGAAGTACAGACAAAGAGGCAGGTGGCCATTGCTATTGCCCCACCCTCATTATTGCTAGCCCCTCTCTCGCTGAGGTGACTTCCAGGGTACTTAAAAACCCAGCATTCTTTTTCTTCTCCTTAATTTTTATCTTTTCCCCTTTTGGGAGCCATCCATTAGAGACTGGGACATTCCGAAGTGACTGCATATATGGGGGATATTGGAAGGTGACTATGTATGCCCAGGGAAAGGCACAGGCTCAGAAAGACCTGAGAAGACCTTAAGTTTACCTTAAGGTCAGGTTAGCCTAACCTTAAGCTCAGGCTAACCCTCAGCACTGAGACAGCCTACAACAATTAAAAAAACAAAAACAGTAAGCAACAACAACAACAAAAAAACAAAACCAAAAACAAAAGCCCAGTAAACCCCAGGGAAGGGAGAGAACCTAATTTCCAGTGTTATCAAATCATTAGCTTCAAATGTCCATTTTTAACAAAAAAAATCAAGAGACATACAAAAGAAAAGGAATGTGTGGCCCATTTTAATGGGAAAAAAAGAAGCAGCTCCTGAAAAAGACCTGATGTCAGATCTACTAAACAAAAACAATTATCTTAAAGATACTGAAAGAGCTAACAAAAGATGCAGAAAAAGCCAAGAAAATGACATAAGGACAAAATAGAAATATTTGCAAACATATAGAAAACCTATGAAGAAACAATAAATTTGATGCTAAAAAGTGTTATAACTGAAATAAAAAATTCACTAGAGAGATTCAAAGGCTGATTTGAGAACGAAGAAGAATCAACAAATTTGAAATAGGACAAAGGAAATCATTGAATCTGAGGAACAGAAAGTAAAATGATTGAAGAAAAGTGAACAGAGCTTAAGGGACTTCTGGAACACTGTTGAGCAGAACAACACGTGTGGTGGTAGGCTAAGAAACAGAAGAGAAAACAGGAAAGATAGATTATTAAGAGAATTGATGGCCAAAGTCTTTACAAATTTGATAAAAGACATAAGTAAAAATATTCAAGAAACTCAGTAACTCCAAGTAGGATGAACTCAAAAAGATCCACACTGAGACACAATATAATCAAACTGTCAAAAGCCAAACACAGAGTCTTGAAAGTTGCAATAGAAAAGTGATTCATCACATAAAAAGATCATCAATAAGATTATAGGTTCAAAGATATAGTGCAGATGGGGGAATAAGTTCTAGTGTTTGATAACACAGTGGAATGACTAGTTAACAATATTTTATATTTCATGAAAGCTAGTAAAGAAGATTTAAAATACTCCCAACACAAAGAAATGATAAATGTTCAAGTTGATGTATATCCTAATAAATATCCTGATTTGATCACTGATTGTATATTGAATATACAGCTTACACATTGTATATTCTTGTATCAAAATATCATGTGTATCCCACAAATATGTTTAATTACTGTATATCTCTAGAAACATTTAAAAATAATAAATAGTAAATTATGAGATTAAAAAAAGAGAGTCTCATCATAAATACTGGAGACCAAAAGGCAGTGGGCTGATATATTCAAAGTGCTAAAATAAATAAAAATATCAACCCCAAATTCTATATTTGGTAAAAATTGTCCTTCAAAAGTGAAGGAGAATTACAACATTCCCAGATTAACGAAAGCTAAGGTAATCTGTTACTTCTAGACATACCCTAAGAGAAACACTCAAGGGAGTTCTTCAGGTTGAAATAAAAGGACACTACTCAGTAACTCAAAGCCATATGAAGAAATAAAGATCTCAGTAAAGATGGACAAATAGGCAATTACAAAAGCTAGTACTATTATAACAATGGTTTGTAACAACACTTTGTTTCATACATGATTTAAAAGACTGTTTTTTTAAATTTAAACAACAGCAATTTATTTTCTCACAGGTCTGAAAGCTAGAAGTTCAAGATCAAGTTGTCCATAGGGTTGGTTTCTTCTGAGGGTCGTTTAACTTGGTGTATAGATGACCATCTTCTCTCTTTCTTCACATGATCTTCAGTGTGTGTAAAAGACTATTTAAAAAACAAAATAAGAAATGATTAGTCTAAAAGCTAGAATTACTGTAACTTTGGGTTGTAACCACATTTTGTTTCATACATAATCTAAGAAACTAATTCACTTTTAAAAACAATTGGTTTATGTTGTTGAACATACAAAGTATGCAGATGTAATTATGGTACATTAACGACTGAAAGGGTAGAGGCAGAGATGTAAAGAAGCAGTGTTTTCATATGTTATTGAAGTTAAGCTGGTTTAAATACAAATTAGAGCATTATAACTTTATGATATTAAAGATAATCTCAATAGTAACCACAAAGAAAATAGCTATAGAATACACACAAAAAATAAGAAAGGAATTTAAACATTTCACTATAAAAAATTAAACACAAAAGAGGACAGTAATGCAAGAAAGGAAAGACAGAAAAGCTATAAGCCATGTAGAAAACAAATAGCAAAATGACAAAAGTAAGTCTCTCCTTATCAGTTAGCCTTAAGAAGAAAGGAAATTCCAACACACACTACAGCATGAATGAGCCTTGAGCATATTATGCTCAGTGACATAAACCAGTGAAAAAAAGACAACTACTGCATTATTCCACTTGCATGAGGCAAATAGAGTAGTCAAAATCATAGATACAGAAAGTAGAATGGTGGTTTTAAGGGGCTAGAGGAATGGGGGATGGGGTTATTGTTTAATGGGTACATAATTTTGATTTGGGAAGATGAAGTTCTAGAGATAAATGATGGTGATAGTTATATAACAATCTTTAACTGTACTTAATACTACTGAACTGTACACTTAAAAATGGTTACAGTGGTAAACTTTAAGTTATGTGCATATTACTGCAATAAAAAAATCAGAAAAGAAATGAATCCACTAAATTAATGAAGCATTATGATCTATTTATGGTTGAGGAATTTATCAAATGTCCTCAAAAGGAAGACACAGTGTTTTAGTATTGTTGTTCTTCATGAACATTTGAAGTGATACTATGGTGTCCACAGATATTTCTTTCTACTATTATCAATATCGGAAAGATAATATTGGGTAAGAAGAACTATGATGATGGTCTATGTCTTTATGTTAAGCTTCATACTGAATGCTTAGTCCAGTAGAAATAAAATTGTTTTGGCTTGCTTGAGTGAGGAAAGCCTTTGAATGCTGTGCTTTGCAACAACATGGATGAATCTCAAAATATCATGCTGAGTAAAAGAAGCCTTATCAAAAGAGTACACACAGTAGGATTCCATTTACATGAATTTCAAGAAAGGGCAAAACTAACCTACGGTGGGAAAAAAATCAGAAGAGTGGTTGCTTTTTAAAATTTACAGTGGCTGTAAATTTAACTGAAAAAAGACAGATTGGCCGGACATGGTGGCTCATGTCTGTAATCCCAGCATTTTGAGAGGCCAAGGTGGGTGGATCACTTGAGGTCAGGAGTTTGAGACCAGCCTGGCCAACATGGAGAAACCTCGTCTGTACTAAAAATACAAAAATTAGCCTGGCATGGTGGCACGTGCCTGTAATCCCAGCTACTTGGGAGGCTGAGGCAGGAGAATTGGTAGAACCCAGGAGGCGGAGGTTGCAGTGAGCCTAGATCGTGCCATAGCACTCCAGCCTGAGCAACAGAGCAAGACTCTGTCTCAACAACAAAACAACAATAACAACAAAGAATGTAAAAAGACAGATGGACAGAAACACAAAATGTTTTAATGTTTTACACACATGGGAGTTCACAGAAAAGAAGTGAAACTCAAAGAAGCAGTTAGACTTGGGGCTTACATACCATTTTAATCATTTTAACAAAGGAAAAAAGGTTTGAGCTTCTAGGAGTGATAAATTATGGGAAAGTGACAGGAAATATTAGGTTGGTGCAAAATTTATCGCAGTTTTGTCATTACTTTGGCAGAAACTGCATTACCTTTACACCAACCTATGTGAGAAATTAATGGAAGCTGAATGTTATTTTCCTTTGGTCTGTTTATGTAAACCCGTTGATGCCAACTCTGTCTCTGGTGATGAGTTGCTCTCATCTTTCTTGTATAGGACAGAGAAACACCTCACAAAGGGAAATTTATGCCCTTCTTTTAGGCAAAAAAGGGGAAGAAAGAGAACTCTTCCTGCATCCATTGATTCTCAATTGTCTATGGCTCAAAATAATCCTTAGGCCAAAGTGGCATATTTTGTGGAGGCATACCTTGATCCCCTGCAATATGCACACTACAGTATTTTTGTTTTATTTTAATTTTTTGAGACAGAGTTTCACTCTTGTTGCCCAGGCTGGAATGCAATGGCACAGTCCTGCTACTTCTCAACATCTGCCTCCCGGGTTTCAAGCAATTCTCCTGCCTCAGCCTCCCAAGTAGCTGGGATTATAAGCATCCACCACCATGCCCAGCTAATTTTTGGATTTTTAGTAGAGATGGGGTTTCACCATGTTGGCCAGACTGGTCTCAAACTCCCGACCTCAGATGATCGACCAGCCTTGGCCTCCCGAAGTGCTGGGATTACAAACGTGAGCCACTGCACCCAGCCACACACTATTTAGAAGGATGTATACTGATGTATGGAATTTACTTCAAAATGTATCAAAAATAAGAGGAATTATGAATAAATGGGGGATTTGATAAAGAAATAGATGTGTAATTTTTTTTTTTTTTTTTTGAGATAGGGTCTCACTCTGTTGCCCAGGATGGAGTGCAGTGGCACAATCATGGCCTACTGCAGCCTCGAACTCCTGGGCTCAAAAAGTCCTCCCACCTCAGCCTCCCAAGTAGCTGGAACTACAGGCACATGCCACCATGCCTATTTTTCTTATTTTTTGTATAAATGAGGGCTTTCTATGTTTCCAGGGTTGGTTTCAAACTCCTTGGCTCAAGTGATCCCCTTGCCTCCACCTCCCAAAGTGCTGGGATTACAGGCATGACTCACCACACTTGGCCAATTAAATATATATATATAGAGAGAGAGAGGGAGAGAGAGAGTAAAATGTTAACGATAGAACTAGGTAGTGAGTATATGGGTGCTTATTATAACATTATCTCAACTTTGATGACTGTTTGCAAATTTTCATAAGAAAGTGCTGGAAACTACGCTGTGTTCATTGATAGAGCCTCTACTGTCCAGAAAATGACATCTGGGTGACCCCTTTTGTAAGGCTGCCCCACTTGCAAGACACACAAGCCCATTCCATGGCTTCTTAATGATTTCAATTGTCTCCCTAAGAATTCTGCATTTTTCTGGAGGCTCTCATTGTGCGTACAGGCTTCTGATTTGGACTTTTCTGCTTCTGACAAATTGCCACTCACTACTTAACAATCTGGGGCTTTATAACCCCACTTCACACCAGAGAGAGCTGAACTAGACTCTTACCCTTTATTTTCCTTGAAAGCCTCTGCGCAGATTTTCCTGAAATTCAAGAGGGACAAAGAGGGTTTACATCACTAACTTGAAAACAAAGTAAATGAATATTTGGATTTCCTGCTTTTAACAAGCGTCCTCTGCTCTTTCTGCCAATTCAAGCTCCTATCTCCAGCTCTATGGTTTTCCTCCTTTCTTTTCATGCCTTACTCTGTGGACTATTTTCTCCCTTTCCAAGGGTCCAAAATAATTTGCTTAACAAATAACTGTTTTCTCCCTAGAGCAGCTCTGTCCAATGGAAATGGAATGTGAGCTGCATATGTAATTTAAAATTTTCTATTAGCCTCATTAAAAAATAAAGAGAAACAGGTGAAATCAATTTTCATGAGGCATTTTATTTAATCTGAAGCATTCAAAATATTGTCATTTCAATGAAGAGGATTAGGATATGCCACCCAAAAATGTGCTACTGTGGCATATTGATTATGTTGAGCTGATGGCAACTGAGAAACGGCAGGAGCAAGATGAACTCTCTGCCCTCTCCTTTTCTGCCTAAAATCAGAGCGTAGGTTTCCCTTCTCTCCTGGACTACAATGAAGAGGGTGACCCTTATCACTGGATACGAGGAGCCAGCACCGATTAAACCTTACTAAAATAACCCTACCTTCCATTTGTTCCCCCTATAGATTTCCTCATCACTTATTAGCCCTGGAAGCCTCAACTCTTTCCTTTGTCCAGTCACCTCTCCTCAATCAATAACCCATTGTTAAAAAGGTATCAACCAGGCGCGGTGGCTCACGCCTGTAATCCTGGCACTTTGAGAGGCTGAGGTGGGCGGATCACCTGAGGTTGGAAGTTCAAGACCAGCCCGACCAACATGAAGAAACCCCGTCTCTACTAAAAATACAAAATTAGCTGAGCGTGGTGGCGCATGCCTGTAATCCCAGCTACTCTGGAGGCTAAGACAGGAGAATCACTTGAACCCAGGAGGCGGAGGTTGCGGTGAGCCAAGATTGCACCATTGCACTCCAGGCTGGGCAACAAGAGCGAAACTCCGTTTCAAAAAAAAAAAAAAGGTATCTAAGCCCCCAAGTCTAACAGCTTTCTGGGGTTTATACTTTTCTGTGCAGTACTTGTGCACATAAAAATATTAACATCAATAAAAACGTATGTGCCTTTTCTCATGTTAATCTTTCTTTTTCCAGTAGAATTTGCTCATCCCAGGCACTGAATCTGAGAGGATAGAAGAAAAGTTTTTATCCCCTCCACTCCATCAACATATAACCAATATGAACACTATCAATGAGATATATTCTTTTTTAATCTTTATTTTAATTGTTTTACTAAATTCTTTGAAATTCTGCACGTATTTTACAGTTACAACTGTGAAAGGAAAATATCTTGGGCCCCCAAAATCACTAAGCTAAATGGAAAAGTAGAGCTGGGAACTGCTTAGGGCAAACCCGCCTCCCGTTCTATTCAAAGTTATCCCTCTGCTCACTGAGATAAATGCATATCTGATTGCCTCCTTTGGAAAGGCTAATCAGAAACTCAAAAGAATGCAACCATTTGTCTCTCATGTATCTGTGACCTGGAAGCCCCCTCCCCGCTTGGTGTCTTCCTGCCTTTGCTTCGATTGGTCCCACTTTTCCAGACTGAACCAATGTACTTCTTACATAAATTTATTGATGTCTCCTGTCTCCCTAAAATGTATAAACACAAGCTGTGCCCTGACCACCTTGGGCACATGTCCTCAGGACTTCCTGAGGCTGTGTCACGGGCGCGCAACTTCAACCTTGGCAAAATAAACTTTCTAAATTAACTGAGACCTGTCTCAGATTTTTTGGGTCCACACAACTCATCTCAATTTAGACTAGCCACACTTCTGCATGTAACCCTAACCACCAAATTCTACAGTGCAGCTCGAGAGGAATTCTACCTGTGGCCTTTAGTGTGAGTGTGTGTGATTCCTGTAACATACATACAGAGAGAGTAGATTGGCACCTTTTGTTCCAAGGGAAATAACATAATCAGGCTTCCTTCCATGTTTATAAAGGCTTCCCTGCTTCATATTTAGTTCAAAGGTTCTTGGGATGGGGTGGACAAATGCACACAGGGGCCATGGAACCTCCTGGGGAGGAGAGGAATTCACACACACACACCTTCAATATCATCACCACACCTCTGAAGAACACGGATGATTTCATATAAGAAACCTGGCAATCAAGGACATCAGGGACCTGAAAGTCACTTACAGCACAAGAGAAAGAAAAGCCTATAATAGTCCCAGGCTCTACTTTCGGGTTTAGAGTGTGAAGGGAGAAGACTCATTCTGTTTACAGCATGTGGTCATGTTGGAAATGCTAACACTATGAGCTTTCCTGGGGGAAGTGTGTGTGTGTGTGTGTGTGTGTGTGTGTGTGTGTGTGTGTGTACAAAGCTGTACTGGTGGGGGGTTGAGTCCTCGGAGTTACAGAGTGACCATAGTACTGTATGCAAGAGACTTTCTTTAGAGGGAGCCTTGAGATGTCTGTCGCTGACACACCAGTGACAGCAGTGCAGCCTTCAGCCACCTGAGTAAATCCCACCACGAGCAGGTAGGACCCTGGGATACAACAGGGCTTGGGGGACCAGATATACACAGCTCAGCAATGAACAAGGGCCCAGCCTGCCATGATAGGACCTCCTCTTGCCTTGCTGCTCTGAATGTGGTGTACAAAGTGGCAGTGCAGGGATCTCCAGGGAGGTCATCAGATATGTGGAGTCTTGGGCCTCCTTCCCACCAAATCAGAACCTGCATTTCAATAAGGTCTGCAGAGGCTTTACATGCACATGGAAGCTTAAGAGATTCTGCTTTAGTGGATTTTCCAGCTTTCTAGAAGGCACTAAACACAAGAACTGACATCCTGGATTAATTTATCACCCAGGAAGTCAAAGAAGCAAAATGCTTTCTTGGGTTTGGCAGAATGGGGGCTCCTAGGAGTTAAATTTGATTAATAAAAGTAATGCGACCTAATGTGTACCCTCTACCTGTGATGGGGGCATATCTGTTATACTACTAACAATAACATTATACTATACTTGAAACCAAACTGCCAAATGTAAAAATGTTGAAGGTAAAAAAGCATATTACATATGTGTATATATATATATGTGTGTGTACATATATGTATTTATATATCATATTTATTAGATATATTATCAGAAACTGGCTGGTTGTTCTTTGCCACCATGTACTACTTTGGATGGAGTATTCAGGGAAGGCTTTAGAGACACAAGTGTCCGGCTAGACCTTGAAGGGAGACTTTAGATGGGCAGAGCAGTGGAGACAATGATTAATAAGAGGAAAAGCTTTGGTCACAGAGGCATCAACTGACTGCAGTCACCTGCCTGTTTAACTCATGAGGATCATTTCACTCTGTGTCTGTCTCCTACAGGGATCCCAGAGCCATGATCTCTGACAGATAGACTAGCAGGAGATCAGTGAAGCTTTGGGTATTGGTTCCCACAAAAGATAGATGGAAATGCTTCCATCAGGCCCTTCATTCAAAACATGTTTAGTAAGGACCTAGTATGTACACCGGGAGGGACCTTGGATGGATGGGGCAGGAACAAGTAGTATGTTTTAGACTGGATGGGCCTTCTAAGAGTTTGCAACCAACAGTCAGATCAAATTAAAAGTGGAGTGACACTGAGTGGACTGGAAGGGCCAAGATCAGTGATATGGATGATAGGTACCACAGGAATTTTCAAAGAGAGATCAGTGAGGCACAGCATTAGAATTTAGACCCTCTCGATCAAAAAAAAGAAAAAAGTTATTGTTTTTATTAATCTGTTTAAATTACTTGTGCATCAGAAATGCACAATTATCACTGATATCAATGATGAGTACATAGTGTCAAGCATGAATGATTAAGAAAAAGATCACAAGAAGGACAAACTGAGTCTCTTTCAAAAGACAAAAATGAAAGGAATCTCTCCCTCCAGTATCTTCCCTGGAGGGCCACAGGCGCCTGTCCTTGGCAGTTCAGTATAGCTGTTGAAGAGGGGTTCACTTCTAACAAGAGCAGTGCCCTAAAATTCACATGGTAGTACTGAGCCAAGGTTCCAGAAGCTTGTCTACCCATATCTGTGAAGATTATCAGCAGCAGACTGCAATGAGACCACTTCTCTCTGAAGTTCTATTTGAGGCTCCACCTTGAATAACTTCAGTGACCAGATTAGCCTGAAATCCTTGGGATAGAGAGGGCTATCAGGGGCTTATTCTCAGGTCAGAATGACTTTTCCAGCTAACATGCTTCTGGGCTTATGTAAATTTAAACCAAGTGGGAAGATGGATGACAGAGGGATGGAGTGGTAAGTAGACACACAATAAAGCAAGGATAATGACAGTGCAATCTAGGTGATGGGTGTAGATTGACACCTTTTGTTCCAGGGGAAATAACATAGTCAGGCTTCCTTCCATGTTTATAAAGGCTTCCCTGCTTCATACTCAGTTCAAAGGATCCTGGGATGGGGTGGACAAATGCACACGGGGGCCATGGAACCTCCTGGGGAGGAAACGGATTCACACACATACCTTGGATTTACAGTTCAATATCATCACATGGCTCACATGAGTTTGCTGGGGTTGCCATAACAAACTGAGTGGCTTAAACAACAGAAATTTGTTGACTTAGAGTTCTGGAGGTTAAAAGTCTATGATCAAGATGTTGGCAGGGCTGGTTTCTTCTAAGGCCTTTTTCTTTGCCTTTTTGCTGTGTCTTCACACGATATTCCCTCTATGCATGTGGATGTCCTAATCTCCTCTTCTTCATAACGACACCAGTCAGATTGGATGAGGGCCCACCCTAACACATGATGGTAACTTGGCTACCTACTCAAAGAGCTCATCTCCAAATACAGTCACATTATGTGATACCGGGGGTTACAACTTTAACATAAAAATATGATTCAGCCCATATCACAGATGTTCACCGTAAAATTCTTCCAACTTTGCTATACGGTTAAATTTCTTCATAATAAAATGATAAGTAAAACTTAAATCAAGCAAATGTATCTCTTGTTTACAATTCTTCCGGATAGTTTGGCCAGGGAGGAGACTACCAACCCTCAGCCAAGTGAAGCTTAAAGAGTTTTATAGATTTCACATCCTCCATGTCAGCCCTTGTCTCTCTTCCCAGCCTCCAGCAGCAGAAACAAGAGGCTGGGCTGCAGCATTTTGCATTTTATTTACAGAGCCTGCTAAAATACCATGATACTTGGTAAAACATCTTAATGTCTCCATATGGTAGAAACAGACAGTATCAATTGCTGTCATAGTCTGAGACTGCAGTGCCTTCATTTATAGTGAAAATTCTTCAGTGAGACTCAAGTAGCTCTCCAGCCTCCAACAACACCTGCTGACAGTCCAGGACAGGAAGAAAGGTGCAAAGTCAACTGCAGAGGGAGGAGCACACAAACATGTGATGAAAACTCACCTGCAGACCCTACTGGACACAGTGGGATGGGGGAGTGTGAGTCTCTTAAGGATCAGAGCAGGGTAGGACTCCAGCCCTGTATTGCCTCTGAAAAAAGGTAAACAATCCCCAGGCAACCCCAAGGGGTCAACCTAAAACAGCTCTTGCTTGATTCTGTCCCTGAGATACATTCTGAGGACAGCTCAAGGAGTCTGTCATGCCTTCTTATTGTTTTTAAATGTTCAAAGCAAATTTGTCTACAATCACACATGTGGTCCGTTGTAAACTTATTTCCTAAAGAATAAACTTCACTTTTTTCTATTAAAAACAATCAAACAGATACAGTTAAGATCCAATTAGTATCCAGAGTGATTTACCAATACGTAGTAAATATGGCACTTACGAATTGGTACATTGCAGAGTTCCATGCTGCTATTCTGGGGCCATGAAAAATTTCTAATTATAGTGGGAATAGAGGAGCTGGGGTGACGAGAGGGGAGGAGCTGCCTAAAGAGCCCCCAGTAGGCTGCCCAGAGTGGTCACCGATTTCCAACAACATCTGCAACCACAATAGGCTCAGATTTAGGGCTGCCTCAGTCCATTTGCAGTTCTTCAATAAAGTGTGATGGAAATCAGCTTTTCCTCAATCAGTATTATGTTGGCTGTGGGTTTGTCATAGATGGCTTTTATTACATTAAGGTATGTACCTTCTATGCTGATTTTGCTGAGGGTTTTAATTATAAAGGGATGATGGATTTTGTCAAATGCTTTTTCCGTGTCTATTGATATAATCATGTGATTTTTGTTTTTAATTCTGTTTATGTGGCATGTCACATTTACTGACTTATATATGTTAAACCATCCCTGCAACCCTGGTATGAAACCCACTTGATCATAATGGATTATCTTTTTGATATGCGGTTGGATTTGGTTAGCTAGTATTTTATTAAGGATTTTTGCCTCTATATTCATCAGGGATATTTATGCCAGTTATTTTTGTTTTCCATATAATTCATCCCATGGACTAATCATACCAGGCAGAAAATGGACACACTTCTGGGTTTCTGCAGAAGTCTAAGAAAGCCATAGGGAAGGCAGGAAGCCAGAGCCTGGATGTTGCCCTCGTCAACAACTTGCAGTGACCTTGAGAAAGTCGGGCTTTCTGCTGGAGTTGGCTTCTCTCTTAATTGAAGATGACAGTTTTAATCTATGTCCCAGGAGAGCTGAGAGGAAGAAAGGACTCAAAATATCCTGAATGTCACTGTCTGTGACATCCCACACAGTAAGATTCATGTGCAATATAGGACACATACAGCTTATTTCATTAAAAATAAGGGAGAAATTTCAAAATATGAAAGTTTAGCTTACCATGGTAGAGGACTAGGAGACAATATGACATTTCCTTAGTGTTATACACAGCCATTTGATGTGGTTTGGATGAAGTTCATTGAAAACACATATGAAGGAGCACTTGAGGTCCACAGGTATGTGAGAGTCCAACTGGGGGAATCCTGGCTGAAAACAGACATCACACTCAGATTGCATCATTCAAGGAAGTTTAATAAAATGATTGTAAAGGTTTGGGTGTGGTGTTGGAGACCATAAGGGTTAACATAGGACCTGGGCACCTCTGGAACTGAAGAGGCAAGAGAAACAGGGATCACTCAAACCCAGTTCACAGAGAGGGCCACCTGAGAGCACCTGTGACCTAGTCCAGGGATGGAGTCCAGCCTGAGGTGACCCTGGAGGAGGGGATCAGGATGAATAAATGCCCAGTCTCATCTTCTCCTCTCTTCGACCTCTGCCCATCCCCACTGACCCAAGTCGACAAGAGGCTAGAGGTCAAGGAAACCCATTGATGCCATCCATATGGGCCAGGCTCACAGACCCAGAAAGGTGTGGGAAGGAAGGAGGGTTTGTGGTCAGCACAGACTTTAAAGGAGTCCATTGTGGGATTAAAAACATAGGCTCTGAAGTCAACTGCTGAGAACTACTCCTGACTCCTCCACTTACACGAGTTGTGTGAATTATGCAAACTTCCTGCAAACTGCCGATAATACTATTACCAAGTGAGCCAAAAATCATTGAACACGTAAAAATTGTGCCTCAAGGAGACAGGAGGAAAGAGTGGAAGCTGCTGGCCTTGTATCCATTCACTTGCTTAACAGTAGAACGCCTCTGGTCTGAGCTTTGTGGCAATGAAACAAATGGGGAAAGAGACTAACAATATCTGCTAGGAGGAAGAGACTTTATTTATTAAATGCCATTAACAGAATGTCCCGGCCTAATGAATAACTTTGAGCAAATAAAACCAGAATCTATAATGCAAGGCTCCCTGGGGAGAATGCCACATAAGTAGTATAACTCTCTGGGGCACAGTATGGAATGGCTTCAGCATCCACACTGTATGGATCCTCACAGAACCTCACTTGGAGCCCATCTAGTAATCTCACCTGACAGTGTCTCTAACGTGGGAAGGAGGGTCTTGGGTGCTATCCAGGCTGCCCCACTCCTCTCTGTCTGTCTGTGACTCAGAGCCACCTGAGCCCAGAATTACCAGGAAAATTTAGTATGAGGTAAGATCTCTCATCTGGATGAGGTTGATTTGATAAGCAAATCAGAACAGGAACTAGAGGAAGGCAAGCAAAATGTCTATGACACCAATTGAAGACGACACTCACTCTCACAGGCAGATGGGTACCTGAGAGCAGGGGTTTCCTTGGATTTTGTGCCCTGGTGCCTGTCATGCCTCACCCTAGTTCTGCCCTAAACCATCCACTGGGTTAGCTCACTTGGCCATTTGTGAACCTTGGGCAGTTATCCCTGTCATCTTGAAGATGCTCAGTAGCTGCCCTTCCTGTCTTGTGGTTCTATCAAGTCTGTTTTCTGGTTCTCCACAATTCATGTGTGCTCTGAGAAGTGGCAAAGCGGCATCAGCTTGATCTGCAAATTCTCAGACCCCACTTCAGACCCATGAAAACATTATCTGCATTCTAACAAGATTGCCAGGTGAGTTGGGTAGATATTAATGTTTGAGACACTCTGCTCTGATTAACTACAGTCTTTTGTAGCATATTAATGATTGAAATGGCAAGCACATTCAGCTCTTCATTGTCTCAAAGCTAAGTCAGGAGGCAATATTTAGTGCAAGGCACATACATGCTGTTCTTGATGGTTTTCATATAAAAGCTAATTTCCCAGGAACCAATTTGCTATGGTTTGAATGTATTTCCCAAGAAGCTGGTGCTGGAAACAATCCCCAATGTAGCTGTGTTGGGAGATGAGGCCTAATGAGAGGTGATTAGGCCATGAGGGTGGAGAGAATTGCCACTATCACTATCACTGGAGTGAGTTTGCTATAAAAGGGGGAGTTTGGTGCTCTCTCTCTCTCTCGCCCTTCCACCTTCTACCATGAGATGACACAGTAAGAAGGCCCTCACCAAACGTTGGTCTTGGAGTTTGGACTTCCCAGCCTCCAGAACCATGAACCAATATATTTCTGTTCATTATAAATTACTCAGTTTTGGGCGTTCTGTTATAGCAACACAAAACTGACAAAGACACCATTTTTTAAAGGGCCCTGTTCCTTTTATATCTCTGTGTACCTAACTCATAAGGCTGTTATTGAGAGTAAGTGAATAAATGGATGCAAAACCCCTGTGTGGTACCTGGTGCATGGAAAGCATTTGGTGAGCATTACCTCTTACTACTTTAGATGGATTTTACATAAGAAAAAAAACTGAGTTCTATGTTTCATTGATTTAAGGGAATAAATTGAGAAAAATGTAGCCATTAAATATTCTTAACTTTTTTACCCTAAAATCAACAGCTTCTCACCCTGTTCCCAAATTGACATGCAGATCAGTATACTCAAAGAACCAGGAGGCAAACAAACCAATCACACGCAGCTAAGTGCACCACAATTGGGCATGCTTCATAATTTTTCACAGCCGTGTTTGAGGATTATTAATACACAAAGGGGATTGGTTGAATGCTGGGGCTCATTTTCCTGTCACTCTGTACCAGAAATGGAGATTTGTAAAGGCAGATTTTATGCCAGTTCTTGGTTATTAAAGTTTTTCTAGGCAGTAAAGGAGAGAATTTTCTGGCTTTCGCTAGAGAAAAGCTGTCTACAACCTCCTGAAAGGACAGAATGCTTTAAGTTTGGTAGGAGCCAAGCAAAACAAAGTCATATATTTTTATTTTAACATCAGATTTCATGTGTCTATTCTGTTGTGCATTTATTGTATAGAGTCTTTTGTGACTTTGGAGTTAACAGAGGGTTTAGGCTGTCATATCTAATTCATTTATAATTGTATCCAGCAAGTTATGTCAGGACAGCGCTGACCTTGGTAGACACAACGTTTCACAATTCCTCACAATAAGACCTTTCGCCCAAGTCCCGGATGTGTAATTAGTAGTGCAGATAATTTCTGCTGTTGACTTTTAGTTTTCCTCAAAGAATTCCAAGGCTCAGTTAGGGCAATGTGTGTTTACTATCTCCTCACGATTTTAAAGCAAGGCATCCACTGGGTCTCTCACCCAATGTCAGCAGCTGATAAACATTCTTGAAGCTGTGAATTGCTGGGAGGATGAGAAATGTTGTTTCAAATACCAGTTTGTGAACCTTAGCCTTCATATTAGTTGGATGTGAAAACAAGACCCTTGATTTTCAGGACACTGGCTTGAAAAATCACACAGTGCGCCAGGCGAGGTGGCTCACGCCTGTAATCCCAGCACTTTGGGAGGCTGAGGTGGGCGGATCACCAGGTCAGGAGATTGAGACCATCCTGGCTAACACGGTGAAACCCCGTCTCTGCTAAAAATATTTAAAAAAATTAGCTGGGTGTGGTGGTGGACACCTGTAGTACCAGCTACTCAGGAGGCTGAGGCAGGAGAATGGCATGAACCCAGAAGGCGGAGGTTGCAGTGAGCCGAGATCGTGCCACTACACTCCAGCCTGGGCGACAGAGCAAGAATCCGTCTCAAAAAAAAAAAAAAAAAAAGAAAAATCCCACAGTGGATTACCACTGAATTATTTACCCTGCCCTGAAGGATCACAGTGTTGACTGGCCAACTTCCGCTCTATGGAATAAAACTGGTAACACATCAGGAAGGGGCATTTTAAACAGGAAGCCATTTCCAAGGAACAGAACTTTGACAGCGAATGAGATGTATTAAATGTATTATGTTAAAATTATAGGAATAAAAAGAGTTTCTAAGAAAGATGTGGTATAGTTTCAAAAAATGAAATCCAGAATAAATAGCTTAGGAGGGTAGGAAGGGGTTTGGAGAAGGAAGGTATGAAACCAACATCAGCTCCTAACAAAGTTTCACTAGTTTGTAAGAAACTTTAAAAAAAAGAAAAGATAATAAAATATACAGGCTGGTGCTCAGGTTTGGAGTTCAATTTTTCAATGAATTGAGTTAAATTTCCGTGGGACTTCAAGTCAAACTGTCTGATAGGGCATTTAGATTTTTTTTTTTAATTAGGCAGGAGATGCTGATAGAAGATGGCAAAAAAAAAAAAAAAAAATTACAAACAAAGTGGAAGCAGGGAAGGCTAGGATGGAATGAATAAACCATTTCAAGCTTTGCTCCCTTGCCCAAGCATGTGGGGAACTCCACAGCACCTCAAGAGCCTGGGCATAAGTTCTACCCATTCCAAAAGAAGGGACTTGTTATGTTATCCTTTTCTTAGAAAGGGCAACCACAGTTCTTGGTTCTCTGTTATCTGCCATATGTGCACTTGATTCTCATATCTAGATCAGGGGTCATCTTCTATCTCCACATTTTCCAGGGGAGGAAGCAAGTTCAGAGTTCCTAAATACCTTAGCAAGGTTGAGCAGCCAGCCAGCCCCAAGCAGGACTCGGCATTTATTTGATCTTAGAGCCCACTATTGTCCCACTATGACATCTTAGTGGGAAATGGGGCCCAGGGAATGAACTGTAGGAGTTTTATAACCATAGCAAATTAAATAAATCACCTGAAGGCAGAAAAATATTTCATCATTAGACAAATAGTAACCAATTTACTGGAAAATGTCCTCCTTTGTGTAAAGAGATTGATATGACCATTGCAATATTATTATTTTTGCTATTTGTAAGTTAGATGGAAGTCAAGAATCATATCTAAAACCATTTGTTATAGGAGGCCATAGGATAAATTCCTGGATTCAGAAGAACAAGCCAATGAAATGGCCAAAACTCCTCCACCTACATCCCTTTCCCCTTATTTAATAATTATGGACACAAGCACATGTACGTAGTGACATCCCTTTCCACTGCCCGTCGGCAACAAGCTGCCCTGTTCTCTTACCTCTAAAACTACCACCAGCTCTGTCATGGGGCAAATCCCAAAACTGGTGTTCAGCCTAGGAGGCTATGTGGGTTCTTGGCTCCATGAAAGAAAGAATTCAAGAGCAAGCAGACAGAGTAAAATGAAAGCATGTTTATTTGGCCAGGTGCAGTGGCTCACCCCAGTAATCCCAGCACTTTGGGAAGCCAAGGTGGATGATCACTCGAAACCAGGAGTTTGAAACCAGGCTGGCCAACATGGCAAAACCTCATCTCTACAAAATATACAAAAATTAGCTGGGTGTGATGGTGCACACCTCTAATCCCAGCTACTCGAGAGGCTGAGGCTTGAGAATCACTTGAACCCGGGAGGTAGAGGTTGCAGTGAGCTGAGGTCATGCCACTACATTCCAGCCTGAACAACAGAGCCAGACTCTGTCTCCCACTCCCCACCAAAAAAAGGAAGTATGTTTATTAAAAAGTAAAGAGGCTGGACAGGTTTTAGCAGGCTTCTCACTGCATGCTGTTTTATCAGCAGGTCTTTGTGACCCGTGTAAATGAAACAGTAGCTGAGACAGGTCTCAATCAATTTAGAAGTTTATTTTGCCATGGTTAATGACATGCTCGTGACACAGCCTCAGGAGATCCTGAGGACTTGTGTCCAAGGTGTTCGGGCTACAGCTTGGTTTTATATGTTTTAGGGAGACACAAGAGAGCAATCAATACATGTAAGATGTAGATTTGTTCAGTCAGGAAAGGCGAAACAACTGGAAGTGGAGGGAGGGGGCTTCCAGGTCATAGGTGGATTCAAAGATTCTCTGATTGGCAATTGGTTGAAAGAGTTTATTTAAAGACCTGGAATCAACAGAAAGGAGTGTCTGGGTTAAGATAAGGGATTGTGGAGACCAAGGTTTTTATTATGCAGATGAAGCCTTCAGGTGGCAGGCTTCAGAGAGAATAGATTGTAAATATTTCTTATCAGACTTAAAAAGGTGTCAGACTCTTAATTCTCTCCTAAATCAGGAAAAAGACCTGGAAAAAGAAAGGGGTTATCTGCAGAATGTAGATTTTCCCCACAAGAGACATATTTGAGGACCATTTCAAAACATGTCAAATAAATATAGTTTGGGTTTAATTATGTTGATTTCTTTTAGGGCCTACTATCCGTCATGTTGGTATCTTATTGCTACAAAGAGTCTGCTTTGTCAGTCTTAAGGTCTCTTAATGTTAACACTGGTCAGGTGTGCCTGATTTCCAACGGGAGGAGAGTAAAATGAGGCATGTTTGACCCCCACTTCCCATCATGACCTGACCTAGTTTTTCACGTTAACTTAGAAATGCACTTGGCTGAGAGGTGGGGTCTGTTCAATGGGTTGAGGGGCTCAGATTTTTTTCTTTTATTGAGATAGAGTTTTGCTCTTGTCACCCAGGCTGGAGTACAATGGTGTGATCTCAGCTCACTGCAATCTCTGCCTCCTGGGTTCAAGTGATTCTCCTGCCTCAGTGCCCCCAGTAGCTGGGATTACAGGTGTCCACCACCACACCCAGTTAATTTTTTTTATTTTTAGTAGAGACGGGGTTTCACCATGTTGGCCAGGCTCGTCTCAAACTCCTGAACTCAAGTGATCCGCCCACCTGGGCCTCCCAAAGTGCTGGAATTATAGGCGTGAGCCACCTTGCCCAGCCCTAGAATTTTATTTTTGATTAACACCTGTGTCTTGTTAAACAAGTTCTACCAAATTTCAATCTCACCTCCATCTTCACAGACAAACGATAGCAAAAGGGCATGAAGAAATACAAGATTATGAGGCACACCAAAGCTGCCAAAGTGTTCTGATTGAATCCTAGGCAATGTCTAAAGACAAAATCACAGCAATTCAGTTTAAAGATCTTACTTGGCCTATATTTGTGATTCTAGAATCAGGCAACACTTTATTCCGTAAAACAGAATGAGTGTTCTGACAATCTGAGCAGAGGAGGTTGGCTTTACAGACAGAAAAGGGCTGAGAAATGCAGACAGAGAGAACAAAAAGATTGGTCATTTCGAAGTTACTTTTCTTATAGGGTTCAAAACAGAGGGGACTGACTGGGCACAATCACTCACACCTATGAAGAAAATGAAAATATTCTGCCCCAAAATATATTTCTTTGGCATATGTTGAAATGGCTGCCACCTAGGCATCCTGACAGAAGTGGCCTTTCAAAGCTGCCTTAAGTGGTGTATTAGTCTGTTCTCACACTGCTATAAAGACATACCCAAGATGGGGTAATTTATAAAGAAAAGTTGTTTAATTGACTCACAGTTCTGCATGGCTGGGGAGGCCTCAGGAAATTTACAATCATGGTGGAAAGGGAAGTAGGCACGTCTTACATGGCGGCAGGTGAGAGAGTGTGTGTGGGAGAAATGGTCAAACACTTATAAAATCATTGGATATCCTGAGAAATCCATCATTATCCTGAGAACAGCATGGGGGAAAACCACCCCCATGATCCAGTCACCTCCTACCAGGTCCTGCCCTTGACACATGGGAATTATGGGGATTATAATTCAAGATGAGATTTGGGTGGGGACACAGAGCCAAACTATATCAAGTGGGAAAAATGTGCATCTGTAGAGAATCTCTGTTAATGCATCCAGACCCCTCTCCTTTCTGTTCCTTTCCCCAGATCCGGGGGAGACATTGAGAATCTGACACCTTTAAAAGTCTGAAAAGAAACAGTTTACCATCTATTCTGTCTGAGGGAGGCTTCATCTACATAACAAGTCCTCCTTTGCAGCCAAGCCTCTTCTCCACCTCCCACACCCTGTTTTACCAGAATCTAAGCCTCTAGTCTTTCTGTAACCTCGAAATGGTATACAAGTTTCTTAACTCATTGGGAATTTAGATCTTCATTCTGTAGACTCTTGTGTATGCACATTAAATAAATTTGTATGCCTTTTCTCCTATTAATCAATGTGCCTCATGTCAGCGATTTTTAGCAAAACTTTAGGGGGCCAAGGGCCTACAGCCCCAACACCTCTAATCCTAGCACTGTAGGGAGCTGAGGTGGGAGGATGGCTTGAGCCCAGGAGTTCAAGACCAGCCTGGGCAACACAGAGAAACCCCTATATCTACAAAAAAATTAAAAATTACTTCAGTGTGGTGGCACATACCTGCAGTCTCAGCTACTCTGGAGGCTGAGGCAGGAGGATCATTTGAACCCAGGAGTTTGAGGCTGCAGTGAGCTATGATCATGGCACTGCACACTCAGCTGGGTAACAGAGCAAGACCCTGTTTCAAAAAAAAAAAAACAAAAAACAGAGGGGACTTCCTTATTATACCGAATCAGGTTGACTAGAATCTCCTGTTTTTAGGAAAACTGTCCTATTTCAATGTTCAATTTGATTACATGGCACTTAGCACCAGTGACTCCATTCTGGTTTGGCCTGATCTCCTAGGGCCCAGTGCAGGAGGCCAGCCCAAAACAGTGGTCTCTCATGCACTTTGTTTCCCAGCACAGATGTTCCAAGGACAGAATGGACAGCAAAATGTTTCACTTCCATTCAACAAATTGCTTCATTTGGAACTGCGTCAAAAAGTTGCTAGCCCTTTTTTACATTGGTGATATTCCCAACATGTAGTCATATTTTCCTACATCTTAAGTTTTTGCTTCCAAAGAAGCAAGAGCTTGGAATTCTTTACAGAGAAAACATGTCTAGTGAGTTGAAATCTGCTCCCACCCTGCACTGAGATTCTATACCCCCAGTAGACTGACCTTGGGTCTGACATTCCCTGTGCTAGAGCTAAGGCCTTTCAGGATTTTAATATAGAGTAAACTTTCATTTTCTTCCATTAAAATGGCAGTCCTCCAGCATTTTTTTCTCATCTGTTGGCAGTGAGTGTAAGTTCAGCACTTACTTATTTCCCTGGCTCAGCAAAAAGATACACATGCCACTTGACAATGAAGATTTAGTAAAAACTCATTTTGGAGGAGAATTACTTATTTGAATTTTGCCAATGAAAGTGAGATAATTTCAAAATGAGTCCATATGTTATGTTGCATGGTTAATGAGAATGGAGTCATTCCAAACTGATTGGACATTTTATTTCTAATTTTACAATTCTTTGAGTTATTTAAAACTTCTCCATTACTTCTCCATTGCTTATCTAATTTGTCCTTATTTTCCTGGAAACTATGTATTTTTTTCCTCAATTGATGGATTTGTTCTTATCCATCAAAAATAGGTAAGGATTGGCCAGGTGTGGTGGCTCACGCCTGTAATCCCAGGCAGGCGGATCACAAGGTCAAGAGATTGAGACCATCCTGGCCAACACGGTGAAACCCTGTTTCTACTAAAAATAGAAAAATTAGCTGGGCGTGGTGGTGGGCACCTGTAGTCCCAGCTACTTGGGAGGCTGAGGCAGGAGAATTGCTTGAATCCAGGAGGTGGAGATTGCAGTGAGCCAAGGTCACGCCACTGCAATCCAGCCTGGCAACAGAGCAAGACTCTGTCTCAAAAAAAAAAAAAAATATATATATATATATACACGTATATGTGTATATATATGTGTGTATATATATGTATATATGTGTATATATGTATATGTGTATATATGTATATATATGTGTATATATATGTATATGTGTATATATGTATATATGTGTATATATGTGTATATATGTGTATATGTGTATATATGTGTATATGTGTATATATGTGTATATGTGTATATATGTGTATATGTGTATATATGTGTATATATGTGTGTATATATATACGTATATATATATAAAAGAATAGGTAAGGACTGAATTATATTCAATATACTATAGAAACATATCTTATCTCTATGAGATTAGTTTAATTTTTCTTTCCATTAGAATCAATTCATTTATTCTTACTTTGTTTCAATAACAAATATGAAGAAAATATCTGGGGATAAATTCACTTATCCTCAATTTTTTTCTCTTTTTTTATATTCTTCCCATTACTTGATAACCTTAGTCTATAATCAGTCCTGTTTTACAATCTTGTAATCACCTTTGCTTTCCTAAAAGTGATCAGTTCAGTATTTAGTTAGTTGCTGGATTTGAGAGAGAGAGAGAGAGAGAGAGATCATGTTTATTTCACCTTAAAAACCAAAGATAAAGATATTTGCCTCTATAGCATAATGCTTTAAACATCAGTGCTACAGTGGCTATTACAGATGGAATCCTAGCCTATGCAAAGGCTGTGGCCAAGAGATCTCTGCCAGAAGCCACCCTGTGGTATTCCTCAGGCCCCTCTCTCTGGAAGGAATTTTTACTTCCTACATCCAGTCTCCTCCCAGGATATTTGCCACCTAGGCAAATGCTAGGACCTTTGGCTTTCTTACTCCCCACACACCCAGGACTTTTCCTGCCCTTGTCACGTACAGCTATATGTTAAAGAGTTTGTTTAACATCCATGCCCGTGGTCTTCCACATTACTCCAACATGAAAAAGAGTTGTCGAAATGGACAAATAAACTTTAATCTATTCACTTTCTCCAAAATAACACTGAACATTTTCTCATGAATTCAGATGACCAGTCAGAGAACATACGTCAAAGTCAGGGGTGGTCTTCCTTCTTGGGGCTTTGGTTCACTAATCCTCCACTATGCACTGATTGTTGATTCTAAATGGCATCAGTGATATCTTACAGAGGGAAAGTCCAATGTTCTTTGCTTCTTGTCCATCTGGGATAATTTTTTTCTCTGAATTCCCAATATTTTTTTCTTGTTCTTCTCATTGATCTATTGTTGATTTTTAAAACTACCATCCCCATGATTCTGCTTCCTTTCTGATCCTTCATCATTTATTCTGCCTATAGACAGAAAGGGGCTTTAAGCTTCACTTGGGAAGCCTGTCCAGGATTCCCTGAAACATCACTTCCAACTATTGGAATCCAGAGATCTCAGATGTGTTTAGTGTCTGTGGTAGGCAGACCAATGGTTGCCCAAGGACGCCCACGTCCTAATCCTTGGAACCTGTGAATATGGCACTTTACATGGCAAAAGGGACTTTATAGATGTGATTAATGATCTTGAGATGGGGGGTCATCTGGATTATCTGGGTAGCCCCAATGTGATTTTATAAAGGAGCAAGAAGTTAGAGTTAGAGGAGATGTGCAGACAGCTCAGAGGCTAGAATCACACACCACCATGAGCCAAGGAATGCAGGGCCTCTAGAAGCTGGGAAAGACCCAGAGCTGATTCTCCCCAGAGTCTTCAGAAGGACAGCGGCTTTGCTGACACCTTGATTTCAGCCCAGAGAGACTCATTCTGGGCTTCTGACCTCCAGTGCTGTAACATAATAAATTTGTATTCTGTTAAACCACCAACTTTGAGGGACTTTAATTATAGCAGTCATAAGAAATGAATGTTGTGTCTTTTATTTCTTCATTTAACCACCTTAGTTCTTTTCATGCTATCATCACTTGTTCTTTAATGTCTGTTATTTGTTAATGTCCTTTCCCCCTATTTTTTTCTGCCTGTATTTCACAGAGGATCTCTAAGTTCTGAGCACTGACACCATCCTGTAAATGGCCAGGTGCTGCTCCTGCCCCTAACAGTCTTCTTTGCTTCCTGCTAATTATTACACTCTGGAGGCGAGAGCTGAGCAGTTGTTGATTGGGGCTCAGCAACACTTTTGCCTCCTTGCTTTAAACACACTTTGTGCTCTGTCTCCTTTCCCAAAATTGTTCTGTCCTCTTGAAGTTAATTAATCCTTTTCTTTTCATGAGATTTGAGAAAAGTGCCTCCCCTCACCATATGTCCCATTTTTCATATTTGTCTACTGGATAATGGATCTTGTCTCTCCTTTGCATTCCTAGAAGTGATTACTTTGGTATTTAGCTGCTTGCTGGGTTTGAGAGAGAGAGAGAGAGAGGGAGGAAGAGAGAGTAATATAAACCCTTTATCTTTCCTTCTAAGGTTTAATCTTTAGCTAATTAACTTCAGGTAAGAAATTCCCCATCTTCTAAGTCTAAGCAACTACTGTGCTACCCAAATTTATATCTCTTTTCTGTTTGTAATCCAATCAGCCATATCTTTCATTTAAAATGTAAAGGCATGCACATATTCTCAGACCATCCTTCTAAAAACTCACTTCCTCCAAGATTCAAAGTCTTCTGAGACTGTATATTTCTCCTTTGCTTATAAAGTTTCATTTCTCATGAGACAAATAGGTAGTTTTCTTTATCAAACTGTCTGTATAATGAGAGTATAAATTGGTAAATTTTTCAGGCAAGCAATTGGACCACAAATTTCAAGGCCTTGAAAACCTCAGAGCTTTGTCACAACAATCCATGAATAAATTTCATAAAGTTAGAATTTCATAGGAATTCATGACATAAATTTACTTGTTTACTTATGAAATAAACTTATGAAATAATTGGAGACATGCAAATATTTACACATACGTATTTATGATTGAATTATTTATACAAAATGTAGACAACAAAAAACCCAATAATAAATGTGTAACCTTATAAAATTAAACACTGTGCAGTAAAATTTGAAAAATCAGATTTCTAAAAGGTCAGATTTTCAAAAATTATTTAATGACATAGGAAAGTGTCCATGATTCAAATCTTAAAAACAAAAACAAAAGCAAATCCCAAGTTATAAGGTGAGTATAATTTGAACTCAACTGGGAAAGCACAGACACACTCATTCACACACAAAATGGAAAGTTCCATAAAGAAATACACCAATCTGTTAACAGTATTTATCTCTACATGGTGATGATGTTAATAATGACATTTTATTTTTTTAATTTAATTTGATTATTATTATTTTTTTGAGACAGAGTTTCACTCTTGTCACCCAGGCTGGAGTGCGATGGCATGATCTTGGCTCACTGCAACCTCTGCCTCCCAGGTTCAAGCAATTCTCCTCCCTCCACCTCCCCAGCAGCTGGGATCACAGATGCCTGCCACCACGCCTGGCTAGCTAATTTTTGTATTTTAGTAGAGACAGGGTTTCAACATTTTGGCCACGCTGGTCTTGAACTCCTGACCTCAAGTGATCCGCCCGCCTCAGCCTCCCAAAGTGCTGGGATTACAGGTGTGAGCCACCATGCTTGGCGCATTTTATTCATAATGTTTTCTGTATTTTCCAATTTCTCCACAATAAACACCTAAAACTTTAGGAAACAAATCTAAAAACAAAACAGTTATTTGAATGTTGACCAGCATAGTCAGTGATAAGACTGCAGACTGGAGCCCGACTGCCTGGAGTCACAATCCAGGCTCCAAACCACACAGTCTGTGTAAAGTGCTTAGACTGTGCCTTCCCCATAGTGAGTCCTAGGTGAGGGTCCTGACTATGGACTACAGTGGACACTTTCAGATTATCAGGCTGGGACCTCCACCCACACAGGTGGGTGATGATCGCAGGACCTTCAGTGCCTTCCTGGCCAGGCAGCAGTAAAACATCTGGTGAAGGGGGCCAAACGGTATTTTCCCGCTAGGAATTCTGGAAATGAACCCGAGAAAGGAGTACAGTCTACCTTGACTGCCTGGTCTGTGACATGTAAAATTGGGAACTGTTAGACATTCCTCTACCCTGCCTCACTTGCCCCAATACCTGTACCATGGGACCCAGGTATATTCATATATATCCCATCTGTGTCTATGAGGAGGCAATGAAGTCTAGAATTATAAATACCATTGTTTTATTGTATATTGTAAAATCAAGATATAACTAATTATATATTAATAATAAATATGTATCACAGAAGCACATGTATTATATAAATATGCATGAGCCATGATTCTAGACTTGGTCACCAACCTGCAAAATGAAATAGAGAAGAGCAGAGGTGAGGAACCTGAGTGCAGCCTGGCCCACATGGTCTAGATGCTCAGCAACCCCTCTGGTCCTATTACCTCGCCCTTCTTGTAAACCCATCTAGGACTCTGCAACCACAGGAATCCTAACTAGTGCAAATCTGGTTGACGGTGGGCTCTGCACAGTCCCACAGCTGCAAGCTTCTTCCAGTCCCTCTCCCTGTGGCTCGTGAGAAAACACACACCAGAGGAAGCTCACAGATGACAAGCTGTCCAGGAGGTCTGGGGGCTTGGGAGCATGGGGAGGGCAAGGAGCCACAAGTCCAGGGAGCAAGGAAGTGACGAGAACAACTGGCCAGCTGCTTCCTATTAGTGGAATACTGCTTCCTGTTAGGGAAATAGACAATTACCTGGACAATTACCTCAAGTGGAGGACCCAGTAAGCTTATCAGAGTGTTTGTATGTAGAGGCCTGTTCCATTAGATCTTCACAGACTCGAAACTGCGCTTTACTAATACCCAATTTGAGTTAATTTACTTGAGATTTCAGAATCAAAGTCAAAAGATTTTGAAAAAGCCAAAATTATAGGATATATAAATATTAGGTTGGTGCGAAGTGATTGCAGTTTTTGCCATTACCTTTAATGGAAAAAAATGCAATTACTTTTACACCTATCTACCATTATGGTTTGCTAAGTTTTTATAAGTATTAATAGTTACAGCATGCTTAATTTGTTGTCTATGTGTCTTCTTTAGCGGTTAGTATATTCTGAATATTTTTTCTTTTGTAAATAGTGAATACTTGAGGGGACACGCTTTGAGGCTATGCAAATTTCTGGTTCTCCTTAAACTTTTGTCCTCTAACATTAGCATTCATCAATGGACTGCACCTACAGTAGCTATTACTGCGGTGTCCTCATGGTCACTGTCTACTTCCCTCATTTCTCCTGCGCATATTAACTGCGCCTCCCCTGTAATGAAGAGTTACACCCTTTCCCTCATTTGTTTGTCTATTAAATCATTTATGTAATATAGACTCACAGATGTTTATCTTATATATTAGTTATTTCTTTTAGCTCATTGCTCAAATTGTTCCAGTTTTGTCCATTATAAACTCTTTAGATTAGGTTTTGTGTCGTTTTAATATACTTTCCTTTTTTCTTTCTTTCCTTCTTTTTTTTTTTTTTTTTTTTTGAATAGTACTTATTTACTTTCTCTTGCCACAAGATGCTCCAGGCTCATCCTGGATTGTTCGATTGTTCCTGTCACAGCCTTGGTGAATTAGTCAGCTGGGCTGCCATAACAAAATGCTATAATATATGAGTGGCTTAAACAATAGCAGTGTATTTCTCATAGTTCTGGTGGCAAGAAGTTCAAGATCAAGCTGCCTACAAGGAAGACTTCCTTCTGAGGCCTCTCTCTTGGCTTGTAGGAGACTGCCATCTTGGTGTGTGCTCACATGGTGAAGAGAGAGAGCACTCTCTGGTGTCTCTTCTTATATGAGACTTCATCTAACACTAATTACCTCCAAAAAGCCACATCACAAAATACCGTTAAATTAGAGGTTAGGGCTTCAACATAGGACTTTGAGGCAGGGGACACAAAAACACTTAGTCCATCACACTTAGAATCAAGCATTTCTTCCAGGAGCCCTGGTTTACTTTATTAGAAAATGTTTGTATTTAGGAGCCAAGACCTGGACATTAGGATTGCTTGTTGCTACTGGGGTGTTCCTGCTTCTAAGTAACATTAGGAAGAACTAGGAAATATCTGTATATATACTAATTTATGTATATACACAATTTTTATTGATTTATTAATAGACTTTATTTTCTAGAGCACTTTTAGGAGTACAGCAAAATTGAGTGAAAACGACAGATTTCTCACATAGCCCTGTCCCCACACATGCACAACTTTCCCCACGATTTACATCTCACACCAGAGCGGTACATTTGTTACAAGCAGTGAACCTACACTAACACATAATTATCACTCAAAGTCCATAGTTTACATTAGGGTTCGGTTTTAATCTTTTGTATTCTATGGGTTTTGACAACTGTATAATTTCCAGCATCGTAGTGTCATATAGAGTAGTTTCATTGCCCAGAAAATCCTCTGTACTCTGTCTATTCATCTCTCATCTCTCCTTCTCCCAATTTAATGGCCACCATGAATCTTTTTACTGTCTCCATTTTCCTTTTACTTAATGTCATATAGTTGAATTACACAGTGCATAGCCTTTTCGGGTTGGCTTCTTTCACTTAGTAATATGCATTTAGGGTTTCTCCACACTTTTTCATGGTTTGATAGCTCATCTTGTTTTAGCACTGAGTAATACTTCATTGTTTGGATATTCCATGATTTACCTATTTACCTACTGAAGGACATCTTGGTTTCTTTCAAGTTTTGGATTGTTGCTTCCTCTCTCTAGGCCATTATGAATAAAGTGTCTATAAAAATATTCCAAGTAGGAAGTTGTGCAAACCCTAAATCACTGGGAAAGGTTTTTGTGTGGACATAAGTTTTCAGTTTACTTGGGTAAATATCAAGGAGCATAATTTCTGGGTCATATGGTAAGAGTATGTTTACTTTTGAAAGAAACTGCCAAACTACTTTCCAAAGTGGCTGCACCATTTTGCCTTCCCACCAACAATGAATGAGAGTTCCTGTTGCTCCACATACTCACCAGCATTTGCTGTTGTCAGTGTCCTGTATTTTGGACATTCTAGTAGGTGGGTAGTGTTATTTCATTGCTGTTTTAATTTGCAACTTTCTAATGAGATATGATGTTGAGCATCTTTTCATATACTTATTTGCCATCTGTATATCTTCTTTGGTGAGGTGTCTATTTAGGTCTTTTGACTATTTTTCAATCAGATTGTTTGTTTTCTTATTGTTGAGCTTTAGGAGTTCTTTATTTTGGAAAACAGTCTTTTATCAGATGTGTCTTTTGCAAATATTTTCTCCAAGTTCATGGACTGTCTTCTCATTCTCTTGAGATGCATTTATCATTATTGTTATTTTTAAGTTTTATTTTAAGTTCAGAGGTACATGTGCAGGTTTGTTATACAGGTAAACTGATGTCATGGGAGTTTGTTGTACAGATTATTTTATCACCCAAGTATTAAGCCTAGTACCCATTAGTTATTTTTCCTGATCTTCTCCCTCCTCCCATGCTTCACCCTCCAGTAGACCACAGTGTCTGTTGTTCCTCTTTATGGAGACACATGTATTTTAATTATAATGTAAAGCAAAATAATAAATAGTAAAGTAACATAATGTAAAATAAGCTATCCTATTATTTTTTACATTTTTATAAATGTATTAAAAATACCATGTGTTCATACCAATGCCTCTTGATATCACAGGCTCATTCTAGCTTTGTCCTTTGTCATTTGTATTGATCATCTATCAATGAGTAATAGGAAGCAAAAGGAGGCTTACGACCCAGAGCCTGGGTGGAGCCTGAGTTCAGCTTGCAGATCATGGTGATGCTGCTTGTGAGGCTGGGAACCAGATATCTCCAGGTCCTCTGAAGTACCCTTGTGGGGACATATTCGAACTCCTTCAATTCCCAGAACTTCTGTGACTCCTTCAAAAGCCTGGAAAAGGAAAGGTTGTTCTCCCACTTCTTAAATAAGGAAGAGGTAAACCAAGACACTTGTACTCAGCGAAACCTGGTTGGAATCATTCAACACTGAGAATTTATTGCCTTGAGTGCAAAACTATTTAGAGGCTAGTTAAGAATTTTCTGGAAAATCGTAAAGTACAAGAAAAATGCCTATTGAAATAATAAATGTCATTTAAATTTGTGTGTGTGTGCGCGCGCACGCATGTGCATGCTATGGATTTAGTTCTTTTAGAATAGAAGAATTGAAGGCTTGTCAAAGCTATTCCCTTGGGTGTGGTGGTGGCAAAATGTTGTAAAATGAGGATGATAAATTAGTAGTTTGGAGGCAACTTGCGAATTGCACCATCTCAATTCCAGCCCTGGTGCTTCCTTGACTCACAGTGAGAAACTGAAGTATTTTTTCTCAGATTTACTAACGTGAGGGCTCTGACAGGTGAGAGAGGGCTCTGATGAATGTTTTCCTTACACACTGGAGTGCTGCTCTTTGCCCCCAGTGTGGCCACATCCAACTCAAAGCAGCTCAAGTGAGAGTCTCTATGGCCTAGCCTTCTGAAAACAGAATACTATACACACACCACAGGGGGAAAAATAAAGAGTCAAGGAAAAGGCATCACAGCTGCCTATTTGGGCCCAGACCTGAGATCATTTTTGTGACTTTTGGCTGTAAGATTTCAGGAACACTCAGATTTTAAATTTTAACGGGCAGTTTCTAAGGAATTACTTTTCTGGCAGCAGAGGTAAAGGCACAGAGGGAAGCTCCCAGGACTGCCTAGGGACACTTTCGGGCCTACGGAGACAAGGCTGCATCTTCTTTATCACAGTAGGTGTCAGCTGTCACTGGAAATAATTGTTCCCCTGACATTTTTGCCAACTGCAGAGTTACAAAAGGCCCTTTCACTATTTTTATCTTCATTCAGACTCTGGTAATTTTTTATAATTTCTGAATTTTCTTTTCATTTAAAAATATTAGTCTACTAATTCCACTTTTAGAAATTTATCCTAGGTATATGTTGAGAAATGCATGAAAATATTTACCACCTGTGAAGTTCATCATATCTTTATGTACATTGTACAAGATATTAAACAATCTAAGTGGTAGTCCCGGTTAAGTAGATTACGACAATGGAATATAGCGCGATTATTTCACAATTTTTTTCAAAGTCTGTTTAATAATATTTCTATCAGTTCAATAAGACCTCTTTTACCTGTGTGCCAGAGAGACTTTATTGGACTGTTGAAAATGTTCTAAAACTGATTAATAGTGATGGCTGCACAACTTGGTAAATTTACTGTTCATTGAATTGCACACTTGAAGTGGGTAAATTATATGATGCGTAAAATGTGTCTCATTAAAGTTGTAAGAAAATTGCTGATTGCTGAGACCTAGATCACTGCTGCTATCCATGGGTCAGAGTAGGGGTGTCACGGAGATTAGTAAATATGTGCAGTATAGACCGAGTTCCCTTGGCAGTTGTTGAAACGTCAATCATAGCTCCTAAGATTATTCTCCTAGTTCCTAGTTTCAGGTTCCTATTCTCCTAGGAGAATATGCATACTTGGAATTGTAATTTTCAGTAACTGGGATAACTCCCATATTGGCTACTAGACCCACTGAGTAGAAAGGAAAACTGAGAAGTCCGTGAACCTGTTACAGTGATGAAATCGCACTCTGGCTCTAACCAGTAGGAAGTGGTGCACACCCTAAATCACTGGGAAAGGCAAACTGCCAGAGGGAGGGAGATAAGCACCATGAACATGCAGGGCTCACCCTGATAAAGCACTGGGGTCTAGTGTCCTGGGGCACATCGGGATACCCCTCCCAGACAAAGGAGACAAAGGACAAGCTGCTAAACCTAGAGCTCCCCACCTCCAAGAAGACAACACGTTGGACTTTGGATATATATATTCCATAACTTTTGGGGGGCCCATTTTGATTCACTTACTGTTTTTTCAAATTACTTCCAGTTTTGATTGGTACCCAGAGGAAAAATCAGTTTTTCAAGTGATGCAGCTGCAGTAAAAGAAGCTGGGTTCATCAACTTACAAACTGGCAGAGCCAACTAAGGGCAAAGTACCCAAACAGCTTGGCTGCTGTCTGAAGCCCGCAGTGAGCCCAAGTGGAGAATGAGAGCCTCTGCATTCCATCAGGAATTACCTTCCCTTTGAGAAAACATTTCTTAGTTTGTAACTAGGCTCTGTGGAGACTCAGCATCTGACTATATCACCAGGTGCTGTAGACGCTGTTGGCTGTCAAACCAATTCCTATGTGCTCAAACCCTTATCCCCATGTCTGTAACATTAGCAGGACTGGAGGAGCTATATTATCAAATATTCCTCCACTTCTGTAGATGAGGGTGGGGTAGGATGCCACAGGTCACAGATTTTGGGCCAATAAGACCAAAGCAGAAGTCCCTGCAAAGATAACTGCAAAGGTGCTGGTCCTGGGTCACTGAGCCTGCATCCCCTCCGACTTATTTCTACAAGAGTACAAGAGAAAAGCAAAGCCCTATGTGCTGAAGTCACTATGAGTTGTATACTCTGTTGTTTGCATCCTGAAGCATCCCTAATTGATACACCAGGCATCTGTGTGACTTGAGCAGCCCTTGCTGACCTGGGAATTGTCAGTTTCATCTTAGAGAAGCTTTGCACCCCATTGTCTAGCAAGCCTGCAGCACCCAATCTCAGAGAGCCTCATCCCACCACCTTGTTCCTTTTTCTTCAAGCTTCACTTTTATCTTCAGGGTACATTCCTGAGGAACAATTCATTAGGAAGAAACAGATGACTCTGCATGGCATCACAGCTCAGCAGTGGCACTAAAGGACAGTGGAGGAGGAACCTCCCTGTGGTAAGCAGAACTTCAAGCCACATATTTCATTCCCCACATTTCCTGGAATGAGGGGTGGCTAGAGATAGGGGTGCACAGTTCATTCCAGCTCAGTGCTTTGGCCAAATAGCAAGGGATTTAGAAGCAACAGAGTGGACCTGGAGACAAAAAGCGTGGAAAAGAGGATATGGATTGTCTTTTCAGAATGGTGCAAGAGTAGCAGAATATCTGCATTCTCTGCGGCTGCTCCCAGGCTGGATGAGATGTCCTACTCTGTCACTGTGGGTCAGCATCCTCCTCCAACCAGCCAATCTCTTGCGTGGTGGTATTCTAGAGAGTGGCCAAACTGTCGGAAAGGAGGTGACGAAATGGGTCAAAAGCAATTCTCCACAACTTGCTTTGCCATCCCCTCTGCATAGTGCCCAAGCGGCTGGCACCATTCACCAAATTGAGATTTTAATATTTACCATACCCTAGGAACAGCCAGCTTCTTGGTAGCACAGTGACTGCACCAAGCATCTTCCGTCATAGAAGCACAGCGATCTGCTTCACTGGAATTAAGATGAACTTTGTGCTTCAGTTTGCATTCATGCTACTTTCAGCATCACTACGTCCCAGACTTTCTAAACATCTTATACGTTGTCATGTTGCCCCACATTACATTGCTTCTGACAAATAATTAATTTTATAAAAACAACTACCTTAATGTTTGTGGTTTTCACAGGATTTATCAGGTGTACTATCCTCCAGATATAGGCAGCATATATATTCTTAAATACATATTAAAAACTCAGTTTTGACCCCAGCTGGGAGAAGAGCATCTTGTGAGGCTGGGATGCTGTCCTGTGGATGCAATATGTCCACTGAACCAGCAGTCAGTATGTGGTGCTTTCTCACCCTTGGCCAAAATACATGGATCTAAAGGTAAGAATAAAGGTGGCATGCCTCATGATTAGACCTATAGCCTAATGAAACATTTGTATTTCCAGTCCTTGTACTTCAGTGTTTTTCTTGTTTGGAGGTTTACTAGCTATGGAAGAAACCCTCCTATTAAGGATCACAACAATGTCTTCAACTGCTTGGCCATTTATGTTTTCAGGCCATTTGGCACAAAGAAAAAGAAAAGAAAAAAGTAAAGAGGAGAAGTTGTAGTGTTTGGGGGGCATAGGTCCTCACTATGAAGGAAATACTGAAGTTTTTTACACAATGGCAACAGGAAGGCAAGTGAATGGAGCCCAGGTGATTCTCCCAGGTCCTTATGCAACCACGCCCAATGCTATCACTGTATATGGGCTAGAATGCCAAGGGTTGATATTCATTGGTAATGAAAAGTTGAGTTATCCCAATGGGTAAACAACAACTTAGTTATTGGCAGAAGGCAGAAGGAACATAGAATACATTATGGGGAATGCAGTCTCCATTGACGTTGCCTTCCATGCTGGGTCATGCTATGTTCATAATTTTTTTAGTGATCTTTTCTTTCCCATATTGTATATAGGTGTACAATAAGTCCTGGTAGTACTAACACTGAAACTGAGAGCATAGGTTGCAGGATATTGAGAGGGCACTGCAATTGCTCTAGAAGACTGTGTATTACTCAAGGAACGTGGAGTGGTTGAAGTAAATGACTACAACTTGGATTATATTCCACTGAGGAGTGCTGTACTTTTAATCATACAAGAAAGGACTATATTATTTTAGGCAAGAGTACTTTCTTCCATAGGATTGAAGAAAGGTTTACATAGGTGTTGAGTGGTCAAAGGGAGGGGATGTAGAAATATTTCACATTTTCTTTAGAGGAGGGCCGCTACCTTGATTCAAAGGCTCTTCCAGTTTTGAAGGAGTGCCTCATTACCAGGCTTTATGGGAGGCAGAGCCCTCCCTCCCAGGCCAGAAGCAGAGAGACCAGATGCTTCCTCTCACCCCTAGCCTGCCAGCAACCTGGGCTGTGGGCAGGTAGCCAAGGCTGGAGTAATCTGATGCTCTTACCCAGGACTCAAATCCTGCTTTTTGGGTGAGCCTCTGAGACAGCTGAGATGTGAGCCCTGATGAAATCTGCACCAGACTGCTCTCGGCAGGGAGCTCAGCTCGGTCCGGCTGCCTGGTCTCCTGCTTCTCTCAGACGGGCTTTTGAGCCTTCTCACTGCTGCTGTAAACTACTCAGCATCCTTCCTTCTCTGATTAACTACCAGTCAATTTCTATCACTTGCAACCAAGAATCCTGACTAATGTGCCAAGTAATTTCTCTTTACTCTGAGCACGCCTCAAAAATGAAACACTTCTCTAAAAACAACTTGTTTTTCTTACCACAACTGTTTGAAGTAGTTTGATAACATTGCTTGGCCTAATAATTGCATAAATTATCTGGTATTCTGAGCTCACACACAACCAAATCAGGCCCAATCTAAGAATGTTAGAAAATTGTCTTTTGCCATGAAAATGTTTTCATAGTCTATGTATGATATGTGTGTAATCCACACATCAAACATTTATTATTCATCTCATAGATCCCAAGAATGGACGCTATTGCCTTTCAAGAGTTCAGACTACAGAATAATTGAGTACTACATGTACCTACAAGATTTGAGAATAGTTGAGAAGAGTGATCAGCACAAGGCTGGGGTTGCAAGGAGCATCCCCAAGAAGGTGAAATGCAACATGCATTGCACTAGAAAAATAAGAGCATTTCTTCAAGCAGAGGGCACAACATATGCAAAGGCCCAGGAATATTTCACACACTGTGTCAGGGAACTACGGGATGTTTGAAGTGGCTACAGCAAGCTTAGGAAAAGAGCAGTCAAGGAAAATGAAGTGAGTGTTGGGCAGAGGTCAATTCATGGATGGCTCTGTTGATTTTTTCCTAAATGTAAAAGGAATGTACTAGTTTCTCAGCGCTGCCATAACAAAGTGCCACGGACTAGGTGGCTTAAACAACAGACATTTATTTTCTTTCAGTTCCGGAGGATGGAAGTCTGCAATCAGGCTGTTGGCAAGGCTAGTTTTTCCTGAGCTCTCTCTCCTTGGCTTGTAAATGCCACCCTCTCCCCGTTGTCTTCACACGGTCCTTCCTCTCTGTGGGTCTGTGTGTCCTAATCTCCTCTTCTTATAAAGATGCCAGTCAGATTAGATTAGGGCCCGTCCTAAAGACTTCATTTCAACTTAATTACCACTTTAGAGACCCTGTCTGCAGATAGTCACATTCTGAGTTACTGGAGATTAGGATTTCAACATATAAATTTTGTTGGGGATAAAATTCAGGCCAGATACAGTGGCTCACACCAGTAATCCCAGTGTTTTGGAAGGCTAATGTGGGAGGACCACTTGAGGCCAGGAGTTCAAGACTAGCCTGGGCAATATAGCAAGACCCCAACTCTACAAAATTTTTTTTAAAAAAATTAGCTAGGTATGATGGCACGTACCTGTAGTCCTAGATACTTGGGAGGCTGAGGAGAGAGGACTGCTTGAGCCCAGAAATCCAAGGCTTTAGTGAGCTATGATTGTACCACTGCCCTCCAGCCTGGGGGACAGAGAAAGACCCTGTCTTAAAAAAAAAAAAAAAAAAATCAGCCCCAAACAAGGAACACAGAAGGGTTTATACAAAGGAGTGACATCATTAGAGCAACTGTTTAACAGGCCCACTTTAATGACAATTTGGTGCCCTAAGTATGTGTATGTAATTAAAGTCAAAATATCCCATTGTCTACAGCAAGGAATCAGATAAGTGAAATGACACCCAAAAATAAGCCTTTATTGAACAAATTAAAATTTAAATTATTCTAATTCACTTTATCCTAAATTGAGCTTTGATTTAAATTCATATCACACCATGGCCAGAAGGGAGATGTAAAAAGGCCTGAGAGAAAACATACTAAAAATCAATTTTAAAAAGTCTTAAACAGTCAATCTCAGTTACAAAGCATTTTCAGATAGCAAATTCTTGCTGAATTTCTCTCAATTTCTATACTTTTGAGAGACTCCTTTTCTATACCAGTGTAGAGAGGAAGAAGCAAGGGCGTGGACAGAGTAGGAGGCAGAGGTAATGGTAGCATAAAATCCTAGATTGCCTACGTACTTCCCTGTTTTATTTCACAATTGATTTTACATAGCCAATTTCACCTTTAATCATGAAGTTTTAAATGGCTTTCATTTCAAGATCCAAAAGACTATTTTAAAACGTGACATCCCATACATCTTTATTACTCACTTTTCACCAAACACTTTGAATTATCAAATAGTTTCTTGAGGGTTATAAATGTTAATAATTTTTATTCCCCACAATACCTTTCATAGTACCCTGAGTGTATTAAATAGTGCTCAAATATGTTTTATTTAATTATTAAAATAAGAGACACTTGAATTTCATAGCTAGTAAAATCATTTAAATGTGTATGTGTGAATATACAAAGACATACACGTGTATTACATAGCAAGATTTATTTCAAAGCATTTTGAAAACTATAAATGGTTATACCAAGAGAAAACATAACACAGCTCTGGTTGACCCACGGTTGCCCTCTGATGTTTTCAAACCATTATCATAATAAAGTGGAGAATTTGTCAAACCCAAGAACTCAAAAGATGCGTTTCAGAAGTTTTCATATGGACAAAAAAACTTGAGAAATTATTTATCAAGGTATCACAGATGATAACCAAATGTCAAAATTTTAAAAGAGCAGAAAATGATAAATAGTTCTGTTGCTCAGGAGGAAGTACAAGAATGTCCATGTGTGAGAAAATATGTATGTGTATAAATATATTTCTATACATACACACATAGACACACACATGCACACACATATACATGTGTTTATGTGTATATATGTGTGCATATAATATATGCATATGCATATCTATATATCTTATTCCATTATTTTTATAGTGTCCCCAAATTTTGTCTTTTCATCAACTTACTCTGAAATTTTGAAACAAATTATAGTGTACATTTTGAACATCAGCTTTAATAAAGTTTCTAAGTGCCCCATTTAAGTTAATTTCTGACTTATTAAAACTTCCCTAATGAATATTTTTAAAATACACATGCTTAATAAGACATATTTTCTGCTTTTATAGGAACGTTTTGAGAGAGTTGATTTTTCTCTGTAACTTATATTAGCAGTAATTTTATGAACTTAGTACATGTGCTTGATATATTGTCAGTGTTATTGAACAGGCTGGTTGATAGTTTGTCATCAATGTGGTGCTGTATTTCTAGAAATATTAAGAACTTAACCAATTCAATTTTGCACTTGGAAAAAAAATGAGTTCCAGAGGCAAAATTCCATGTCCTACATAAGAATATCCAGGCCTTCAGGAATCCTAATCCCTTCACAGAAATGGTGACAGCTATGTTTTTATCCCAGCCCCATGTCCACAGCTCTCTCCTCTCAACAGAGGCTTTCTTGACAGAGGTACTTCTGTAATCAACAGAGCATGGAATGGGGAATGTGGCTAATTCTGTGCTAGCTCTTTTTAAAGCTTCCACCCAGAAGTGCCACACATCAGTTTTCACATTCATTGACCAAGACTAGTTACATGACCAAACCTAAGTTTTAGGAGAGAGGAAAGTTTAATCCTTCCATGTTCGCAGAAGGAGAACAGGAAATATTAGTGAGCAATGCTGATGACAGGCAGTCCACCGTAATCCACAAGGACTGATAACAGCATCAGTCAGTGTAGCCTGGGGAAGCAATGGCTACAGGATTTTGGTCAACATATTCTTAGAAATAGTACGCTTGTCTCTTCTATTTAAACCAAACAGGAAAACCTGATGATGATTTTTATTATCTTATTGACTTCCTAATTCCACAGGCCTGGTAAAAAGACTCTATTCCCTAGTGAAACATAGGTAACTTTTTAATGTACATGACTTGGTTGAGAGATTGAATTCCGCTAAGTTACAGGAAGTGTAGAACACAGGGCCTTCTTTGTTCGCTTATCAGTATGTAGATAATTGGGTTATACACAGGGTCTTCTTGTCAAAATGAATGGTATAGTACTTATGACTGGTGACACCATTCCAGGTGGCCCATATGTAGCAAGTAAGCCAACACTCCATAGACCATCCCCAAAATGAGAAGTCAGATGACTTGACTAATGACCATGAGGAGGATGTGGTATTCCCTTTTCTGAGGAGCAGTCTTCTTGGTTTTCCCAACCTGAATGTATATCATTTAAATCCTGTTAGTAAAGTTTTAAGATTTTTGTTAATGGCTCAAAAGAAAAAAAATAGAAATCATAGATAGTCCTTTTATCCCCAAATACAGGTTTTCATTGAATAGTAAAGGTGAGTAAGATCTGTAGTTTACAGATGAGATTATGAGACCTAGTTAATTTAAAAACCTTATACCATTTCTTTGAACATAATCTCAGCAATAGTTAATGAAATTTAATCATGAGTCAGAAAGGCTATACAGTAGTCCCCCTTTATCTATGAGGGATACATTCCAAGACCCTCAGCAGATGCCTGAAACCGTGAATAGTACTGAACCCTATATTATATATAGGGTTTCAGGTGTATATATATATACACACACACATGCATATATATATATGTCATAGTATAGTATATGGACATATATACTACATATGTTTTTTTCTATACATACATACCCATGATAAAGTTTGATTTATATATTAGGCATGGTAATAGATTAACAATAGCTAATAAGAAAATAGAGCAATTATAACAGTATGCCAGCATCACAACTCTTCCACTTTGGGGCCATTATTAAGTACAATAAGAGATACTTGAATGCAAGCATTGTGATACTATGACAGTTGATTGACCTGATAGGTGAGATGGCTACTAAGTGACTAGTGGGCAGGTAGCTTAGATAGTTTGATACGCTGGACAAAGGATGATTCATGTCCTAAGTGAGACAGCGTGAGATTTCACCATGTTACTCAGAATGGTGCACAATTTAAAACTTGTGAGTTGCTTATTTCTGGGATTTTTTCATTTAAAACATTTTTAAACCACAATTGACTGAGGGTAACTGAAAGCATAGAAAATGAAACCATAGATAAGCGGGGACCACTGTGCCCATATTGGGTTTTTGTTTTACAAACTATTCAACAGTTCATAAGTCCCTCAGCATAAATAAGAGAAATGGATTATTTCCCCAACTCTGTAGCTTTGAATGTTACAGATTTAGTGGAAAAAATGTTTTTGTCAGCTGGGCGTGGTGGCTCACACCTGTAATCCCAGAACTTTGGGAAGCTGAGGTGGGTGGATCACCGGAGGTCAGGAGTTCAAGACCAGCCTTGCCAATGTGGTGAAACCCTGTCTCTGCTAAAAATACAAAAATTAGCCAGCCATTGTGGCAGGCACCTGTAAGTCCAGCTACTCGGGAGACTGAGGCAGGAGAATCACTTGAACCTGGGAGGCAGAGGTTGCAGTGAGCCGAGACTGCAACATTGTACTCCAGCCTGGGAGACAGTAAGACTCTGTTTCAAAAAAAAAAAAAAAAGTTTTTGTCTCTCTTTATGTCACAGAAACTCTGCCCACCTAGATGCTAATTATCTTGGAGTGTAATTAATTACCATGACCTGTAGCTACATAAGTAAAACAACCAGGCTAAGGTTCTATGAAACAATACACTAACCAAGTCTTCCCATGGACTCGGAACTAGGAAAGCCTTTTTCTATTACTCCTAACAATTTAGAGATCATTCTCTTCTGCATCCTTTTCTCCTAATAAGCCATTAAAGGACCTTGAGACATCCATGAAAGAATCCTAAAACTCTACTTCTATAGGAAATAACAAGAGTTTTCTAAATTTCTCTGAACAACATCTCACTCTATTCCCAACCAAACTAGATTTGATTAGTTTGCAGACAGGCAGTAAGTTTTGGTGCTCATTATTTTTTTAAATCTCAGCAAAACAATAGATAATTATTAATGCTTTTAAAGAACAAGTTTTCAATGACTGCTCACTTACAAAAAATGTCTAATACTGTATAACAGAATCACTGGCTCATGTAGAACTGCCTCATCCTAAAATAGTCAGACACTACATTATAGTATTTGTGCTATGTGTTCATATGCAGTCACATATAACATATATTTGGCATGGCATGAATAGTTTCTGAAGGTAAAAATAAATAAATTTATATTAATTGTCACCTTTAGTTAAAACTGTGCACTATAAAGAATTGTGGAAGCAAAAGCTTAATAATAATGAAGGGTGAGAGGATTAAGATTTCTACCTCAATGACAACATAGTAGAATTACTGGGGCAAAGCTGAACTAAATGGTAGTTAATGTGTTGATAATAAAGCATCACATTTGAGCTTCATTTGCCTTTTAAAAACTAAGTTACTTCTACTTACAATTAGCATCCAAAAGAGTAAAATACGTAGGAATAAGTTTAATCGAAGGGTTAAAAGACTTATACACTGAAAACTATAAAACATTGCTGAAAGAAATTAAAGAAGACCTAAATATATGTAGACATCCATGTTCATGGATCAAAAGACTTAAGATTATTAAGATGATGATACTACTCAAAGTGTTCTACAGATTCAATTCAATCTCTATTAAAATTCCAATGTTTATTTTTGCAGAAATGGAAAAGCCAATTCTCAAATTCATAAATTCATAAAGAATTACAAGGAACCCAGAATAACCAAAACAATCTTGAAAATGAAAAAGTTGAAAACAATTTCAAAACTAACTACCTGTTACAGTGATAAAAAGAGTATGGTACTGGTATAAAGATAGACATATAGACCAATGAAATAGAATTGAGACTACAGAAATAAACCCATAAACCTATGGCTAATTGATTTTTAATAAGGATGCCAAGACAATTTAATGGGGAAGACTGTCTCTTCAACAAGTAGAGCTGTATAACTGCATATCCACAAAATATATTAATGATCTACCTGTAAGTGATAAAAACCAAAAAGCCCTTAGGAGAAAACATAGTAGTGAATTTTCATAACCTGAGATTTGGCAATGAATTCTTAAATGTAGCACCAAAAGCAAGTGCAACAAAAAATAGATAAGTTGGACTTCATCAAAATTAAAAACTTTTGTTTACCAAGGTACATTAGCAAACAAGTTAAAAGACAATCTACAGAATGGGAGAAAATATTTGTAAACATCTGCTAAGGGTCTATCTAGTATCCAGAATGTATAAAGAACTCTTACAACTCAGCAGAAAAGAAGTATCCCAATTAGAAAATGGGCAAAGAATTTGGACAAACATCTTGCAATGATACGCAAGTACCCAAAAACACATGAGAAGATACTCAACATCATTAACCATTAGGGAAATGTAAATCAAAACCTCAATGAGATTCCATTTCAAACGTACTAGAATGACTATAATAACAAAAAAAAGGAAGAAAGAAAAATTGAAATAACAAGTGTTGGTGAGGACATGAAGAAACTGAAACCTTCAGACATTGCTGGTGGAAATGCAAAATGGTACAACTGCTATGGAAAACAGTCTGGCAGTTTCCCAAAGAGTAAATAATAGAATTACCATATAGCCCAGCAATTCCACTCCTACGTAAATACTCCCGAAAATGAAAACAGATACTAAAAAAATACTTGTACATGGATGTTCATTGTAACACTATTCACAAAAGCCAAAAGGTGGAAACAACCCTAAATCTATTAAACATGAATGAATAAACAAAATATGACATACACATAAATGAAATGTTATTCACCTATAAAAATAAATGAAATACTGATACATCTTACAATATGCAAAAACTTCAAAAACACTATACTAAGTAAAAGAAGCCAGACACAAGAGGTCACATATTGTGTGATTTCATTTTTTATAAGATATCCAGAGTAGGTAAATCTACGGAGACTGAAAGAAGAATGATGGTTGCCAAGGCTTGGGAAAAGGTGAGAATAACAAGTAACTGTTTAATGGGGTTTCCTTTTGGGGCGATTGCATTAGTCCGTTTTCACACTGCTATAAAGATACTATCTGAGACTGGGTAATTTATAAACAAAAGAGATCTAATTGACTCACAGTTACTCATGGCGGGGGAGGCCTCAGGAGACTTACTATCATGGTGGAAGGTGAAGGGAAAGCAGGCACCTTCTTCACAAGGCGGCAGGAGAGAGAGAGATAGAGGAAGGAAGTGCCACATTTAAAACCATCAGCTCTCTCATCAGCTCTCTGATAGTGAGAACTCCCTCACTATCAGGAGAACAGCTTGGGGGAAACCACCTCTATGATCCAATTACCTCCTACTGGGTCCTTCCCCTGACATGTGGGGATTACAATTCGAGATGAGATTTGCAGGGGGACACAGAGCCAAACCGTATCAGCAATGAAAATGTTATGGAACTTAAAATAGGTGGTAGTTGTACAATGTTGTGAATGTACTAAATACCACTGAATTGTGCACTTTAAATAATTAATTTTATGTGAATTTCCCTGCGGTTTGTTAAACTAAAAAATAATGGGTTAAAACGAGCTTAAGGATATTCCAAAATTGTATCCTTCTCAATCACTTGAATTTAGGTAGAAGTTTTTGAACTGCAGAGTGAATCAAAGGCTGGAAGTTTTGGGTTGCCCAAGGGAATATATTACACAGCAGTCCGTCATTTGTCATGTATGTGGTTAAAAAGGACAGAACACTTGGCCAGGACTGTAGGGTCAGCTCTAATATCCCAGGCCCTGATGATATGTGATGATGGTTTTTTCCCTCTGGGATGAGGGTTATCAGATTTGCTTACATAATCAAGAAATTCTTCAATACAGAAGCTTTTAGTAAAGCAGCAACATTATTAAAATTGCTATATCTCCATATGCTCATGTGAAAACACCAATGTGTTGAAAATTTTCTTCTTTAATCCTCAAGTTTTAGGGTTTTGCCTCTTAAATATATTTCCTCTCAATGACATTTAATATCCCTAAACACAAAATGGAATGATGCTAATTCAGTCATTCTATAACATCAATACAGCATTTAGACCTGAATAAAGGATGTCCCTCATTGTTTAGGTGCATCTTGAATTCCCTATCTGTCTGGTGCAAGGAAATGAAGGGGTAATAAAATCAGAGTGTGCATGGAAGCATTTGATCAAACTCCATGAGCTGCTGCTGGGGCTTGGAGTGGGGGTGTTTCCAAGTGGACCACATAAGGTTGTGGCATCATTTTGGATAAACATTGAAAATATCTAAAGTGTAATCTATTCAGGATGATGGCACATTACAGGGAAACTATAATAGCTGTGAAGAATTCATAGGCATCTGCCACGCACAATTTAACTAAACAATTTGCCAGTCCCGTCTTTTAGAGTGGCATTTTTAACACCTTCATAAAACAACCACATAAAAGAAAGAACAATCTACATTTATTCAAAAAGACAGCCAGCTTTCCCAATAAAAACAGAGCAAGAAACATAGATTCCATGAGTTAATATGAGGCAGAGCCACACAGGAGTCCCTGGAGTCATTAAGACAATTAAGTCACTAAATGACGTGGAGAATCAGTTGAATTCCTTCGTCAAGAAAGAAATAAAAATTATTCACTTAATACAGGTTTGCTTATTTATAGTACCACAGGAGTCATTTTTTGTTTTCTTCCTCTATGTTTTTCTCTGAATCTGAGAGCCCCGTACTTATGTACAGTTTCAAAATAACAGATGATTCAGATCAAGCCTTAATGCCTAGTCAGCAGGAAAAGGAAGAGAGAAAGATCTTTACTAATAAAGTTACCAAGACTCTGACAAGCTGTTCCCCATGGATTTAAATTCCCACAGACGACCAGCTCCAAATCCCAGAGAAATTTTACAAAATGAGCGTAAATAGGAAGGTTTAATTAAACAAGAGTGCTCTTTCTAAAATGAGAAAAAACTTATTTTTATGTGAAGAATAATCATTTCAAAAGAGAATCTACAGGTAAGAATCATGTGTTCTCAAAAGCTGAGGTAAGCAGAATTACTTACTGCTGCCTAAAATGAAACTCAGCTGACATCATCATCCTTATCCCGTTAGGTATATTGAGAATATTTTTAGAAACCGTATTTCTATATATTTCTGAACAAAATTTGAGGGGCCTCAGAACCTGTTAAGTTACCATCTTTCAATGATAATCCTGCAGAGACCCAGAAGGAAAAGCGATCCTAGAGGAAGGCTACTGTTCTTTCTGTGGCTTACCTGGAAAGAAACTCTCAGGTGGATTTGAGGAATATCAAGGCCATTCCTTTTTGTTGCCTGTTTCTCTGAACCGTTCTCACTCTGAGGGAATAAGCGGCTGGAGGTGCAGAGGGAGAGATACATAAGACAACTTCCCATTCTGAATGGGTACCACAGGTGCCACTATTCTCTCATTTCGCCAAAAGGTTGTGAAATAAGGGTCAATTCTGGGATTCATAAGTCCTTTCCTCAGTACATTCTAAATTTTCATTAGCTCTTCCTGTTAATTCACAGAACTCAGACTTCCCAAGCAGGGGGCAGGAGGGTGGCAGGGTCCTCTCTTCTGAAGAAAATCTTTCAGCCAGGGATACTGAGGCACTCTTCTGGGGCCCTGTGCAGAGCGACTACCTGGAATGTCCAGACAGGGTTGGAGAGGTCTCTTCTCTGTCACCCCCTCATCCCTAACCCACCTCTCCTCTACTAGGTCCCTAACTTCATACACAGTATAAACTCAGTGTTGAAGCATGATGGGGCACCATCTGCTACTGAGTGGGGAAAGGAAAGTGAGTCCAGACAGGGTAGAAGTGACACAAGTTGAGTCAGTGAAGGCTTTATTCCGAAAAATAAAGTCACTCCAGGTGCTTCAAACAAGGAATTGAATTCTGCAGGTCAGGAATAAGATAGTGGAATTGCTGAAAGACTAAACAAACAAACAGGGATAGTAAGGTCAACCAGAGGTTCATCCCTCCTGCAGCTGCAGGGACAAAGGAATGAGGTGGTCACCCACCCGAAGCTGGAACTGCAGCAGGCCAGTCTGGTGGGAGCTGAGCCCACAGAGGGAGAGCATGCCTAGGGGATCCTGGGTCCACCAGGGGACTTGGCCAGAAATGCCACAAGGCAGAGTGAGAGCTTCCCCCATCTCCTTGCCTCCAATTTTTGGCACATGCCTCCCACTGGCAAAACCTACCTGAAAGACAAAGGCAAAGAGACATGGAGAATATTGTTCCCTGATATACAGAGCAGACTGGAGAAAGCACAGGGTGGACCGAGAACCAGCACTCTGGCATCTGATGCAGAATTCGGGCTCAATGAGTTTGCAGTCAGTGTAGTGAAGACAAAGATGTGTGTCCCTGTCACAGTTCAGCTTCAATAGTCCCTGTTGCTTACAGAAACTATGGTAAATAAATTACCTTTTGTATGCTAATACTGACCAATTAGCTGTGGTTGCCTGGAGCTGTGTGTTTCAAAGGATTTTGAGGCTAAAATCAGACTCAGCAGGAAATGGTGCTGTGACCACTTAATGTTGTTTGTCCTGAATGTAGGAAGGATGTGGCGGCATACGGACACTGTACTGTTCCTGTAAGTTGTACTTTCAGTCAATATTAGACAAGTGTAGCCCACCATACATACCATGTGATAGCTCCCCTCCTTGCCTGTTTCATATTGTCCCCTCTAGGGGAGTACCTGCCTTTCCTCCCTGTTATATATACAAAGTGCTTATCCAGTTTTTAAGACTCAGGCCAGTATGTTCTCCACTATCTATTCTCCTTCCCTAAGTGGGATGAAGCACCATTAATCCATCTTCACATTCTACCATGTGCCTGTCTCTCTCATTGTATTTCCCACATTCAGTGTACTTCCCACATTCTATCATGTGCCTGTCTTTATCTACTTTCCACATTACATTGAGTTATCTCCTGATGTGACTGTCTCCTTCTCACCAGAAAATGAGTTCTCTCATTTTCTGGTAAGGACAGAGACCTTACCTCATCTAGCTCAAAATCCCTGGCATTTGGCCTTGTGAGTGTCCAAAACTTAGTAGGTAATCAATACATATTTGTTGAAATAACAAGTCAATAAAGTGGGGATGATATTCAGATAGCTATGGTTGCACTGCAGGAGACATGCACTTCAGGCAAAAAGTAGGCTGGGAAAGATGGTCAGAGGTGGAGTCCAGCCTCACAGGGAGGTAAGGTTTGGCTTGAGAGAGGATTCCATATCTAGCGGGGACTAAGATGCTAACCAAGAGTTAGGTAGAGTTTATCTTTATTACCAGGAAACCATGGCTGTAGCTTAACAGTATGTTGGAAGAGGGGCTTATTGGGTTAAGGGAACACTCACTGGCATGTGAAAGGGTCTTGACCTAAGAGGATGTGAGTAAGGCAGCACAGTAAAAGCTTGTGACTGCACCAGGACTCAGTGCACAGGTGTGGTGACAGGTGCCAAGGCACCTACTGCTCAGACTATTTAGCCCAAAATTTTCTCTTCAGACTACTCACCTGCATTTCTTCCAGATGGCAGAGCCCACCTGTGGCCCTGCTCTTCTAAAGGTTACTGTTGTTTCTGCACAACTTGTTCCTGTTTTTCATCATCAAGTCCAATACCTATCTATTTATTGTCATTTGCTTTGTTCTCTGGAAAACTGTAGTCCCTTTCTGTTTGAGTTATTAGGTCCATCTCTTTGGCTTTCAGATAAATGATTGTCCCATAATCATGTAAACCTTGTACATGAGCCATCAACTGGACCCCTGCAACAGAAGACCCCCAACTAGCACTGTCAGTGTTGTGGGCATAAAACATGCCACCTGGTCCCATTCATAATCAGCCCATTCTGACTTCCCAACCTGGACTTCTTTCTTCTCCTCTACCTTCCCTTCACCTCCCTTTCTCTCCATTTCCCTTTCATTTAGTTTTTCAAAACGGAAGTTCTAAAAGAAATGACTTCTCAACACCATGACTACATATAATCCCCAAGAAGGACCTCCAAAACCTCCCCCCAGGCTCAGGAGCTGCCACCAACCCCCTACATTTCCCTGCCCCTCAACATTTCCCTTCTTTCCCCCATCACACAGCTTCACACGGGCCAGGGCTTTGGCGGACACTAGCAGACAAACCTGTAACAGAGTCTACATCCTTCCCCTCAGATCACCTACCTACTTTAAATTCTATATATGCATTTCCCCCATATGCCCCTTTTAACCAGCAGACATTAAGGCATATTTCTGTGTTTGAATGTTTGTCACAGGGATTCCCTGGCATTCTTATCTTGGCATATGAAGAAATGGTTCCATTGATTTAGTTGAGGGCCCTGCAATCAGATTATTGTAAAATGCTTCAGAAGCAATAGGGAATTTTTCACTTTATTTTTATTTACATGATCAACAGAAGTTTCTAAAGATTTTCCTAGGTTTACTTTTGATTGCTATTTTAAACTCTCAATCTTCACAACTTCTGGTTTCTCGTGACCGTGGAAGAGTGAGTTGATGTGATTGGTGTACCTTCTTGAGTATATGCCTGAGATATCCAATGCACAATGTCCCCTCACAATCCCCTCACACCAGCAAACACCCTGCCGTGACAGGTGGTGGTGGTCTTCCTTTTGTCTCCACTGTGTAGACATGTTAACCCACTATCTTCAGGCTTTTAGTCATGCAGAGAAGAAGCCTGGTGTCAACTTAAGGCCATTTGCCTTGTAAGTTATTCTCCTTAGATCTTGGTTTTTAAAGGTTTACTTTTTTCTTCTGAGAATTCAATATTTCCAAAGAAATTCATCCTATCTGGCACTTGATAGCCCTTTTCATTAGCAGATCCAAATCTTTCTTTTGGTTAGATGTTCTAGCCAGGACCTTCAAGGAATTTACCTTTTTGATTATGATTTTCATGGGTCTAGGCTTTGATATTTTTCTTCAACTTAACCACTTAGGCAATTAATTTGGTTCTCAAGAATGAGTGCTCTTTCATTTTATCAAATTATTATTATCATTATTTTTGAGAATGAGTTTTGGTCTGTCACCCAGGCTGGAGTACAGCGGCATGATCTCTGCTCACTGCAACCTCTGCCTCCTGGGTTCGAGCAGTTCTCCTGCCTAAGCCTCCAGAGTCTCTGGGATTACAGGAGTGTGCCACCACTCCTGGCTAAGTTTTGTACTTTTAGTAGACATGGGGTTTTGCCATGTTGGCCAGGCTGGTCTCGAATTCTTGGCCTTAGGTGATCAGCCCGCTTTGGCCTCCCAAAGTGCTGGGATCATAGGTGTGAGCCACCACACCTGGCCCAAATTAACTTTATTTGTTTATTTATTTATTTATTTATTTATTTTATTTTTATTTTTTTTGAGACGGAGTTTCACTCTTGTTGTCCAGGCTGGAATGCAATGGTGCGATCTCGGCTCACCACAACCTCCATCTCCTGGGTTCAAGTGATTCTCCTGCCTCAGCCTCCAGAGTAGCCTCAGGTGATCCGCCCGCCTAGGCAGTCCCCAGCCTTTTTGGCACCAGGAACCAATACTGTGGAAGACAATGTTTCCACAGACCTGGGGAGCGGGTGGTTTCGGAATGAAGCTGTTCAACCTCAGATCCTCAGGCATTAGTTAGATTCTCATAAGGAGTGAGCAACCTAGATCCCTCGCATGTGCAGTTCACAACAGGATTTGCACTCCTATGAGAATCTAATGCCACCCGTGATCTGACAGGAGGCGGAGCTCAGGTGGTAATGCTCACTCGCCAGCCACTCACCTCCTGAGGTGTGGCCAGGTTCCTAATAGGCCACAGACTGGTACTGGGTTGGGGACCCCTGCTTTAAAAGATCATGTGTCTTAGCTCTGAAAAGCCCGTCTTTATCTAACTGAATTCCTTTAATTGCCCCTATTACTTTTTGTTGTTATTGTTAAAGTCGTTGCTGACTTTGTCGACTCCTTAATTTCAACAGCAGCCCCTATTCTAGGTATTTTGCTTTGTCTTCTCCCTTCTGGTAGCCAGGTCTGCATAGGTGAGGTTTGGCTTTGTTTCTGGTTTGCCTGCTTTCAGCTCTGTGAATCCTCTGTGTCAGAAAGTGCTCATTGCCTTCCAGTGTCCTTCTCTGCTTCTGCTTCTTCTTACCAACAGAACATTTTGTTGCACCAAATCTCCCAGCCTGCCTTCAGGTAGGAAGAGCACAGTCTGAGCCAATGGGATATAAGTGGAAGTTGCTACGGGATGGTCAGTGTCAGCTGACACGCTGGTTGGCCTTCTCTTCTTCTGACCAGGTTCAGGAACTTGATGCTAGAGCTAGAGAAGTCATCTTGAAAACTACAAGGTAATAAGCATGCTGTCTGCTAATTGCAGTTGCGCAGAATAACAGAAAGAACCCAAGTCTCTCACAGCATCATGGACCTGCTATGCCAACCTTGAAATGCCTAGCTCTGGACTACCTGTTACAGTGAAAAAAATAAAACCCCTAATTTGTTCAAGCCAATCTATTAATAGCTACATTTTCTATTATTCCTAGCTAGATGCAATCCCTAACCAGTACAGTCTCTGCTGTTGCTACCTCTTGGAAAACCAGCCGGTGTTAGAGAGGCAGGGTGATTTCCACCCCTCTGAACTGGCAATAAGCCAGCCCACAGTAACCTGTTGCCCCAGGTCATGGGCTGAGCAGAGGATTTGGGGGCCCATTTCTCCTGAAATGTTAAGTACCAGCCCCTACCAGCCTGAGAGATAAACCGTGAATTAGTCAGCTTGAACAGCAGCAACAAAATACCACAGGTCGGGGTCTTAAAGAACAGACACATATTTCATCGCAGCCCTGGAGGCGGGAAGTCTGAGCTCAGGGTGATGGCGTGCCCAGATTCTGCTGAGGGCCTCTTCCTGGCTCCCGGATCTCCTCACTAAGTTCTCAAATTGTGGAGCGAGAACTCTGGCATCTTTTCCTTTTCTTTTAAAGGCACCAGGTTTATGGGAGCAGGGCTCCATCCTTATTACCTCATTTCACCTCAGTCACCTCCTTAAAGGTCCTGTCTTCAACACACTCCCTGGGGGTTTAGGGAGGACAAAATATGAATTTGGGAAGATACAACTCTATCCACAGCAGACAGCACCTCAGCCCTCCAATGCTGCTCCCTACAGATGTGCTGGGGCCAGCAATTCCTGGCAGATACTGCCGGGGTCACACACTCATGGTGGTAGGAGATGGTCAACTCCACTGCCCCCCATTATTTCCAGCTCCTTGTGGAGAGCCACTCTTCTTGGACTGAAGCTCCTCAATCGACACTTCAGGTCTCTGAGCCCCTCAGAGATAGAGCTGATCCCACCTTCCCACCTTGTCCAGGGGCTGAAGCCCTGGCCCCCAAGCCTCCTTCATTGTGCACCAGTGCCAAACCCAGGCAAGTACTCCAAACACTTTTGCACATTGCTTCTTGGTATCAGAGTCGCCAAGCACTGTCTGGAGTGATGCTTTCACTTACATAGGGAAGAGACCAGCTTCAGTACTGTGTGCTGGTTCCCTACAGCTAGTGAGTCTCTCCAGGCAGCCCATGCAGAGATGTGACTACAGACACCCTGTTCATCCCTCAGCAGAAGGACCCCATCCCCTCCTTGTGGAGGACAGATACAGCAGTGAGGTTGGCCAGGTGCCGTGTGAGGCACACACTTGAGCACAGCAAATGGGAATGTACTAAGCTTGCAATGGGGAAAGATATCCCCACAAAGGCAATTAGTCTGGCACAGGCTGTGTGGGCTCATTATCTCTGGGAAAGGCACTGTTCCAGGCACAAGAGTCATTTTTATGTGGCCAAAAGAAGTCGAGAGACAGCTTGCATGGGACGGCCTTTCCCAGTTGTGCTGTGTCAGGGGATTTAGAGAGGGACTAGATATGGGGAATGAACATTCAGGCCACTATCACATCTAGGACAGGGCGGTCCCCAACGGTTTAGCCATTTCTGCTGTCTAGGATCACTCGTAACAATTGCTAACTAGATCTCATTTGGAAAACTTCTCTGTATTGAAAAATCCCTAACTACTTAAGATTGTCCTGCCTCACATGGATGGAGCAGGCCCTTTCTTATTAAATGGACTGGTTCTTTCAGAGAAGGAATGAAATGGAGCTACTCATGGCCTTTTCAATGTTCTTCCAAGCATAAATTATCCACTATCTCTAACATCCGAGTCAAACGCTCTCCGGGAAAATGAAATAGCAACAGGCAAAACGTGACATCCCAAACCATCTACCAAATTCCTGGGAAATGGAGATGGAAAAAGGATTTGTTTGTAGGGTCTATGGTTTAAAAAATTCATGCAATTTCTTCCTTTCTTTCTTCGGTTTTCTGAAGCCTTTTCTTCCCTTCATCATTCAATAATGAAAGGCTGAATAACAGCAGTTTTATATTGAGCGCTTATAAATTGGAAATGGATTTTAAGTAATGCAGCAAAATCCTGTACCACAAAAATCGATAAACTCCATGGACTGCGTTATGAGGGATTTGACCTATTTAAGGAAAGTACTAAAGGATTAATAAAGTATAGTAGCAAGTCCCGGAGTGCTGGGGGTTTCTCTGGCTTGCCTTCCCTCCACCTGCCTGTACTTGTAGGGGTGGAAGGGACTCAGGCCGTCAGACCTGCACGTGCTGAATGGAGCTGCTTGTTGATACTCACTAGTCCCTGCTCCAAGGCCAGCCTTTCCACCCTATTTGTTCGTACTGTGCTGTCCCACCTAAGCAGCCCTCTCTCCAAAGACCCTCTTGTCCATGCCACCTCATGCTTCTAGAAGCAGCTCACCATCATCAAGCTTCACTGTGCATACATCTTTCTCATTGAATGTGGCTCAGCATATTCCTGTCCTGTGTGTCCTCCTCTGCCACCACGGACTCCTTGAGGGCAAAGACCACACCACAGCTGCAGCGCACGGCACTGGGAACAACCCTGAATTATTTTAATTCAGCACAATTAGCTGAAATAAGCACATGGCCCTCTTCTCACCTCCAAGTTTTGGCTCATTATGTTTTATAATCTACTAGACTTTTCCTTGTTCTTTTCTCTGGCTGTGCAACTACTACCTGCCTGGTCCCACCTCCTCCATGAAGCCTTCTATGATTATCCTTTATTGATTTATTTTCCCCTCTAAAATCCCATAGCACCCTTTACAGGGCTTGGCTCTCAGTGCAAAATTCCTTACTTTGCCTACTTGTGTGTTTGCCTTTTCTCTCCAATTATAGTATAAGGTCCTTGAACAGAAGTCTGTATTACTGAGTGATTGAATATGTGTTTCATGAGTAAGAGGTCTGTCTCTGCCCAAGTAGTAATTCCTGCATCACTTGGGCCATTGCCCAAGCCCTGGCACACAGCCACTCTCCTTGGCCACCCTACCATAGTCCCCAGTCATTCGGCTACTGTGCACCAAGACTTAACTGTGAATCCCTCCAGCCTGTTCTAACCCTGGCTGGTAATATCTGTGTTCCCTAGTTTGAGATGAGAGTAGGGTTGAGTGTGGGGAATTTGTCTCGGCATTCCGATTTCTAGTACTAGGTGCCAAACTTCCCTGGGCCAGATTGACAAAGGCCATGAATGACAGTGAAACCAGTGACCCAAGCAGCAAGCTAGGCCATATTCATCATTAAGACAAACCACCATTATTTTGTAGTTGAGGGAACTGAGATCCTTCCCAAGGAATTAATCTCTCTGAAAGGGCTCTTAATCTGGAGTCTATGACCCGTCAAGGGCAGTGGATGGAATTCAGGGATCTATGAACTCGGGTGGTGTCTTAGTTTCCTACTGCTGTTTTTTACAAACGACCACAAATTTTGTGGCTTAAAAATCACACAAATGTTTGTCTTTCCAGTCCTGGCAGTCAGAAGTCTGACATCAAGGTGTGGGCAGCACTGCATCCTTCTGGGGAATCCACGGGGGAAGCCACTTCTTTGCTTGTTTCCAGCTTCTGCAGACCACTGGCATTCCTTGGCTTGTGGCTGCAACACTCCAATCTCTGCTTCCATCATTGCATCTCTTTCTCTAACTCTAATGCTCTTCTTTACCTCTTATAAGGACCCTTATGATTACATTAGGTCCAGAATTACCTCCCTATTTCAAGATCTTTAACTTAACTACATTGGTCAACTTCCCTTTGCCATGTAAGGTAATGAAATAGAATCATAAGTTTCCATGATTAGGAATGGATGTCTCTGAGGGGCTATTATGTTGCCTACAACAGGTGGAGAAATTACATCTTTATTTTCACTAATGGTAACTGAAATTTGGTATTTCCTATTATTATGGATGTGGGCAATCATTGTAGTACTAGAAATACTATTGTTGCAGATGTCTTACAATATCAATTATGTTCGTCCCTGCTTCAAAATTATTGTAATTATCAGACTTACCACTGAATCCTGGTATTTGTTGTGTCAATAAAAATTCACATACTATGTCACAGTTAAAAAAAAAAATACTTTGTCAGTGAATTTCCAGTTTCCTTTGTATCTTAGGTGAGGTTTTCCAGACAAAAGATTGTGAGTTGAGGGCTCATGTGCAAGCGTTTTATGAACGCAGAGCTTCCAAGAGAAACGGGAGGAGTGGGGAAGGAGAGGGAAGGAAAGAGGACAGCAAGGTTCAGACTTCCCGTGAGGCCTCAGCTTCAGCCTGGTTCCACTGGGAGGTCTGGAGTGAACACTAGAACTCAGAGTATGTTTCAACCAGAGGTAACAGAACTGGGGTTTCGAACTCTGGGCACAGTCAGTTATTAGCTTAGGGAGCTCAGAACCCATAAACTCACAGTCACTGCTAGCTTTCTGTCTATGGGCAAAGAGCTCCACCTGGCCAAGAGCAGTCGTCGGAAGAAACTCACAGGTCTGGGTCAGGATACAGCACACACAAAATCTGGGAAATGAGCACACAGAAATGGTACGGGGACTCCAAGTGGATTTGCGAAGAGCACCAACAGTACCTGCTATACTTTGTGATTCTATGTATTTCATTTTATGCATTTTAAAATACTTTGAGGAGGGGTTCATCATCCTCACAGGACTACCACAGAAGTTAAGTACAAAAAAAGCTCATGGTACAAAAAGTTAAGATCTTCTGTTTTAGGGTCTGCTATCATAAGTGGCTTGTTAAATGGCTGGGAGTTTCCATTCCGCAAATGTAGATGCAGAGGATAGATTTCAGCAGGGTCATTATAACCATCAGCATCCCTCTCCACATAAGTTATCACGTGTGTTTATTTCAGCACAGTCACATCAGGTCTGTATTTGCCACATCTGTTTAAGGACTGATATGAACTCAATTTGTGAATACTAAAGTGTTTCTTGTAAAAGATATATATCCATATATTATTATCCATATATTATATATATTACATATATCAGTGACTATGACTATGATTTTTTTTAATTTAAAAAGTGCCTTTGAGAGATACAATTTCACAAGGTTAATTTAAAATCTAATGTGCCACTGAGATTACAATGGAAGAAAGCAAAGGCTGCCTGGCTTATGGCATTAGGTGTGCACGCCAGCTTGCTTACAGCACGCTCAATTAGAACAGCCATGTAACTGCAGAGAAAGGTTCAGGAGAGAACGAGGGAAACCCAGGCCAAGAAACTAGTAGAGAAAAAATGGCTTCTATTTAAACACATTCATGGAATTATTTTATCTATGTATATGAAGAATTATTATCTTAAAGCATATTTATCCTTAAAAAATATTTTTTAGGTTAAAATATTCTTAATTTTTTATTTAAATTCCAAATTAAAAGCAAAGCATGTAAGAACCAAAATTGTTTATTTAAGTTTATTAAAAAAAATAATGACAGCCTTTTTCAGTTCAAATGAAATAATAAATTTTAGAAGGGGGAATGAATGTGAATAATCAGGATTACCAGAGTATTCTGATTTGGGAGTTTTATAAAGAATAAAAAATATGCACTGATACTCGCCAGTCCCACAGACACAAGAGCAGGAAACACCATTGTTTCCCTAGATTGGGTTTGTGTTTCATGGTGCTCATGTTCCTCTCAATGAAGAGTTAATTTAGAAGCCAAGTGTGCTATTTATGAAAGAAAGCCTTCTTCCCAATAATATAATGGATGGAAGAAAGAAATGAAGTACACATACAGACACACATGCACAACACATGCACACACACACAGGCCCACTCCTGCATACACATAGACGCACATACACACTGACACATACACATTCATACAGACACACATACACATTGACACGCACTCATTCACACAGACACGCTACACACACACTCATACACACACATTCACATGACACACTGACACATTCACACGGACACACCACATGCACACACACAGACACACTCGTATACATGCAGACACACATATACACTGACACACACACTTTCACACAGACACACACATTCACCGAAGATGTCGAGATAAAATTATTTATGTAAAATATCAGTAAATGACAAACCCTATTTATAACCAGGATCCAAAAAAGTATGTTGCAAATATAAGCCTGTGAGGAGAATACAACACACAACATTTTTCTTGTCTTTTGCTCTGGCTTTGAAACTTGCTAAAATTAGCAGCAGCACATTAGCTGAGAGCAGAAGAATGTTATATGCAAAGGACTATATATCAAAGAGCTAGAATCTGTGTGGCTGAATCATGCCAAGACTTCTAGATTTTGGAGGTTGTTTTTGAAAACTCCCAACTATACATTAAATCTCATCTCCTCACTGATCTCAGAAAACTTGATTATAATGATTCCTTCTCTCCCTTTCTACAGGATTTTTACCATCAATGCTTACTCTGAAAAACTGTGAAAGCCTGAGATTTGACTCTGCTTGCAAGCAAACAAGTAGCTTGCCATGATTTTATGGATGATGGGAGAAAACACAAGACTCCTGGGTCAGAGGCAAAGGATTTTATTACTCACAGCAAACAGCACAAGCACCAGCCTACTGACATTGGTTTACTGAGCCCCAATGCCCATAAAATAACGTGAAAAGGGCCAAGTAATACCTGGGGTCATTTCAAGGTGCATTATAGGAGCCTTGTGCTTAGGGAAACCAGTTTTTCATAGTGAGCCCTAAAGCCTGCCTGAGATTTTCCCCAGAGGGAGACATTATCTTGTTGACTGACAGTAAACAAATCTACCCCCTGATGGGAGGAAAACACTGTCTCTATCTTCCAAGCCTATTCCCCATACAAACATTCCTGAAAATATAGTTTTGAACAAAGGCAGTCAATGCCTCTGCTTGCAAGATGCACAGGAGTGTGAGAGACCCATGAAAAACTGTCCCCCAACACTTAAGTCTTTCTCATTAGTAAAAAAGAAACTCCTCCCATCCTTTATCTTCTTCAGTCACTGCCCTATCACCATCCTCCACAGCTAAATGTCTCAGAGCTGCCATTTGTTCATCACTCAGTCACTTCTCATGCAACTGCATTTTGCCTTTCCTCCTCCTCCTGAGTCCAGGGGACCCTGTGCCTTTCTCATCCAACCTGTTCTCTCAGCAACTTCCACACTGAGGATGACTCCCTTCCTGAGCCTCTCTCTTCCTCGGCTCCCCTGAAGTCACATGGTTGCATCTTTCTTATGGACCCCTTGTTGTCCTTCCTCGTCTGTTTGCTGATTCCTCCTCCATTCCCTGTTAAACTTTGGATTTCCTCCAATGCTAGAACTTCTCTTACAACTCTACACTCCATCTTTTCATGATTTTACCCATCACTATATTGTCACCATTGTGTAGGTAGTGTTTCTTCCTATATGTATATTGCTAACCTAAATCTCTCTTTTTAGTTGAATACATTCAATTGCTTTCTTGGCCTCATGGTTGAACAACTTTAACGGTTGAAAAATGCAACCCAAGAAATTTCTTCCCCAAATCTACTCTGCTTCCAGCAGTTTTCACCTTTGTAAGCATGATCATCCCTGTAGCTGTACAAATTAGAAAAAAGGTTTCTCTTCCATAAGACACTTTACTTTCATCTACTGGAAAATTTTCATAATACAGTTGACCCTTGAGAACACAGGTTTGAACTCTGTTGGTCGACTTACGCACAAATTTTCTTCAATTTTTTTTTCAATAAGTTACACCAAATGTGCCTGCGTCTCCTGCCTCCCCTTCCATCTCCTCCATCTCTTCTGCCTCTGCCACCCCTGAGCCAGCAAGACCAACCCCTCCCATTTCTCCTCCTCCTCAGTCTACTTAACGTGAAGACAATGAGGATGAAGACCCTTATGATGATCCACTTCCACTTAATGAATAGTAAATGTATTTTCTCTTCCTTTTGATTTTCTTTATAACATGTTCTTTTCTCTAGCTTACTTTATTGTAAGAATACACTACATAATACATATAACATACAAAATATGTATTAATTGACTGTTTATATTACTGGTAAGGCTTCCAGTCAATCGTAGGCTATTAGTAATTAAATTTTAGGGGAATCAAAAGTTCTACAAGAATTTTCAACTGGGCAAGAAGTTAACACACCTAAACCTTGCATTGTTCAAGGATTAATTGTGTATTAATTTTGTTAGGACAAGACATTATCTTCACCAGCTGGAAAACTGTTGTTATAAAAATAGAAATTAATGCTGTCAGAGGTATAAATGTTGTCCTTTAGAAGCAACACCCTTATTCACTGCACAGCCTCTGCAGCAAACCTGGTCACCCTAACCCACTGAAATACAGAAGATTTCTCTGTTAGGAAACACTGTGACATTTATCCAGGCATTGGTTCTGAATGTTCACTCAATAGAATGGAATAATTAACCCCACTATCAGATACTTCCATGTTTTAAAAAAAGGAAAGAAAGTAAGAAAAATGGGGCATTGTTAAAATCCTGCCTTGAAAGTTCCTGGAAATGAACAGAAACATTAGTGTGGTATTCTTTTCACTGTGAATTTCACAGCCAAGAAGACAAAAGTTCTCTAAGATGCAGGTTTTTGTTTCTCTGCTTTCCCTACCTATCTCCTTAAAATGTAAATTTTGACACTGCAAACACAAAGCTGACTCTTAAAAGTAAAATAAAAGAGAGAGGGCCTGTAATTCTCCAGCTTCAAAAAGCAATAAACAAATTCCTACAATGATGCAGCTGAACAAATGCTGATTAAAAGGCAACCTCAGAGGAAACAGCAATTTTCAAAACAATTATTAACGCTAGAGACCCATCGATCATTTGATAAATGTGAAAGCCTTTTTCTGCTTTTCTGCAGCCTCTAGCTGTATGTACTTGAGTCTTTAAGAAATGTTAAAATATAAATCTCAGTAGAATTTTCTAGCATCTGCATCTGTGTCTCAACTACTGTAGTTCGCTTTACTTATATAGACTATATCAAATAATTCCGTTTTTGAAATTTTCTATTGATTCCATTTTGTCATTGCTTCAGAAATTATATTCATATCCCACTCCTTTAGGTTTTAATGCATCATTGATTTTTGTCTGTATTCATATTAAATATGTAATAGTATTTTATTAACAAAAATGTCATTAAACTATCGGTATTTTATATTCTAAAACACAACTATCAAATAGAAAACAGTATATATTGTAGCACATCTGTAAAAATTACCAACTTACAATTGGATAGGCTACACTGCAACATTCAAACTTGCTCTTTGCAGATACAGGACATTTCTTAAAACAGTTCAAAAGTATTCACTACCACTACGTGTCCATTCTGACAATGCCGTAGCCTGCCTAACTCAAAATGGAGGGAAAAACAACTCAGGAAAAAACGGGAGTTTCCCAAATTAAAATCTTGACAATGTACCTGCAAAGAATGTATATACAGAATAAAAGAGAAGAAATAAGCTAAGAATGATGCTGCAAGAAGAATCTTGTGATAAATTCAGATTTTTAAAAGGAATAAAATCTGTACACAAAGTAAAACTATCAAAAGCTTCTGATGAGGACTAACAATACCCAACTTTAAGACTTACTATGAAGCTATCACAGTCCAGACAGTGAGGTATTGACCAAAGAATAGACACATAGATCAATGGAATGGAATAAAGAGCCCAGAAATAGACCCATACAAATATTGTCCACTGATCTTTGGCAAAAGAGCAAAGGCAATACAATGGAGAAAAGAGCATCTTTTCAACAAATGGTGCTGGAACAATCAGATATTCGCATGCAAAAAAAAAAAAAAAAAAATCTAACACATGCCTTACAGCTTTCATGAGAACTAACTCTAAATGGGTCATAGACCTAAATGTAAAATGCAAAATTATAAAACTCCTATGAGAGAATCAGGTGACCTTGAGTTTGGCAGTGACTTTTGAGTTACAATACAATCCATGAAACACACACACACACACACACACACACACAAGCACAATCCATGTAAAAAAGGATAAGTTATATTTCATGAAAATGAAAAACTTATTCTCTACAAAAGGCATTAAGAGAATGAAAAAACAAGCCACAGTCTGGGAGAAAATATTTGCAAAACATATATCTGATAAAGTACTTGCACCCAAAATATAGAAAGAACTCTTAAAACTCAACAATAAGAAAAAAAAAGCAATTTAAAAATGGGCAGAAGATTTAAACAGACATCTCACCAAAGAAGATACACAGATGGCACAGATGGCAAGTAGCATATGAAAAGATGCTCAAACTCATATGTTATTAGGGCATTGAAAATTAAAATAGCACAGTGCAGTAAAATTAGAAATCAAGATCACGAAAATTACTAAAAAACCATACAATTTCATGGAAATTCAGTAACCTGCTCCTGAATGACTTTTGGGTAAACAATGAAATTAAGGCACACATCAAGAAATTCTTTGCAACTAATGAGAACAAAAATACAACATATCAAAATATCTGGGACAAAGCTGAAGCAGTGTTAAGAGGGAAATTTGCAGCACTAAACACCCACATCAAAAAATTAGAAAGATCTCAATTTACCAAGTCCACATCACAACTAAAAGAACTAGAGAACCAAGAGCAAATCAACCCCAAAGCTAGAAGAGAACAAAAGACAACTGAAATCAGAGCTGAACTGAGGGACACTGAGACATGAAAAATCATTCAAAAGATCAACAACTCCAGGAGTTAGTTTTTTGAAAAATATTAATAAAACAGACAGCTAGCTAGACTAATAAAGAAGAAAAGAGGGAAGATTCAAATAAACACAATCAGAAATGACAAAGGGGATATTACCACTGACCCCACAGAAATAAAAATAGCCGTCAGAGAATATTAAGAAGACCTCTATGCACACAAACCAGAAATCTGGAAGAAATGGATAAATCCCTGGACAAAGGAACCCTCCCAAGACTGAACCAGAAAGAAACTAAATCTTTGAACAGACCAATAACAAGCTCCAAAGTTGAATCAGTCATAGTCTACTGATGAAAAACAGCCCAGGACCAGATTCACAGCCAAATTCTACCAGATGTACAAAGAAGAGATGATAGCATTTCTGTAGAAACTATTCCAAAAATTGAGTAGGAGGAACTCCCTCCTAACTCATTCTATGAGGCTAGCAACATCCTGAAACCAAAAGCTGGCAGAGACACACACAAAAAATTCAAAACTTCAGGCCAATATCCTTGACGAACATCAATGCAAAAATCCTCAACAAAATACTGGCAATCCAAATCCAGCAGCACATCCAAAAGCTTATCCACCATGATCAAGTTGGTTTTATCCCTGGGATGCAAGGCTGGTTCAACATACACAAAACAATAAATGTGATACATCACATAAACAGAACTAAAGACAAAAAACACATCATTATCTTAATAGATGCAGAAAAGGCTTTCAACAAAATCAACACCCTTCATGTTAAGAAGTCTCAGTAAACTAGGTATTGAAGGAACATGCCTCAAAATAATAAGACCCATCTATGACAAACCCACAAACATCATACTGAGTGGACCAAAGCTGCAAGCATTCTCCTTGAAAACCAGCACAAGACAAGGATGCCCTCTCTCACCACTCCTATTCAACATAGTATTGAAAGTCCTGGCCATAACAACAGGAAAGAGAAAGAAATAAAGGGCTTCCAAATAGAAAGAGTGGATGTCAAACTATCTCTGTTAGCAGATGACATGATCCTACATCTAGAAAACCTTGAAATTAAGGCACAAATCTAGAAATTCTTTGAAACTAATGAGAACAAAAATACAACATATCAAAATCTCTGGGACAAAGCTGAAGCAGTGTTAAGAGGGAAATTTGCAGCAATAAACACCCACATCAAAAAATTAGAAAGATCTCAATTTACCAACCCCACATCACAACTAAAAGAACTAGAGAACCAAGAGCAAACCAACCCCAAAGCTAGCAGAGAACAAAAAGCTCTTGGCCCAAAAGCTCCTTCAGCTGATAAACAACTTCAGCAAAGTCTCATACAAAATCAACATGCAAAAATCACTAGCATTCCCACACACCAACCACAGCCAAGCCCAGAGTCAAATTAGGAAGGTAGTCCCATTCACAATTATCACAAAAAGAATACAGTACCTAGAAATACATCTAACCAGGAAGGTGAAAGAGCTCTACAATGAGAACTACAATACACTCCTCAAAGAAATTGAAGGTAACAAAAACAAGTGGCAAAACATTCCATGTTCATGGATAGAAAGAATCAATATCATTAAAATGGCCATACTTCCCAAAGCAATTATAGATTCAATTAAACTACCAATGACATTCTTCATAGGACTAGAAAAAATAACCAAAAAAAGAGCCTAAATAGCCAAGGCAATCCTAAGCAAAAAGAACAAAGCTGGAGGCATCACACTATCTGACTTCAAATTATACTACAGGGCCACAGTAATCAAACAGCATGGTACTGGTACAAAAACAGACACATAGACCAATGGAATAGAGCAGAGAGCTCAGAAATAAATCTGCACACCAACAGTCATCTGATATTCAACAAAGCTGACAAAAACAAGCAATAGGGAAAGGACTCCTTATTCAAAAAATGATACTGTGATAACTGGCTAGCCATATACAAAAGATTGAAACCAGCCCCCTTTCTTACACCTTCTGTTAGACAAAAATCAACTCAAGATGGATTAAAGACTTAAATATAAAACCCAAAACTATAAAAACCTAGACAATACCATTCAGGACACAGAATGTCTGTTTCCTGAAGACATTAGTGTTTGAATCAGGAGACTGAATAAAGGAGATTGGCCCTCACCAACATGAGCAGGCATCATCCCATCTGTTGAGGGCCCGAAAAAAAAACAAAAGGGTGAAGGAAGGGCAACTTCTCTCTTCTTTGGCTGCGACTTCCATTTTCTCCTGCCCTCAGACATCAGGGCTTACAATTCTCGGGCCTTTGAACTCCAAGACTTACACCAGTGGTCCCTGGTTCACAATCCTTCAGACTCTGGCTGAACTGTGTCACTGGCTTTCCTGGGTCTCCAGCTAGCAGGTGGTAGATAGTGGGACTTTTCAGCCTCCATAATTGGTGTGAGCTAATTGCCATGATAAACCTCCTCTTATATATATCTATGTATCTCCTTTCAGTTTCTGGTAAACTTTGACTAATACAACTATGGCTTGAATTAATAATATATTAATATTGATTCATCAGTTGTTAACAAATGTATCACACTAACGCAAGATGTTAATAATAGGGGAAAATCCATATGGGAAGGGAAAGGGAGAGATGGAAACTCAATTTTCCATTCAATTTTTCTGTAACCCTTAAGCTGCTCTAAAAGATAAAGTCTATGCCTAGACCACTGTCATGGACCTTTTCCCCTATGTTTTCCTCTAGTTGTTTCCATAGTTTCAGGTCTTACATGTAAGTCTTTAATCTATTTCGAGTTAGTCTTTGTACATGGTGAGAGATAAGGGTTTAATTTCATTCTTCAGCACATGGATATATAGTTTGCCCAGCATGATTTATGGAAGAGAGTAACCTCTCCCTATTTTGTGCAATTGGCAGTTTTGTCAAAAATTAGTTGGCTGTAAACATGCAGATTTATTTCTGGGCTCTCTATTCTCTTGCAATCATCTGTTTCTGTTTTATGCCAGTACCATGCTGTTCTAGTTAGCATAGCTTTGTAGTATGTTTTGAAGTCAGGTAGTGCAGGTAGTGTAATGATTCTTTGTTTTTTGTGTTTGTTTTTTGGTTTGTTTTTTGGTGGGGGTGGGGAGGGGGGCTTAAACAACAAACATTTATTTCTCACAGTTCTGGAGGCTGGGAAATCCAAGATCAAGGTGCTGGCAAATTTGGTGCCTGATGACAACCTGCTTCCTGGCTTGCAGATGGCAGTCTTCTGTGTCCTCACAGAGCAGAGAAAGAAGCAGTCTCTCTCATACCTTGTTATAAGGGCCTTAATCTTATTCAGGAGGACTCCACCCTTATGACCTAATTATCTCCCAAAAGCCCCACCTCCAAATACCATCACGCTGGGGATTAGGCCTCGACATATGAAGTTAGGGTAAGGGTGACACAAGCATTCAATCCCTAGCAGGGAGCCTGTGAAGAGCAGAAGGACCCAGGTTCCTTAGGAGTGTGGCAGATTAACTCTTATTGCAACTTCAGCTAGTGTCTCACTTTTGAAACATTGTTTTTATCTCATAGGGTGGGGACTACAACAGAGACAATCTGGGCTGCAGTGGTCATAAACTTATTCCAGGCAGATTCTCTGTAACTGTATTTTTCTCTTTCTTTCTTTAAACCAGCCCTTGCCTGATTATTGGAGAAAAATTCTTTCCTTCCTATTTGTTTCATTTCATTTCACCTACTGATGACTTTTAAACATGAGAGTAGTATGAATAAAACATTTTAACGCCCAAACAAAACCCTGTGTTTTGAACTAAAATTAGCTAAAATTGACAGTGACAGCAACCTCACCAAAAAACCCTGAAAGACACTTAGAATTCTCCTTAAGGAAGTCTCCATCTGACTCCTCATCCTACTTTCATTAACTCTCCTCTTCCCTAAGCTGAGCCACTTAAATCAACCGGTGGACTTAACCCCTTTTCAGTTCACTATCTCTGTTTTTTTGCTCTAGATTGCTTTGGCTATTTGGGTCTTTTGCAGTTCCATACAAATTTTAGGACATTTTTTTTCTATTTCTGTGAATGTCACTGGTATTTTTGAGAAGGAGCACATTGAGTCTGTAAATCGTTTTGGGCAGTGTGGACAGATATTTATATATATTGAGACATCGTGTTGGATACCATAAATATGTACAATTTTCATGTTTCAATTATAAAGAAAAAATAAAATAAAGTCAGTGAATTTTTGTAAAACAATAGATTCTAGTGTGCTTATTAGGGCTTGGGGAGGTGAGTGAGAGAGGGCAAGACTGGAAAACTGTAATTGAAGGGAAAGAGAAAGGCATTTACATTTGTTAAGACGCTACCATGGGTCAGGTCCTATGCCAGGCACTTTCCATGAATTTTTCTCACTTGAGTTGTTCCTGACAACACCATCCTTAAGGATAGCCATGTTGTCCCTGCTATGAGGTCAAAGTATCTGCCCAAGGTGAGTCGAAGTGGGGCTAGTCTGATTTTGCAGCCTGTATGCTTTTCACCTTACCAGTTGTTATAGACTGAGTTGTGTCTTGGGCAACACAATCCATATGTGGAAGCCCTAACCCCTAATCTTACTGTATTTGCAGATAGGGCCCTTAAGGAGGTAATTAAGGTTAAATGAGGTATAAGGGTGGGGCCCTAATCTAATAGGACTGGTGTCCTCATAAGGAGAGAAAGAGACCTCAGGGACGCTTGGGTACAGAGGAAAGGCCATGTAAGGACAGACAAGGCAGCATCTGCAAGGCAACGAGAGAGGCCTCAGGAGAAACTGCAGGCACCTTGATCCTGGACTTCCAGCCTCCAGAACTGTGAGAGAATAAATGTCTGTTGTTTATGGCCCCCAGTCAGTGACATTCTGCTATGGCAACCCTAGCAGACAAGGACACTTGTAGATCCCATGCCATGCTTTATGGAGCCTGGGGGGCTTGTGAGTGTCTATTCAGGGATCACCTTAGAAGGCAGAGAAGAGAAGCCTGTGTCCCTCCGCTGCCTTCACCTCCTCTCCAGAAACATCAGTCCTGCTCATTTCCTTTTTGTTTCTTTACTCTCTGCTCTAAGATTTCTCTTGGCCAAGCTTGAAGATCGGTGGCCACCACCACCCTTCCACTAAATGGGAAGAGCCCTGCGACGCCAACTACGAACCCAGTACTGTGAGAATGATGTAGGACATATAGCAACTTACATGGACACACAAACCTGTGAAGACTGTTCATCCTTGCTGGTCATGTAGTCTCTATAAAAAGCTCCTCTCTGGGGTGGCCCGCTGTGCTCATGCTGTCTGCTTCTGCTTACTGGGTGTGACCAGCTACTCACTCTGTGGGTGTCTTCAAGGGCTGGGTTTTGTTGTGGGCATGTTCTTAGGGCCCCTTAATCAATTCAGTGTATTTCTACATGGTGAATGTGTCTTTTCATCCTTTTCTGATTCTGATTCCCCTCTGAAAGGTCCCAGATGTTGCCCTCTGGGTCTCTGAAGCCAGAGCTTAAGGAGAGACCCCTCTTGTCCCCTCAGCATGTGCCAGTGGGACCTAAGCTGGATGTCCCCACCTGCTGCAGGGCCCTGGCCCTTCTTCTCCTCTGTGCTGTGTGCCCCAGACAGCTGACCCTAAAGGTAACATCAGTGGGTCGTCGCCTTCCAGGCTGGTTCTGCCATTGGAGGTGATGGCAGACATCAGAGGGAGCAAGCAAGTAGACGAAGCCTGATGTATTTGTTCTCCGCATGTGTGTCTCTCCAGAAATCCCCCCTGAAGGCCACAGCTGCTGTCAGGCAGTCCTCTTCATAGAGCTACACACTCAAGGCTGGGAGCCTTCATCTTGCTCCTCCAAGGCTGTTGAGAGCTTTGGGGAACCGCATTATTGCTCATTAGTTTTTTGTTTTTAAAAAGTTGTGGTAAAATTCACATAACACAAAATTTATCATCACAGTCATTTTTAAGTGCACAGTTAGTAGGGCCACATATATTCACAACCAATCTCCAGAACTCTTTTCATCTTGCAAAGCTAATGCTCTGCACCTGGTAAATTGCTCCCCACTCTCCTCTCCCCACCAACCCCTAGTAACCACCATTCTACATTCTGTCTTTATGAAGTTGTCTGCTCAGGGACCTCATATAAGTGGAATCATACAGAATCTTTCCCTTTGTGACTGGCTTTTACTTAGCACAATATCCTCAAGGCTCATCTATATTGCAGCATGCATCAGAATTTACTTCCTTTTTAAGGCTGAGTAACATTCCACTGTATGGATAGACCCCATTTTGTTTATCCCATCTATCAATGACAGGAGTTGCTTCTAACTTTTGGCAATTATGAATGACAACTTGTTGATTTCTAAAATTCTGCCATTATCTCTGACAGTAAATCTGCATTAAACTCTCCTCAGTCACCCAGTGAGTGAGGCATCTGTTTTCTGCTGGGATCCTGATGGACGCAGAAGCCAGGTTACCACATCAGCCTGCCTGGCTGCCCAGCCAAGAAAGAGGACTCAAGAAGAGAGAGCTTAGAGGATACAAGGAAGTTACAATTCAGAAAGACTTCAACAGGTCGAATGACATCTCCAATTCAACGAGATGAAATCTGATACAAATAAAACTCTAGCTTTAGGTTAGAAAATTACACATTGACTACTCAGCAGCATTTCACTTTAAAAAAGAAAAAATAACTGGGAATTGCTCCAGAGCAATGGGTCTCATCAGGGAATGTCTTCCAGGGGATGTTTGGCATATGTTTTGTTGTCACAACTAGGGAAACCTCTTGGAGTCTAGTGGGTAGAGACCCAGCATGATGCTAAACATTCTACAATGCACAGCACAGCCACCACAACAAATATTGGTCATCTCCAAACGTCTATTGTACCAAGGTTGAGAGGCACCACCCTAACCTATGGGAAAAAATGCATAACTAAGAAGGAGGAAGCTTTTGACTTAATGTTGAGAGCAAACTTTCTACTTCTATAGATGCCCAGCAAGAGGGCAAACTGTGTCATAAAGCCATGCTTGAGCAGGACGCAGAAGCTGAGGCCTACGATTAGGGCTACAGCAGGGAGGCACTGGGCTGGTCAAGGTCTGAGTAGAACAGCTGCTAACTCTCTTCCAAACTTGGGATATCTCCTTGCTTTTTAATTGGTCAGCTGCTTGTGTCAGTAATTGTTCTCAAAGCCTTAAGAATAGACAGATTTTTTTTTGGCAGCATCTTACTCTAAAAATTTTAAAACCTATGGCAAAGTTGAAAGTATTTTACATTAAGCACTTACATACCTACAACATAGATTCTACTGAAGCTGCCTTTGCAAAAATATGACAGTGAGCGAAGGCAAGCATGGCTGACTCAGTCTTGCTTCAAGCCTCACAGGCTGGCTGTCTTCACTTCTGGATGTGGGCCAAGCTAATCATGGAGGGAATTTATAGTTTAATTAAGCAAGGGTGATAACAGTTTTTCCCTAAAATCAATCCCCTTCTTGTTTAGGGACTGAAATGGTCTTTGTAAGATTAATGAAAGGGCACAAAATTAGGATTATGTGAGAGGCCTGAATTCTGCTAAAATGACTCCCTTACTGCTCAGGAGTCATGTGGTCAGAGGTCACAAGAGTTGTGACTTTTCCAATTGCTCTTGGAGATAATATCACTATTGTAGAACCTGAGATTGTTTTTTAAGATGTTTTTCAGACTTTTGCATTCTGGCAACCAATTGACCTCACCCAGACCCATGGCTCATGACTCAACCGGTCCTGTGGCTCCAGCCCAGAGGTAGACTCAGCACATGAGGACCATTTCCCATACCCATATGATCTCTTTCTCAACCTATCAGCAGCACCCATTCCCTAGCCCCCTGCCCACCAAATAATCCATAAAAATCCTAGTCTTTGAGTTCTCAGGGAGGCTGATTACAGTAATAATAAACATCTGCCCTTCCACTTGGCCAGCCTTGTGTTAATTAAACTATTTCTTTACTGCAATAATGCTGTCTCAGTGGATTGGGTTTATCTGTGCAATGGGCAAGAAGAACCTGCCCAACAATTACACTACCATTCAGATATTTTTAAGAAAGACTTTTTCTTACCTTTTTTACCTTTTTTCACATTTTCTGCTGGAAAAAAATGAAATGTCAGTATCTAGATGGACTTTTAAATAATTTAGTTGCTCATGTTTTTTAAAGGTAATGGGATATAATGAGTATTCTTGACATGAAAATTTTACTCAGATGATACATTTGACATAATTGGGCCTATAAAACTCAATTTGTGGATTTTTAAGATGTCATTTTTGAGGACATGGATTGACTCTTCATTCTGTTATGAAATCATCATAGGTAGGTATGTCAAATACAGAGGTAGCTTTATTAATGCACATCCAAACTACAGCTCCTCATCTAAACAGAAACCCAGGAACCAGCAAATTGCAGTTTGATGCTTACAACTCACCAACCCTGATTGTCAGTGAAGTCAAGTTTTGATAATAACCAAAACTATAGTGAGTCAGTAGCATTTTATCTTTGTTATTTAGCATTTTTGTAACATTTTGTGTTTTCAAAGGGAATATCATCACCATTTCTCCTAGTCATTCAAGAGAATATCTACCTGCATATTTTCTCTGGTATGTAAGAACCACCATAACTGTTCATTTCAAACCCTAGCACATATTCTGAAAATGTTTTTAGTTCTTTCCTCCAAAAGGAAATGACCTTAAGAAAACTTACTTTGCAATGAAAAGGATTCCAAAAGGAAGATACACACACACACACACACACACAAACACACACGCACACACACACTCTGGGCTATTTGGAGGTTTGTATAGATTAATTGAAATGTAGCCCCATCCTGTAGGATCCATTTGGTGTTGTTTCACATACATATATTGTAGAAGCAATTCTTACATTGGGTTTTTCTTCTTCTTTTTAGACCCAAATTCTAATCATTAGGAATATTGAACATTCGTGTCCAAAGAGAAATTTGTTTTAGCCAAACTTCTCCTCTTTCCTCCACGTCCTCCCTCTTCACTACCCTCTACTATTGTATCACATAGCCACTCACCTCATTGATTTTATAAACACTGAAAAACAGCAAACAAACAACAATGTCAACTCCAAGAGGATAGCTCAAGGGAGTTAATGGCTCAAAGTCAAGTTCATCTTACTGAATGATGCAAAGGTTAAGGCTTTCAAGACTTGGTAAACGAGAGGAAAGTGTCACATGAAAGAACTATTGAAGAGCTCCTCTTAAAGAAGCAAAGGCCAACTGTAACAATCATCACAGTTGACGAAAGCAGCTGAAAGCAAAAGCAGAGGAATTTCCTTACTTTCTTGAGCTCCAGCTCCACAGAATAAATCAGGTTTCCTGAGAAGACTCAATCATATCATTTGATGTGCACCAACTACTATAATCTGGAAGCAATTTAATAAAAATATGTGAAGACTTATTGATAGGTTAATTGTATCCTACAGCCAAAAAATCCTACCTTAAAATGCACAAAAATAATAACCAAATCAAATTATTCATTTTGTCTATGATTAGAAAGAAGAGGGAAGCTAGGAGGAGGCAGCTTCTGCTGGTACCCACTTGAAGAAGACTTACCCTAGAGGGAGCAACTCAGAATTTCATCATGCCTTTATATGAATCTGCTGCATCTCAGGCAGCTTTTTATTGTAACTAATAGATTATCTGAGTTAACATGAGCAGAAAACACATTGGCCCATCATTAATCATTTGTACACTTAAAGTAATTTTCATTAGAGAGCACCTCACTCCTTCTGATTTGCTCTTACATCTTTACTAGACTTTAAGATCTACATAACTTATAGATATTTCAGAAGCCATTTTATTCTCCTCTTCAGATGATTTACTATTTTTCCACCTTAATGTGGCTACTTATAGCTAGGATTAAAGACTAGGTGAATTTTAATACGTATTAAATGTGTATACATGCACAGGTGTGTGCATAACACACATGGAGCTGCAAGTATTTTCCATGGTGAACTGAATTTGAATTTTCTGGACTGCTTTCAGGTGCATTGCTTCTAATTCTTACATTTATTGTCTATTTCAGGAATTTCTATTTTTAAATTTTCTTGAGAAAAAGTCAACACAAATGACATTTAACTGGGGTGTTTGTACTTTGACATTTAAAATTTTATGTGAGATGATAGAAGAAAACACTATATGGAAATTAAGCATTGGAATTGTGTAATACAGTGAAGAACTATATGTATCAAACTGAATCCTGTCACATAGATTATCATATTTCCAATTTCAACTCTAAAGTCTATTTGAACTTGCTCCATCTACAATGTGGAGATAAAATACATGTAGACAATAACTTGGACTCAGCCAATAATGCAAAGGTGCAATGATCTCAACACTGAGTTAGCCTGGAGTTTTATTGTGTTTGATCTCTTCCGTAGCTGTGTTTGATAGAGAACATATATGTATTTATTTAAATAAAGTACACATTAAAAATATTGCCAAATACTAAGATTATATATGTTTGCCAACTATCACACCTTGCAATGTCAAATACAGGATTGAAAACACAAAATTTCAGTTCTAAATAGAAGTCCAATGCAAGTTGTTGTCTAATGTGTATTCCACCCAACAGATGATCCAGTCAGTCACAGACACATTGATCTCTTTTCTGGCCATGCCTAGTACTAACGTGATTTATCATGAGGACATCAGTCTGTTAGCAACCACAGTGAATGGCAAAGCTTTCATATATGCGATATATGTGAAAGACTAAGCTAATTAGAACTAATCTACAACCTACAACTGGGGACTCTGGAATACAACATTGCAATGCCAAACCATGCAGTCTTCGACAAGAAAAAAAAATTAAGAAATGTGAATTACGTTTAAGGCATTTTGCCTCTTACCTTGATTTGTGGCATGGAGGTTATGTTGCTACTGCTGTTGTAGATCTTAATTGATTTTTAAAACATTCCTGCAGAGTGAATTTCCCAGAAGAGTTCTTTTTTCCTACTGTCAGTACATTATAGTCTTCATATTCATGTTTATTTTTAAATTACAGGACTAGCTTTTTTTCCAATTTTATGATTATTCTGCACATTTATACAGGGTGATATCAGTTTCCCTTGCAGGGCTCAGATAAACCAAGAGCAACCCTACTCAGGGTGGGTAGAAGATCTCAAGACCCCAGGGGAACAGAGGGCTGCCATCTAAGGGAGCTCAGGCAGAAAGATGAGGGAAGCTGGTGTGGGGACTGTGGGGCACAGCTGGGAAGGTGCTACTGTGTCTCACATCATAAGTACAAGGAAAGTCCAAGCAGGAGAAAATTCTGCCAAAAACTAGGAGAAAAGATGAGAATAGGAGGATTGTTGATTCCCAGCCAGAAAGTGCTGACACTTCTGTTACATGCTGCCTGGTGTGGAATGCAGTTGCTTGGCAGCTCCTTAAAGGGCCCCACAGGAAGAGCAGAGGATTGATCAATCCGTCCTGCAATAAGGGAGGATTTGTGCCACACCTACTCTTGTAAAGGGTTCCAAATGACTCTCCATTAGGGTGACTGAACAATGGGAAAGTTGTCAGAATCAAACTGGAGTCACTAATGTTAAGGTAACCCTGACAAACAGAACCAGGGAATGCCATGAAGAGGTCTCACACTGGCATGCCTGATAACGAAAAAGACTCTGCATAAACCACAACCTTGCACAAAGACCATCACAACCTTATATACAAATGCTTCTGCAAGTACTTCCCAGCAGCTTCCTGTCCAACCTAGGACTGGCACCAACCTTGTTACTAATCTCTGTAGCCAAGAATAATTATTTCAAAACAACTATGTAGTCCTCCTCATGTTTTAAAAACCTTTGTCTTCCTTTACCCCCCTGAATATGCACATAGTTATTATGGTATGTGTAATCCTATTGCAGTGCTATATTACCAAATATCTTTTGTTTAAGAGAATCTCTTTCTGCTGTTTTTTAGGTTGACAACAACATGGTAGAGGTGTTGGCTCACTGCAGCCTTTCCAGATGTCCCTCCTTGACCTTCTCAGGAGACATGTCTATTGAATCTATCACGTTGGATCCCAGAGGATAAGTCTTTATTTCCAACATGTGCAATGTGGCCCTATCAACCAGGAGAATATCTCAGGAGTCTCCCAAAGTTGTTAGCATGAAATGGAAACCAGTGGAGACTAAATAAAGAACAAGAGGTAAGAGCGGAGGTGAAGCTGAGCTAACTGTTAGCACCAGGTCCTTGTCCCATCCTTTCTAATCTTAGAGACTTGGACCCAGTTGCACCAGGGCAATTATGTCCTGCCACACAAAGTGTCACACAGTTGCAGCTGTGGCTTTGCACAGGACCAAGTCACAGAGGGGAGGGATGGGACACTTTTGGGCAAAAGACATGCTGATCTGCACAGTGATGTTAGCATGGTCCTTTATAATCCTGCATAGAGGATTGTCTCATGTGTCAATATGACTTTCAAACACACTTTTTGCCCATCCATGGATGGTGTCCTCCTTCACTCTTGGAAAATTAAGGTCCAGAACCTCACTTGGTGAATTGAGTACTGAAATGGTCATATAAGCTAATCATCACAGGCAGGGGAGGCATCATGAAAGGCAGCACGGGAAGGCAGCTGCACACAGGTGAGCCATGTTCCCAAGGCCCAGACACACTGCCACCATGCACAATGGCACTTCCGGCCTAGCCCTGACTTTGCAATCTCCGTGATTCCAGTGCCCAATCCCTTGTCTGTCTCATGAAATGGGTTCAACAATATAGGTCTGTCCGAGGAATTGTTTAATCCTATTTATCGCTTGATGCATCATTTTTTGGGGAGGACACTTCCCCAGAATTTCAAAAGGCAAAGATAAAATGTTTGTGGTGTCTCTAAACCACCGTGTAAGAAGATGACGAGGCACATTACAGAGAAGTTTGCACTTCAGGCCTCAACTTGCCTTCCCTAATCATCTCCAAGGAACCCGTCATATTCCTCCTGATACAGTTCACCCCAACTGTTCAATTTGGAAAGAATTGTACATTTCTATGCTGAATTTTCCTTTGTTGCAAAGACCATATGTAATCTTTATCCTTTTCCCATCAAATAAAAACCTACAAATTTAAAAATGAGCTCAATTTGTGTTTCAAGCTGTTCTCCATGAACTCTGAATCAACTTGCTGAATTAAGAGGAGAAAACAAGTATTTCCACCAGTTGTGTTCTCTGCCATTTAATGGGTATCAATTTCCAAAGGGAGCATCCCTTTGTATCCATTCAACATTAAAGCTTGCTTACAAGGAGTCATGAAAACATTCACGGAAAATGCATATTATGAAAAAATTATGCAGGGATTTCAATTTCTGGCACCAACGCATACTTGTACTAACTTGTTATGACATGTCTAATGAGGATCACTTTGAAAAAGCCCATAATAAAGCAACATGAATTCTGCTAAAATTGAAGCAAGAATAAGCATAAAACTTACAGTGAACCTTCAGAGGAAGAATGGTGAAACATTGATGCTTTATTTATGGGGATAATGACCCAAAGACATCAGCAATTTACAAACGGATAACTTGTTTTAAGAAGGGATGTGGCAATGTTGAAGATGAAGCCCACACCAGCAGACCATCCACATAAATTTTCAAGGAAAAAAATCATCTTGTTTATGCCCTAATTGAAGAAGATTCATGATTAACAGCACAAATAATAGCCAACATCATGAACATCTCAAGTGGTTTAAGTTATGCAATTCTGACTGAAAAATTAAAGTTAAGCAAACTTTCCACTCAATGAGTGCCAAAACCATTGCACCCAGATCAGCTTCAGGCAAGAGTAGGACTTGCAATGGAAAATTTAAACAAATGGGATAAAGATCCTAATGGATGTCTTCAAATAATTGTAACAGGAGATGGAACATGGCTTTACCAGTATGAAAAAAGCACAATCAAAGCAATGGCTGCCAAGAGGTGGGAGTGGTCCAGTCAAAGTAACAGTGTACTAGTCAAGAGCTGAGGTCGTGGCAATGGTTTTTTTGGGATGCTCAAGGCATTTTGCTCATTGACTTTCTGGAGGGCTAAAGAATGATAACATCTGCTTATTATGAGAGTATTTTGAGAAAGTTAACTGAAGCTTTTGCAGAGAAACACCCAGGAAAGCTTCACCAGAGTCCTCCTCCACCACAGCAATGCTCCTGCTCCTTCCTCTAATCAAACATGGGCAATTTTATGAGAGTTTTGATGGGAAATCAATAGGCATCTACTCTACAGTCCTGATTTGGCTCCTTCTGACTTCTGTTTCCCAAACTTAAAAGAATCTTTAAAAAGCACCCATTTTTCTTCACTTAAAATATAAAAATAAACTGCATTGACATGGTTAAATTCCCAGGACTTTCATTTGTTTAGGGATGGACTGCATGGCTGGTATTTTGCCTTACGAAAATGTCTTGAATTTGATGGAGCTTACGTGAAGAAATAAAGTTTTTTTTTAATTTTTATCTTTTAATTTTATTTTTCCACAAACTTTTTGAAGTCCCCTCATATCTCAAAACTATGGTTGAGAACATAAACTAAACTAAGAATAAATACATAACCACTACATCAAAAATAGTGAGAATCTAGAATTAGCTCTTGGAGGGGGGGAAAAAAAGCAATATGTCCATATGTATTACACATAAAAGCAAAGCAAATACTGTATTCTTGGGAAAGGTATATATTCCTATTCTGCATAAAAATATAATTTTGTTGAAGAAATGAGACTAGAGAATGAGGCATTGCTATGAAATGTCTACTCCATAAAAATCAGTTATTCATTAGAGTAACAATATGACTCAGCATTTATTTTTTAATTGCAACAGTTTTGGGGGAACAGGTGGGTTTTGATTATATAGGTAAGTTCTTTAGTGGTGATTTATGAGACTTTGGTGTACCCATCAACTGATCAGTGTACACTGTACCCAGTGTATAGTTTTATTCCTCATCCCCCTCCTACCCTTCCCTGAGTCCCCAAAGTCCATTATATTCTTATGACTTTGCATCCTCACAGCTTAGCTCCCAATTATGTGAGAACACGATTGAATATTTAGTTTAATAAAAATAAATTGATGTCAGATTTGAATTAATGGAAAAATTCAATGTGGATCACCTTGAGAGACCTCGTGTCAGAGAAGGAGAACCCAACAACTCAGCTACACCTCTAAAGACTGAGGTTCCTCGACCCTTTAGGAAAGAGGATCAGGAGGAAGGCTGGGTCACCCTCGAAGGTGTCTACAAAGAGCAGAAATGAGAAAATGAAGCAGGACTTCAAGAAATATTTCAAATACTAATTGAAACAGTTAATAGCCTCTTTAAAGTCTAAAGAGTCTGAGTATGTGAAGTGAAATATTCATTACTTTTTGGAATTTATTTAGTGCAAAATTTAATTAGTTAATATATTGAACAATAAAATACAGAAAGCCAGTATTTTTTGAGAATTTCAACATTACAAATTTGAATCATTATATGTCCAAAAACATTTTAAATAACAAATTTAGCAAGCCATATTTCAATGGTTCAAACACCTGAAGCATCAGAAAAATAATGTAATGGCCACAAAATACATTTATTCAGGTATATTCAAAACTAAACTATGAACAGCATGGATTTATTTCATTTCTTTTTTACTTCTATACTGTGTTTATATGTTCCGAGTGTTATTGATATGCTTATTCTAATATCTTTGCAAGAGTTAGGTAGTAATACTTTGATTCCTCCCTGGGACTGCAGAAATCTTGCCAGACTCCAGAGAAAGAGAATTCTTTCTTAGGCCAACTGTCTTCTCTTCAGTGAGCTGAGATATCCAGCTACTCGACATGGTTTCTTCTCCCAAGCGAATTCAAACTGGAGCTGCAAAGCATCAACCTGCATTTCCTTTTTGTAATTAAATTGCAGTTAGACTTCTTTTATTGTGATAAGAATATTTAGTATGCAATCTACCCACTTACAAAATTTCCAAGTGCATAATACAGTATTATTAGCTATAGGCACACAGTGTTCTACAGCAGATCTCTCGACCTTATTCATCCGTCTTGCATAGCTCAAATGTTACATTTGTTGAATAGCAGGGGAAATGGGAGGTGCTGTTCAATAAGACTTTTAAATTCTAGACCTTGTACTTAGGTTTTAGGTTTTGTGTTTTGTTTTAACCAGTATTAGTCATACTCCCCACTGTCATGGATAGAATAGTGGTCCCCCCAAAAGATATGTCCCTGGAACCTGTGAATATGAACTTATTTGGGAAAGGAGTCTTGCCAGATGTAACTAAGTTAAGGATCTTGAGATGAAAAGATAATCCTGGGTTTTACAGGTGGGCCCTAAATGCCACAAGAAACACTCGGAGGAGATTTGACCAAAAAAAAAAAAAGAGAGAGAAAGAGGCAGTGTGACCATGCCAGAGAGGCAGAGGTTGGAGCGACGCAGCCACAGACAAGGATCGCCAGCAGCGGCCAGAAGTGGATTTGGAAACTTCCCCAGAGACTTCAAAGGCAACGAGGCCCCACTGACACCTGGATTTCAGACTTTTGGCCTCAAGAACTATAGAGAATGAATTTATGTTGTTTTGTACCACTGAGTTTGTTGTAAATTTGTTACAGCAGCCACAGTAAGGTAATATGCCTCCAAGCAGTAATTTTAAAATATGACTTGGCCTGCATTACATCGTTCAGAGTCCATGCTTTGGGATGTATTGCTAAGTATAGTCTGTACACATTATTAAACACATACTAAATTATAACTAGTACAGCCATATAAATATTTCCTGGAAGAAGGACTGAGTCTACATAATTAGTTTTCCTCTTTAGGACATTTAAGTAATTCTTCCCTTTGGAATATGTGGCCAATCTCTATTTGTAGGTGACCACAACTTACTGCTTGAGGTTTCAGTATCTACCTTTTCTGGGATCCTCTGGTTTGTTTACAGTTATTTTGGTGTATTCTTATGTACGTGGATAGAAGCAAGTGTATATTTGCTCTTTAAAACTAGACTTACAATAGAAGAAATATCTACATATTTTGACGTCACCTACTTATTAAAAATCTATAAAGTAATGAAAGCCATTTCACTATTTTCATCCTTCTTTTGTGTTACAATTACCTGTCTGTGTTTTTCTTATTGACTTTTCTCTTTGGGGTATCTTCATCAATTCATGGCTTTAAGGACACTTTATCCTCATTCATCGTAACTGTATTTATATTTGAGACCCAAATGATTATAGCCATAATCACATTTGATATTTATATTATATAAAACATAAATATATTAAAGACTAATAAAATATATTATATATAATTATATTTGATAAAACAGATTACAACATAATTCTATTTGAGGCTCAAATGATTACAACTTGGCCAGTGGGTGTCTCTTTAAGTTGTCTTTAAGTTGTTCTCTTTGTTCTTTCAGCACAGCCCTTTGCTTTTTGGCCACTAAATTTTCCTGATTTTACCCTGCTACAGGTATGGAATCAGCCACCCTACAATGATTCTTGGTTCCTTTTGTGGGGAACAGACTAGACACTGAAGTCTGGGCGCTGGAGGAGCAGGTGATGGGAAGCACCCTCCTATTACTTTGGCACCGTGTTTAGTAAAGACAGAGCTGGGAAACACAGACCTTGTTAAAAATCCCACGTGCACCTGAGGTTTCTAATAGTTCTGCTCATTCTCCACCTGTCCTCTGCATCCATCCTCTCCCCTTTGTTCTGCTCACTACCCCCAGGAGGCTGAGTGCTGGAGTGGCCATCACTACGGTGTCCTTACCCTTGGGCTTCGGCTAGATTTGGCAAATAGCAGGGACCAACAGGAGGTCGGTGAGCAGAAGGGGAGGGAGGCTAGGAGTGCAATTCTCCTTACTCACCCCACTCCAACTTCACATGGCCATCTGGGCAGAGCTGCACTCTCATTTTTACTGCTCCCCTTAGGTAGTCTCTCCTCCATAAATCCAGTGAGATTCTCTTGTCAGCTGCCCTTCAGACACTGGGGTGGGAAGAGCTTCCTGCTGGTAGAGCCTCTCCTCACCCTTTCTAGATGTCTTGACCCTGGCTCATACCTCTCTCTTTAGTTAAACGTTTGGAGTGGAGGTTGGTTTTTTTTTTGTTTTGTTTTGTTTTCTGTTGACCTGGCAACTCAGACTCCAACATAACACATTGTTTTCCTATATACCAATTTTCTAACAGTAAATAGTTTCATCAACTGATAAAATTTACTCCTACATTGACAGAAGCCTTGTTTTCATTCTTTATTCCATGGTGAGGCTTAAAATTTATTCAAAGAAATGCTACTGTTAAGTTAGCCTATGCAAACAGAGAGAACAAACTGGGCCAATTAGTGACCAGCTAAATTGGCACCACGTCAAGCAGTTTCTCTAAGACTAGTTGGAACTTGAGGGTCTTTTGCACATCCTGAAAAGCAGCTCTCAGTAGTTTTATTACATATAATAAAAGAGTTTTACTATATACAATAAAACAAAGGGGATTTCCTGTCAGTTCCTGTCAGGCTGCCTTTCTAGTGATCAAACTGACCAATGACCCAGGAACAGCAGAGATATCTAAAATGTGGGGAGACTGAGAATAAAAAAAATCTGTTTACACTGAAATGGGGAGCTGAATTTTTTTAATAAATCTTTTTTTTTTTTTTTTAGAAATAAAGTAACTTCATTAGAAACTTCAGTTTTTAAGTTACAGATTTGTAGAAAAATTATAAAGATAGTGCAGAGATACTCATGTATCCCACACTTAATTTTCTCTATGATTAAGACTTCACATTAGTATGGTACATTTACTTCAATTAATCAACATGACACATTATTATTAACTAAGCTCCATAATTTATTCTGATTTCCTTCATTTTTACCCAATATCCTGTCTCTCTTCCAGTACCCTGTGCAGGAGAACATGTGACATTTAATAGTCATGCCTCACTAGGCCCCTCTAGACTGTGACAGTCTCTCAGAGTCTCCTTGCTCTGATGACCTTGGCAGTTCTGAGGAGATTTTGTAAATTGGGACTTGTCTGATTCTTTTGTGTGATTAGACCATTACAGGTTTTTGGGAGAAAAACCACAGAAGCAAAGTATCCTTTTCATCACATTGTATCAAGGTACACTCTGCCAGCATCATAACACAGTTGCTGCTGACCTTGATTGTCTGACTGAGATAGTTTTTCAGAAGGAAGTCACCCTGTGCAGCCCACACTTAAGGGTGGGAGTTGTGGTTGTGTTACACCTGTTTGAGGGCAGAGTATCTGCATGAATTACTGGAATTCCTCTGCATGGGAGATTTGGCTCTTCTCTCCCATTCAGTTATTTAGCAAATAATTGATTTATATTAGTACGAACTCACAGATATTTATAATTTGCGTTGTAGTTTGGTGCTGCTTTATTTTGTTGCTCAAATTTCAGCATTGGCCACTGGAAGTTCTTACAGTTGGCTCCTGAGTCCCTTTGACATACACCCATCTCTCCTGCGCCTTCCTCCCCCTTTTTTTTTTTTTTTCCAGCATTTCCTTCTTTTCTGGCACTAAAAGATGCTCCAGGCTTATATATTTCTTGCTCCAGTCCTAGAATCAGTCATTCTCCAAGGTGGGAGGCTAGATTTTACAAAGTAACATTTAACATAAATAAACTTGAGTTCCTTCTGCATTCCTCTCCTCAGCATCTACATCTCCATCCCAGCCAGGAGGGGCTGCAACACAGAAAAAAAGATCAAAGGAATCAAAGCAATCACCCCAACACATACGCACACAAAAGGCCAGAATAGGCACTACTTTCTTAGCCACTTATCACCAAGAGTTTTTGAATGTTCTTTGGATAAAATGTGTTAAAAAAAATGTATATATGTTATTTATGAGTTGTACAGATAATAAGTAAAAACCCACAGTTAGAATTGAAAATATCAGACTGAACTTCCTACTTACCTTTAAATATATATATGTGTGTGTGTGTGTATGAGTATGTGTGTGTGAAACTATATACATACGTACATATTTCCTACTTGTATACACTGAACAAGCCTAAAAACGAAGACAAACCCAGTAGTGATTACATCTTGGATTGCAAACTTCAAATACCATTTCTTGCAATGGAAAGTAGGGCTCCTTGAGAAATGCCTGGTTCCAATGTACAAGAAAAGCCTGGAAGATTTCTTCATGCCCGAAAGCAAGGAACCTGTCAAGACTACTAGTGCCTTATCAAAAAGACTGAGGAACTAACTTGAATAGGCTCCCACTGGCCGAAAATGAAGCAATTTGAATATTAAAAAAGGTAATACTTGCAATGGATTGAAAGACATTACATATGATTTAATACAGGAGAGTTTATAATCATACTAAAAAAAGAAAAATTCAGCTCATTAATCAACCTTGGATACATGCAGAGAACCAATTAATTTTTTTAGGACTGATTTTTTAAAAATTAGGGAGAAGAAATGGAGCAATTATCAGGCCTTCCCTATAAAATCTGTTTATCTGAGTATCCAAATAGTTAATGAAAGAAAAGTATCTTTCTGGAATTATCTCATGAGTAAATAACTGAGGTGAGATAGACTATCCATTTGCAATACTAACTACTAATGAATTAAAGGATCTAGGCAAATAATTTCAATGGTTGATAAGCATCACCAAAAAAAGAGACAATTAGGTATTACCTGCCTCTCGATGGAAGGACACCATTGCAAAGTAGCATGGTCAAGAAAAAGAACAAAATCAAGACTAAGTCTGATCAAATGTCTATCTATCAACCTATAGGAGCAGGGAACAGAGGAACGTGCTTAAAATTCCATGGGGATAAAATAAACAAAATCCAGACTGTGAGAAAACCTACACCCTACCACCCAGTTTCTTCAACAGAAAAAAATGATGTAGAGGAATTTAAGAGTGATGATCAAAAGGTGGGCTTCATTTAGTTCTCAATTTAATAAACGTTAAAAAATTAAATATCCAATTAGGGAAATGTGAAAATACTGAATATAGGATGATATTCAGGAATTATTGCTAGGTTTTTTGATATAATGATGTTATGATTAGGTAGCTGTAATACTTTTAAATATATTTGAAAATTCGCTTTTTTTTTCACAATGGGTTTGCCGCCAGAACACAGGTGTCATGAAAACTACCCCCAAAAGCCAAAATGGGAAAGGAAAAGACTCATACCAACATTGTCGTCATTGGACACATAGATTCGGGCAAGTCCACCACTACTGGCCATCTGATCTACAAAGGCGGTGGCATCGACAAAAGAACCATTGAAAAATTTGAGAAGGAGGCTGCTGAGATGGGAAAGGGCTCCTTCAAGTATGCCTGGGTCTTGGATAAACTGAAAGCTGAGTGTGAACATGGTATCACCATTGATACCTCCTTGTGGAAATTTGAGACCAGCAAGTACTATGTGACTATCGTTGATGCCCCAGGACACAGAGACTTCATCAAAAACATGATTACAGAGACATCTCAGGCTGACTGTGCTGTCCTGATTGTTGCTGCTGGTGTTGGTGAATTTGAAGCTGGTATCTCCAAGAATGGGCAAACCCAAGAGCATGCCCTTCTGGCTTACACACTGGGTGTGAAACAACTAATTGTTGGTGTTAACAAAATGGATTCTACTGAGCCACCCTACAGCCAGAAGAGATATGAGGAAAATTGTTAAGGAAGTCAGCACTTACATTAAGAAAATTGGCTACAACCCTGACACAGTAGCATTTGTGCCAATTTCTGGTTGGAATGGTGACAACATGCTGGAGCCAAGTGCTAACATGCCTTGGAACCATGCTGCTTGAGGCTCTGGACTGCATCCTACCACCAACTCGTCCAACTGACAAGCCCTTGCACCTGCCTCTCCAGGATGTCTACAAAATTGGTGGTATTGGTAGTGTTCCTGTTGGCCGAGTGGAGACTGGTGTTCTCAAACCTGGTATGGTGGTCACCTTTGCTCCAGTCAACGTTACAACAGAAGTAAAATCTGTCGAAATGCACCATGAAGCTTTGAGTGAAGCTCTTCCTGGGGACAATGTGGGCTTCAATGTCAAGAATGTGTCTGTCAAGGATGTTCGTCATGGCAACGTTGCTGGTGACAGCAAAAATGACCCACCAATGGAAGCAGCTGGTTTCACTGCTCAGGTGATTATCCTGAACCATCCAGGCCAAATAAGCACTGGCTATGCCCCTGTATTGGATTGCCACACGGCTCATATTGCATGCAAGTTTGCTGAGCTGAAGGAAAAGATTGATCACCGTTCTGGTAAAAAGCTGGAAGATGGCCCTAAATTCTTGAAGTCTGTTGATGCTGCCATTGTTGATATGGTTCCTGGCAAGCCCATGTGTGTTGAGAGCTTCTCGGACTATCCATCTTTGGGTTGCTTTGCTGTTCGTGATATGAGACAGATAGTTACAGTGGGTGTCATCAAAGCAGTGGACAAGAAGACTGCTGGAGCTGGCAAGGTCACCAAGTCTGCCCAGAAAGCTCAGAAGGCTAAATGAATATTATCCCTAATACCTGCCACCCCACTCTTAATCAGTGATGGAAGAACAGTCTCAGAACTCTGTTTCAATTGGCCATTTAAGTTTAGTAGTAAAAGACTGGTTAATGATAACAATGCATCGTAAAACCTTCAGAAGGAAAGGAGAATGTTCTGTGGACCACTTTGGTTTTCTTTTTTGCGTGTGGCAGTTTTAAGTTACTAGCTTTTAAAATCAGCCCTTTTTAATGGAAACAACTTGACCAAAAATTTGTCACAGAATTTTGAGACCCATTTAAAAAGTTTAATGAGGAAAAAAAAGGTTGAAAAATTGTCATGACCCCAAATGTTCTTGCTTAAAGTCACCCAGATAGTAATGTAACAGTGCAACAGTAAAACAACTAACATGACTGACTCCATTTTTGTTTAAGAGGGCTTTACCCATTCCCGCACATAGGTTAGAATAATTTTAGAGCACTAAGATTACATGCAGAAAACAGCAATCATGTGGTTTTTAAACTAAGTCTGGGATTAAGGAAAGAATGCAAACAACTACTATGTCTTGTTAAAGATTTGTAGGAGCATTGTGACCCGACCACGGACAAAGTGGTTCCCCATCTCCTCCATCTGTCACTGGAGCCCAGATGTCTACAGACCTCTGTCACCTCTTGATACAAACACCCTCCTCTTCCCTATATCCTTCTCCCACAAAAATCCTGCGGCCAGCCTGGAAATTTGAAGGTGGTACTTTAGAATGCTAGTTCACCATCTTCTTGCTTTTCCTCCCACCAACTTCATCTCTCGTATTTGGCTTTCAAGTAGCAAGCACCCGAACCTGGGTTTGGTTACAGTAATTTCTGAAGCTCAGGTTGAAACACTGTGAATTAAGACACAAATAAATGAGTCACCCCAAACCAAAGAAAATTACTCTGTATTGGCAAACCAATTTTTTTCAAAGCAGTTTCTGATGTCCTTCAGTAGTTGAGACCTATAGTTCTCCAATCCCATTGCCCTGAAAGTATTCTGCTAAGTGTCTTTAATTTGCCTTGATATCTGGGAATGGAAGTTGAAATGCATATAAATGTTAATTCAAGAGCTTTTGTCTCGGGCATCACATCTGTCGGGTCACTTCCCTGAGCAGCTTTGAACTGGCACAATCGTATGGAGTTAATTTTTTTTTCTTGGCTTTTCTAGTTAGCCTGAATGAACCAGAAGGCCCTTTGGGTGTGTCGAGGGTAAGTCAATACAATAACACTTTTTAATGGCATTCAATTGTACTTGAAACCTGACAACCAAAACTGGGTCAGCATGAAGGCCTCCCAGTCACCCTGGTGACTTCGACTCAGAAGACACAGTAGGTATCCCAGTTCCAAAATGGGTACATTGTTTTAACCTCACATAAATTTTTCACAAATATTACTTAAAACAACAATTTCCTTTGTGCCATAAAAGATTTTAAATTATTGATGAGTAGTTTCAGTCCATAGAAAACTGCCTAAATTAGCAGTAAAACAAATTAGAAATAATTGTGTGAGCTATGACAACGTTCTAAATATAGAACACACAGCTAGATTTTCCTAGTTACTTCTTAAAGTTATCAGGACCTTTGTAAAATTGGAAATATTACAGTGCCTTTTCACTAGCATTTTTGATAATCAGATTTAATAAGAATGATGACAGTAATGATGATAGCACTAATGACTAACATCATTTAGGATTGTTATGTTCTAAATACTGTGCTCAGCATTTTACATGTTTTATCTCATTTAATCTTTATAATATCCCTGTCTCTATGAGGAAGGTTGTAGTAGGTCCTATTATAATTGTTTTACAAATGAGCAAAGAGGCTTAGAAGTTGAGTTGCATTTTTTAAATGGCAGGACCAGTACTAGTAGATATTACAAAGCTAGTTGGAAAAAGCAGACTTCTTTCATAGTTCCCGTGAAAATGATCCATACAAGTGAATTTCAAATATATATAATTTTGGCAAGACATTAATATAAACCCTCATATAAAGATGTGCTCATCCTGGGACTGAACAGCCTGGAACACACAGAAGAAAACTGGATTGCACAATAATAAAAGAAATTTGCACCAAAGCGGAAGAGCAATTATTGTCTGCGAAAGGTTTCACTAGGTCTTTAGTATGAAAGACTTAGAAATTGCTATGAGAATCTCGCTGTCAATCATTTATGTTTACTGCATATAATTATAGTTGGATTATATAGTTCACTGCATTTGGGCTTTACTCTCCAGCAGTCTCAGTTAATTGTTTTTGCTGTTCTCATAAAATGTTTCCATTTGTGTTGTGGGTGGATATTTAGAACCAATCCAATATCTTTTAAGTGGCCTTCCATTCTCCTTTGAATGTACAGGGTCTTATCAAAGGAAACCTGTCTGAATATCTCCCCTTAGAGAATTTATCTAGTTCTGCTTCCTGTTTTCCCCCTAGAATCAACTTATCTTCCCACTGAACCCGGTTCTAGGAACTTCACTTTTGAAGCTAAGTTTTGCTTCTGTGAAGCCCCATTTTGGTTTGGCAGTTCTAGGCTGGAGTTTGATCTTTTCCCTTGGGTGCTCTCTTCAGACCACTGGGCTCCATATCTTGGAGATGGGGAGTGGATCTGCACCTCTGCCCTGTCCAGCCACCAAGCATTCTGAACCCCAGCCAGGATGAACCCCTGTGATAACAGAAGAAACCAAGTCAAGCATGTCTTAAAGAATGTTGTCTCTACAAAGAAGTTTATTTCTGACGAGAAGACCTACAATCCACACCTACTCATAATCACTTACCTAATAAAAACAAAACAGCCCTAGAATTTGTAAATACATTATTTTTCTTCCTAAGAGTTCAGAAGCAACAGTAAAAACAATGGACAACACCAGGAAAATTTGGAAATAAAAAAGAAGTGTCTTCTATTTTTAGCATGTGATGTCTTGATGAAAAATCTCATGCCAATGTGATTCTCAGTTGACTTGTTTTTCTCTAAAAGCCTTTATCTTAATATTTTGAAGTTCCACAATGATGTGTCTATGTCAACAGCTTTTTGCCTTTGTTGGATTTGGTACTCAGTAAGTTTTTTTCCATTTAAGAAATAGGGTTACCTTCAACTGTATAGAAATTTTTATATTATTTCTTTGGAGGAAAAAAAATTGTTTCCCTCCTGTTTGTTGTTACTTTTTAGAAATCCTATTAGATGTTTGATCTCCAGTCTTGACTGTAGTCTCTATGTCTTCTCTGTCCTCTCAAATTTTGTACCTCCTTATTTTTGATCTGGGAGATTTCTTTAATTTTCCTTGCGGTCTCCTACTGAATTTTGTTACTTAGCCCATTGTGTTTTTAAGTTCCAAGAACCCTTTCCCGTGCCTTCGTTCCATAGCATCCAGTTCTTACTGAATGGATACAATGTCTTTTATATTACTCAGTAATAGTTTCTTTAAGTCTTGTTGGTTCTCCATTTTTCTCTTTCATTTTGCAGACCAAAAATAGGATTGCATCAAACTGAAAAGCTTCTGCACAGCAAAGGAAACAATTAATAGAGTGAAGAGACAAACTATGAAATGGGAAAAAATATTTACAAATTATGCATCAAAGATTTAATATCCAAAACATACAAGAAGTTCAAACTATTCAATAATAGGAAATCAAATAACTCTATTTAAAAATGGTCAAAGGACTTGAATAGACATTTTTCAAAAGAAGACATAAAAATGGCCAACATATATATGAAAAAACGCTTGACATCTCTAATCATCAGAGAAATGCAAATTAAAACCATAATGAAGCATCAACTCACACCCATTAGATTGACTATTATCAGAAAGATCCAAGATAACAAATGTTGGTAAGGATGTAAAGAAAAGGGAACCCTTATACACTGTTGGTGGTATTGTAAATTTGTACAGCCATTTTGGAAAATAGGATGAACTTTCCTCAAAAATCTATGAACAGAACTACTGTATGATCCAGCAATTTCACTGCTAGTCATGCACACAAAGGAGGTTTAATCACTATGTCAGGAATATCTGCACTCTTATGTTTATTGCAGCATTACGCACAACAGCCAAGTTATGGAAACAACCTAAGTATCCATCAACCAATGAACAGATTAAAAATGTGGTATACATACACAATGGAATACTATTCAGTCAGAAAAAGAATGAAAACCTGTCATTCATAACAACACCAATGAACCTAGAGGCCATTATGTTAGGTGAAATAAGCCAAGCACACAGAAGATACCCTGTGATTTTCCTTGTATACAAAATATTTTAAGAAGTCAAATTCACAGAAGTAGAGGGTAGAATGGTGGTTACTAGAGTACTGGAGGCTGGGGCGGGGAGTGGTGATGGGGAAAGGAAGGATGTTGGCCAATGGGCACTAAATTAGTTAGAGAGAAAGAAAAAGTTCTGGTGTTCTATTGCATAGCAAGTTGACTATAGCTAATAATAATGCATTTTATATTTCAAAATTGCTAAAAGAGTGGATTTAAAATATTTCCACTACAAAGAAATAATAAGTATTTGATGTGATAGACATGTTAACTACTTTAATTTGATCATTGTACAGTGTATAAATGTATTAAAATATCACTTTGTACCCTATGAGAATATACAATTATTATTTGTCAACCAAAAATGAAATGAAACTAAAAAAAAAAGAATATCCAATATGAAGGCTAGTGGGAGTCCTGGGGGAGGAGCACAAGGCTTCCTGACCAGTAGGCATTCCTTGGGTGAGCAGGCTGGGGCACGAAGCCCAGGATGCAGAAATTTAATTTAATTTAATTCAATTTAACTTGAGTGCTAGTTCCTCACTAGAAACTATACTAGTTTTCCCCAAAAAGTAATTTTAATTTATTTAGAAAAAATTCATGTGGCGCTTTCATTTTTCCTCTATTTGGCTTGGAAGCTGCATTGCTGATGGTTAGACATTCATCTTGAGGTGGTGGTGCAGGGACCTGGGTGGGCAACAGACTATTCTCTATTAGAGACCTTTGAGTGGTCTGCTTGTTTTAGGCTCAGCCCTCCACCTGCCCCTTCTGCAGTGGGTTTCTCTGGGCATTTGTAAGGTTGTGGATTTGCTCGTATTGTTGTGGCACGAATGGAAAGTATATGCATGTTGATACTATACTTGTTGGATTTAAATACATTTCAAATGTCTTTAAAAAGTTACATTCTGATTTGGTTTTAAAACAAACAAAAAAAAACAAACAAAAAAAAAACAAAAAGATATTGGGTATACAGGACAGCATGACAACGAGGAGCTGAGTGAAGATTTAATGTTAGTGAAGCAAACATTCACCATAAGGAAATGTGCACATTTCCAGTTAGTTTGGAAAGCAACATCCAAATTCTCTATAGGCTCTGAGAAGAACAATTGCCTGGAATGGATGAAGCTGGGTTACATCATGTGACTGTGACCCGTGAAGGAGAAAAGCTGAGCACACATTCAGCAGTGCACTGAAGCCGGAAGAAGTAACCAAATCCCTCCAGTGGACAAAGGAGACTTCGAAGGGACAAGAGGTTTGTTGAGGATCAATTCATGGATTAGGAAGGAATATTGTTAATGCATTGTGTCATAACTGATAGTCAACAATTTTTCTTTTTATTATGATGTTTTATATTCAATTTAACTTAAGTTCTTTTTCTGGTTTCTCCTCACCTTCCTTAACGACAATAGGAAAAGTGCTCTGGGGCCTATTCTTGGCCCAGTTTCCCTTTTTCTGTCTACACCCCTGCCATGGAGGAGCTCGTTGGTAATCATGGCTTTGAACACAGTCCATAGTAAGAGCTGCTGTCATCCTACCCAGGTCACTTCCTGGCTGATATGGGGAGGTGGGGGTAAAGGGGTACAAATGGTCATTCCAGTGCCTCACAGTGGCACACTCTGGTACCATTTACTCCCAGAGCTCCCCAGCGGGATCAGGCTGAGGCCAGATGTCAGCTGAACCCACATCTTTTTGTTGTTGTTGAGACAGAGTTTCGTTGTTGTTGAGACAGAGTTTCGCTCTTGTCACCCAGGCTTGAATACAATGGCGCGATCTCGGCTCACTGCAACCTCTGACTCCCTGGTTCAAGCGATTCTCCCGCCTCAGCCTCCCAAGTAGCTGGGATTATAGGCACACATCACCATGCCCAGCTAATTTTTGTATTTTTAGTAGAGACAGGGTTTCACCACGTTGGCCGGGTTGGTCTCGAACTCCCGACCTCAGGTGATCCACCCGCCTCGACCTCCCAAAGTGCTGGGATTACAGGCATGAGCCACGGTGCCTGGCCAAACTGACATCTTTGCCTAGCTTCTTCCCCCATCCTATCCTACTTCCCTTGCTTTCTTACAGATCTCATCTAGGGGCTGTAATAAATCATTCACCCAATCCCTGAGTAAACCATTTACACAAGAACCCCTGTCTTGGGCTCTGCTTCTAAGGAACCAGACTTAAGGCATCATCTATATACTCAGACATTCAAATTTGTATCTCTGGACTGGATCTATCTGCTGAACTTCCTTATCAACATTTCTACACGGAAGCATCTAATCTTAACATGCCTAAGAGTGAGCTCCTGATCACTTTTGCTTTACCAAAACTAGTCCTAGAGATTTCCTCACTGTCCTAAATGGTAACTGATACTGTTTGGCTGTGGCCTCACCCACATCTCATCTTGAATTGTAACCCCGTAATCCCCATGTGTAATGAGAGGGAGCCAGTGGGAGGTAATGGAATCATGGAGGTGGTTTCCCCCATGCTGTTCTTTCTTGTTTTTTTCTTTTTTTTTTTTGAGATGGAGTCTCACTCTGCTGCACAGGCTGGTGTGCAGTAGAGTGGCATGATCTCAGCTCACTGAAACCTCTGCCTCCCCAGTTGAGTGATTCTCCTGCCTCAGCCTCCCAAGGAGCTGGGATTACAGGTGCATACCACCATGCCTGGCTAAGTTTTGTATTTTTTATTTTTCAGTAGAGACAGGATTTCACCATGTTGGCCAGGCTGGTCTCAAACTCCTGACCTCAAATGATCCACCTGCCTCAGCCTCCCAAAGTGCTGGGATTACAGGTGTGAGCGACCACGCCCAGCACCCCCATGCTGTCCTCATGATAGTGAGTGAGCTCTCATGAGATCTGATGGTTTTATAAGCATTTGGGATTTCCCTTGCATTCATTCTCTCTCCTGCTGCCCTGTGAAGAGGTGCCTTCTGCCATGATTGTAAGTTTCCTGAGCCATATGGAACTGTGAGTCAATTAAACCTCTTTTCTTTATAAATTATCCAGTCTCAGGTATTTCTTCATGGCAGTTTGAGAACTGACTAATCCAGTAACCTTATTATTTCATTTCCCTGGTCTAAAAGCTATGGAGTCGACTTTGACTCCTCTGTTTCTCCTGCACCCGTGTTGAATCCATCAACACATCCTGCCAGCTCCTCCTCCAGGTAGGTCCACGCTTGTCCTTCTCACCATCTCCACAGCTACCATCTAATCCAGGCTATCATTATATCTCTCACCTGGGTTATTTTAACAGCCTCCTAAATTTACTTCCTGTTTTTGCCTTTGAACTTCTTTCTTGTATTCTCAATATAGCAGTCAGAGTAAGCCTGTTAAAATATAAGTCTAATCATGATACTCTTCTGCTCAAAATCCCTGAAAGCACCCCACTTTGGAAGAGGCCGTCCACATGGGTTCCTAATTATCCCTGCCTGTTCCTGCTTAGTGTGCCAAACTGCAATCCTACTCTGTCCTCTGAGAGTGAGCAATTTCTCTAGCTGGCCCTGTAGGCCATTAAGTTTCCTGGAGGAAGGGAGACTGGCTTGTTGGCTGTTTCATATAAAGTTTGCTGCTCACCCAGAAAGTGCTTGGCTCTTGGCTCTGAGTTCTTCTTCTGTAACACAATCCATTGTGTGTGCAGACACCCATGATGGGGCCTTGTGCTGCCTCTGTGCAACTTAGCAGGGAATGGATAGCTGTACACAAACCATTATGAACTCTGGCTACTGTTGTGCCATCTGTCTCTGGCCCAGGAGTCTCATGTCTTCTGTTTGCATCCATGAAGTAACAGGCATACTTCTTAGCTTACAAGGAAGGTAAAGATCCAGGCTCTGTGCAGTTCTTGACACCCATCACATTCAGAGTAAAAGCCCCAGTAGCCTACAAGGCCCCACCACTTGCCCCTCCTGATCCTGTTGCTTATTCTCTGTCCCTGGCCCACACTAATCCAGCCACACAGACCTCCTTCTTTTCTTTCACACATGCTCAGCACTCTCCAGCTTCGAGACTTTTGCAGTTTCTGTTCCTTCTAAAAATAGCCCCCTCTCCCAGTCATCTGCATGGCTGGCTCCCTCACCTCCCTCCTGGCTTTTCAGATATAACACCTTCCTTGAGGCCCGCTCCACCCCATCATTCTTCTAAAAACTGCAACCCTCAGACCCTTATCTCCTTTCTTGCTTTCTTTTTCTCCTTGATATTCATAATCATCAAACCTCTATCTAGTTTACTTACTTATTTGTTCCCAACCTAGTCTCCCGCATTAGAATGTAAGCTATAGGGAGCAGCGAGTTTTGCTCACATTATTCACTGCTGCTTCCCCAGTAACTAGGGCAGTGCCTGGCACATAGTAGAAACTCTAAATGTGTTGAATGAATGAACTTCTGGCAAACACAATCTGCAAACCTGTATGCTATTAAACCTATGATCACCTTCTGAGGAATAAGAAGCAGTGGGGTCACATATGAGCAAAACAAACACAGTGTGTTCTACATGGGGTTTACCATTTTGTCAGGAAAACATATTTATCAAATAATCATACAAATACATAACTATAAATCATGGAAAGAGCAATGAACGAAAAATACAGAAAGCTAATAGGCCACATTAAATAATGCTGTTCTCATGGTGTAGAGTAGTTACTGGGAAGCATCTCTCTAGCAAAGGTCTGTATTTCTCAACTTACTTTTTATCCAGGTGCAATTACATGACCAGTTCTCACCAAAGGAGTGTGAGAGAAATTAGTGTACATCACTTGTGGACTGGTGTTTCAAGGACAGAGGTGTGCCTTCTCTACTTTCTCCCCATCTGCTATCTGGAACCAAGAACTGCAAGATACTGAGGAATGGAGGAATGGCAGGATAGAAAAGGCCAGGGTTCCTGAATTGCCACTTGCAGGAACCCACTAAACCAACCAGAACACTGCCAGAGTAGCATCAGAAGTCTACTGGATAGTCAAGACTTTCACCACCAACTAGTGGTGATGAGGCCACTATGTCATGTGTGAGTGGAGATCATGTGAGAAGCAGCAATGAGAAACCCCTATCCCATCCAGCCAAGTTGATATCAACAAACACATAGTGGGGATCTTGAAATCCTAGCCCTCCCAGGCAATAACAAGGTGTCCTACTCATCCAGGGAGTGTCAATGAAGACCAAGTAGGAAACCCGGACTTCCTCCCACATCTGGCAGTAAAAGAGTGGTACCCACTTCCCCTGCCATTGAAATGTCAAAGGAAACCTATTAAAAGAGTAGATTTTTTTAAAAAAGTAGAGTCTCATAATATTCAATATTCAAAATACCCAGGGTTCAATTGAAAATCACTTGTATCAAAACCTGGAAAAATCTCAACTTGGATCAGAACAGACAATTAACAGGTACACAACAGAAATGACACAGAGGTTAGGATTATATGACAAGGAATCTAAAGCAGCCATTATAAAATTGCTTCAATGAGGAATTACAAATACATGCCACAAACTAAATAAAAATAGAAACATACACAAACAATCGCAGCAAAGAAATAGAAAATACAAAGACTAAAAGAAGTTTTGGAAATTAAAAATACAATAACCAAAATTAGAATTAAATAAATGGACTCAAAATCAGAATGGACAAAAACAAAGTAAATAATTAGGACATCTTAAGATAAAACAATAGAAATTACCTAATCCAAACAATACTGAGAAAATAGACTGAAAACAAATGAGCAGAGTCTCAGGGACTTCTGGGATGATAATAAAAGGTCTTGCATGCACGTCATTGATGTCCCAGAAAAAAAGAATATATAAGATGGGATGAAAAAGCCTTTGAAGAAATAATTACTGAAAATTTCTTATATTTGGCGATATGGTTTGGCTGTGTCCCCAGCCAAACCTCACCGTGAACTGTAATAATCCCCACATGTCAAGGGTGGGGCCAGGTGGAGATAATTGAATCATGGGGGTGGTTTCCCCCATACTGTTATTGTGGTAGTGAATAAGTCTCATGAGATCTGATGGTTTTATAAATGGGAGTTCCCCTCCACAATCTCTCTTGCCTGCCACTACATAAGATGTGACCTTGCTCCTCATTCGCCTTCTGCTGTGGTTGTGAGGCCTCCCCAACCATGTGGAACTAACTGAGTCAACTAAACCTCTTTCCTTTGTAAGTTATCCAGTCTGGGGTTTGTCTTTATTGGCAGCATGAGAACAGACTAATACACTTAGAAAATGCCAAAATTCTACAGATTCAAAAAGCCTAGAAAAATTCTGAACAGGATGAACTGAGAGAAACCCACACAAGATATATCACAGTCAAATGTTTGAAAACTGAAGGCAAATGTCTTAAAAGCGGTGATGAGAGAAAAATGATCCCTAACCTAAAGGGGAAAACCAGTTAGATTATAGCAGATTTCCCATTAGAAGCCCTGGAGGCCAGAAAGAAGAGGCACGTATTTTTCAAGAAATAAGCCAACTGTCAACTCAGAATTCTATATCCAGGAACAATGCATTCCGGAAATGAAGGAGAAGTTAAGATATTCTCAGATGAATGAAAAGTAGGAGAATTTCTCCCCAGAAGACTTACTTTAAAATAAGGGCTAAAAGAAGTTCTCTAAACAGAAGAGGAGAGATAAAAGAAGGAATCTTGGGGCTGAGTGTGGTGGCTCACGCCTGTAATCCCAGCACTTTGGGAGGCCGAGGCAGCCGGATCAGAAGGTCTGGAGATTGAGACCATCCTGGCTATGGTGAAAGCCCATCTCTACTAAAAATACAAAAAATTAGCCAGGCGTAGTGGCGGGCACCTGTGATCCCAGCTACTCGGGAGGCTGAGGCAGGAGAATGGCATGAACCCAAGAGGCGGAGCTTGCAGTGAGCCGAGATGGCACCATTGCACTCCAGCCTGGGCAACAGAGACTCCATCTCACAAAAAAAAAAAAAAAAAAAAAAAGGAATCTTGGAATATGCAGAAGGAAGAAAGAAAAATAAAAAGTAAAAATATTGATGAATATTTTTCCTCTTGAGTTTTCTAAACTATGTTTGAGAGATAAAGCAAAAATTATAACACTGTTTGACGTGGTTCTCAATGTGTTGGGAAAGGCAGTCATGCACAGCTCCTCAGCCCTTGAATGGCTACCTGAGAGTAGACTTAGGCCTGGAACATTCCTTACAAAGAGGTAAAGAGCCCTCATAACTAATGCTGGGTTTATCGCCTTGTGAGAGAGTATCTTCCCTGTTCTGGCCTTGATGTAGTTACTCCTTTGTTATGCCTAAGCATGTGTATGTGTCAGTGTCCTCAAGCATGTCCCTGGCTTTCTATATTTCAGGTCCCCATGGGAGAAGGAGAAGGTGCTTCTACTGCAGGACAAACTAGAGCGTGTGTAGCCACACTGCCAACATCGTATGTGCAGTGGATCTGCTGGCCACATGGGGGCCAATGCATTGCAAGGGGCTATATCTTGTGCTCATGCTCTTTCCTTATTCTGCAAGTAAACAACATGCAACTTGAGCCTGATGTGTCTATTGCCTGTTCTCAGCTACCTCAAATCATGCATTGGTCTCCTTCCTTGGTGGCACTAATCAGCCTTTTAACTTTGTTCACACAACCTAGCCACCCAATGAACAATGAAGCACCCTGTATGTACATAATATATACAAAACAATTATAAATGGGGGATATTAAAGAAATGTGAAGGGAGGTAAGAGTTTGTAAATTCAAACTGGTAAAATGCTGACACCAGTAGTTTGTGATAAGTAGTCCTTCTAAAAATTGTACAGATAATGCAAAAGAGAATTCTAAGTTCACAGAAATGAAGAAGAAAACAGAAATAAAAAATGAACAAGCACAAAACAACAACAAAAACACTCATCAGACTTAAGCCCTTACATATCTGTAAGTTACATTACATTAAATGCAAGTGATACAAATACACCAATTAGAAAACAGAGATTGGGAAAATAGATAAGAGCAAAACAAACAAAAAACACAACTCCATTATATTCTGTCTGTAAGAAACTCACTTCAAATGTAAGGTTTTAGGTAGGTTGAAAGTAAAAGGATGGAAAATGGTATACCATGCAACCTTTAATCAAAGGAAACTATGAATAGCTACATTGTTGTCAGATAAAGTTGACATCCAAGCCAAAAAAAAAAAAATTACCAGGAACAAAAAGAAGCATTACATGATTTCAAAAAATAGCAATCTACCAAGAAGGTATAGCAAATCTAAATCTGTATGCACCCATGTGAAGCAAAAATTGAAATAACTAAAAGGAGAATGTAAAAACCACAATAACAGAGACCTCAATACTTCTCTCTCAACAGTTGATAAAACAACTAGACAGAAAATCAGCAGAAGAGCTCAGCAAAATTATCAGACAGGATCTAATTGACATTTGTAGAACATACCATCCAACACCAGAATATGCATTCTTTTCAAGTGCCAATGAAATGAAACATGCTGTCTAGGGCAGTTTTGAGAGGAAAATCTATAGCACTAGTAGCACATATTAGAAAAAAGGAAAAATCACAAATCTGTAGTTGAAGTTTCCATCTTTAGAACCCAGAAAAAGACAAGCAAAATAAACCCAAAGCAAGCAGAAGAGAGCAAAAATTAAGACAAGAGCAGAAATCAATGTTATTTAGAACATAAAAAAAGAAAGAAAATCAATGAAACAAAAACTTGATCCTTTGGGAAAATCTTTAAAATTGGCAAACATCTAGTAAGGTGTTTTTGACAAAAAAAAAAAAAAAAAAGAAAACACACATTACCAATAGCAGAAATGAAACGGGAATATTGTTACTGCAGATAAGAAAAGGATAATATAAGAGTACTAGGAACAACTCTACAAACATAAATGTTATGTCTTAGAAGCAGCAGATCAATTATTTGAGAAGAACAAAGTATCACAACTTTCCCAACATAAAATAGTTTGAATAACCCTATAATGATTAAGAAAATTGGATTTATAACTTAAAAATGCCCCCCAAAAAATTTCCAGGCTCAGATGCCTTCATGGGAGGATTCTACCAAATATTTAAGAATTAACACTAATTCTACACAATGTCTTCCAGAAAAAAGAAGAGAAGGAAACATTTCCTAGCTTATTCTAAGAACTCAGCATTATCCAGAAACGAAAAAGAGATAAAGCAAGGATGTCCACTCTCACCACTCCCGTCCACTATAGTACTAAAAATAAAGCAAGAAAACAAAATAAAAGGCATGCAGACAAAAAGAAGAGGAAGTAGAACTGCCCCAATTTGCAGATGAGATAATGGTCTATACAGAGAAACCCAAGAAATCTACAAAAACTTTAGAATAAGTGAGTGAAGCAAGATCTCAGGGTAAGAGATCAACATATAAAAATCAATTGTACTTATATATATTAGCAATAACATGGGGAAACAAATTTAAAATATAATATCATTTATTACTGCCCCCAAAATACTTAGGTGCATGTCTAACCAAAGATATAGACTTGCACGGTGAAAACTAAAAATCACTAATGGAGTCAATCAAAGAAGATCTAAATAAATCAAAAGACATGTCATATTTGTGGACTAGAAATTTAATATAGTAAGGATGTCAACTCTCCCTAAATTTATATACATGTATAATGCAATTCCTATCAGAAGCTCAGCAAGACTTTCCGTAGACATAGATAAAATTGTTCTAAAATTTATACAGAAGGGCAAAGAAACTAGAAGCTAGATCAATAGCTAAATCAATTTTGAAAAAATAAAGAAGAAAGTGGAAGAAATTATTTTTCTCAACTTCAAGACAACTACAAGACATAGTAATCAAGATTGTGTGATATTGGCAGAGGGAACAGACACATAGATTAATGGTACATAATAGAGAATTCAGAAACAACCCAATACAAGAGTGCCAACTGATCTGATTTTTTGACAAATGTGCAAACACAACTCAACAGAGGAAGAATAGTCATTTCAACAATCACGCCAAAGAAACTGCATATTCACAGGCACAAAAATGAACCTCAGCATAAATCTTATACCTTTTACAAAAATTAACTCAAAATGGATCATAGATTTAAACGTAAAACACTAAATTATAAAACTTCTATATGATAACACAGGAGATATCTTCAGGACCTAGGGCTTGCTGAAGAGTTCTTAAACCTAGTACAAAAAGCATGAATTATTGAAAAAAATTGTGAATTAATATTCATCAAAATTATATTTTTGCTCTGTAAGAAACTTTGTTAATAAAATGAAAATACAAGGCAAAATATCTGCAAGCCCCATATCTGACAAAGGGCTTATATATATAATATGTAAAGAAGTCTAGAAATTCAACAGAAATTAGAATGTGCAAAAGATCTAAAGAGACATTTCACCAAGCACATAGAAATGTTCAATATCTGGCCACTAGGAAAATGCAAATGAAGACTGTCTTGGACCATTGGTGCTGATATTTAAAAAATCACAAACTGGGTAATTTGTAAATAACAGAAATTTATTGCTTGCAATTTTGGAGACTGAAGAGTCCAAGATCAAGGTACCAGCAGGTCTGGTGTCTCGTGAGGGTAGCTCTGTGCTTCCAGATGATGCCATGAATGCTGCATCCTCACGGGGTAGGAGGCAAGAGGGCAAAGGGACTAGCTAGCATTCTCCAGTCCTTTTATAAAGCACTAATAAAAAACACTAATCTATCAGTAATAGATTAGCAATCTATTACTAATATTACTATAATAAAAAACACTAAGTAATATAGATTACTATAATAAAATATCTTATAAGTAATAGATTACTAATACGTAACAAAAAAACACTAATCTATCAGTAATCCATTACTTATTACTTATTTTTTCCTCCAAAAGGCCCCCATCTCTTAAGACTACCACAATGGGTTTAAAATTTCAACATGAGTTTTGGAGGGGACACATTCAAACCATAGCAAAGACCATAATGAGATATCCTATGCACCTATTAGAAGTGCTAAAATTAAAATAATGAAAATATCAAATGCTGGTAAGGATGTGGAGAAATGGGATCTCTCAGATTTTGCTGTTGGGAATGTAAAATGGTACAGTGACACTGGGAAACAGTCTGACAGCCTCTCAAAAAACTAAACATACACTTACCATACAACCCAGCAGTCACACTCCTTGGCATTTATCCTAGAGAAATGAAAACTTATGTCCCCACAAAAAGTTTTATAGCAGCTTTATTTGTGATAGTCAAAAATTAAAAACAATAAAAATATTCTATAAATCAATGAATGGTTAAACTGTGTTACATTCATGCCATACACTTCAGCAATAAAAAGAAACAAACTATTGAGACTTGCAGCAACTTCAGTGGATCTCAGGGACAATACATGAGTAAAAAAAAGTCAGTATCAAAGATAGTATATTCTGATTCCACTTCCATTACATTCTCAAGATGATAAAATTGTAGAGCTGGAACACAGATTAGCAGTTGCCAGAGTTAGGAATAATGGGGTTAGGGGAAGGGTGTGGAGACATAGGGTGTGGTTGGGGCTACAAATGGATAACACAGTGGAGTCTTGTGATGATAGGACGGTTTTGTAACTTGATTGTAGTAATTACGTGAATCTTCTACATGTAATAAAATGATGCTGAACAAAACACACATATTGCACCAATGTCAATTTCCTGGATTTGGTACTGTACCATCAGTATTTGATAGTATTGCATAAATGAACTAAACACACATATTGTGTCAATGTAAATTTCCTGGTTTGGGAAATATGCCAACACATATTTGATAGTATTGCATAAGGTGCAACCATTGGGAGAATCTGAGTGAAGGGTACATTAGGACATTTCTATGCTATTTGTGAAACTTCCTGTGAATCTAAAATGATTAAAAACATTGATTTTGTATCCTGAGACTTTGCTGAAGTTGCCTATCAGCTTAAGGAGATTTTGGGCTGAGACGATGGGGTTTTCTCCTTAGGGATCTAGAACTAGAAATACCATTTGGCCCAGCCATCCCATTACTGGGTATATACCCAAAGGATTAGAAATCATGCTGCTATAAAGACACATGCACATGTATGTTTACTGTGGCACTATTCACAATAGCAAAGACTTGGAACCAACCCAAAAGTCCAACAATGATAGAATGGATTAAGAAAATGTGGCACATATACACCATGGAATACTATGCAGCCATAAAAAATGATGAGTTCATGTCCTTTGTAGGGACATGGATGAAGCTGGAAACCATCATTCTCAACAAACTATCGCAAGGACAAAAAAACAAACACTGCATGTTCTCACTCATAGGTGGGAATTGAACAATGAGAACACATGGACACAGGAAGGGGAACATCACACACCGGGGCCTGTTGTGGTGTGGGGGGAAGGGGGAGGGATAGCATTAGGAGATATACCAAATATTAAATGACGAGTTAATGGGTGCAGCACACCAACATGGCACATGTATACATATGTAACAAACCTGCACATTGTGCACATGTACCCTAAAACTTAAAGCATAATTTAAAAAATAAAAATAAAAATAAATAAAAACAAAATAGTTTTTCAAAGTAAAATATTCAAGTAAATAATAAAAACACGAAGTATGCAAAGTAAATATCCTTTGATATAGGACTGAAAGGGTGATATAGTATGATGTCTTCAGGACACTGCATGTATGTTAGCTTTGCTGGAGCCTAAAGTCCTTGTGTGAACTGTTGAGTTACTGCTACACTACAACTGAGTTTTACTTTCTTTTATTTTTCATCCTTTAACAGGGATAACCATTGGAAATATAATTAATGGATTGAATTTGCTCACATTAATGGAACTCATTAAATGGTCTGAGTAATTAACTGGCTTAATATATATTTACAATAATTCTGCTTGCAATGCAAGTCATAACTATTTGTTTGACAATTTAATTTTATACTTCAACTTTTTGAGAGTGTGGCCTTTTCAAAAAAATGTGTCTATTAATTAAAAAGTAGAAAAAAGATAAAATGTGTCATATGATTGATTTTATAGTTACTTTTAAAAGGAAATCTACTAGAATAAAATTACTTATAACCAATTAAAGCAAAAAGTAGTAAACCTAGATGCAATAAATTTACTTTATGCAATTTTTCTAACTTTTCTCAACTTACTAAATGTTTGTTAAGAACTATCAATATACAGGACCCTCTCACAGGCTTGGTCTAGATCAACCCTCAAAAGCTTTTCTAAGTAAGCTCCAAACCAGTTATTTAATAAAACTTTCTGCAAGGATGAAATTTGTTTTATATGTGCTATTCAATAAGGTACCCACAAGTGATTGTTGAACACTTGGAATACGACTTACAAAAAAAGACACTATATTTTTTATTTAATCTTATTTTAATTAATCTAATTTTAATTTTAAAAAGTTGTAGATGGTTAATGGCTGCCATATTGCGTAGCTCATGATATTATCAAATAGATTTCGGATATTAACCCCTTATTTTCAGAATACTTTCCTTCACAAGTTCACACAGAAATCTTCACTATAAACAGGGAAATCCTCTGTCAGACATTTTCCTACCATGATCCCCCTCGCCTTTCCTCCTTGCTAGCAGAGGAAGCCTGTGTTCATAGCTGTCAGATATGCCAGATCCAAATTATTGGGGCAGCTCTGGCCAATGGCACGTGAAAGTGAGTCTCCCAGATGATTTCTGAGACACATTTCCGTGCCTGATAAAAAGAGAATAATAAAGAAGAGAAGACCTTTTTCCTCTCTAGGTTGCTTGCAGCTGCTATGGCCATCTTGTGACCATGAGGCAAATAGTGAAAGAAAGAAGCTTACCCTGACATCATTGAGCCATGGAATTAACTCTGGATCAACCAATACCAGCTGCTTATTTTGTAGAAAAAAAATAAATATTGTTTCAGCTATTTTTTGTCAATATTTTGTCGGTTGCCATCTCAGCTTCCAAACTGGATAGAGATCCTTAAAATTCATGATGGTAGTTAAGGTTGGGTCATTCCATTGTAGTGCAAGAAGTGTATCAGTGTGGGGGAGCAGAGAAGAAAAGGGAGGAAAGACAGGAGATGCTATAAAGACCAATAGTTTTGTAACTACTCTAGAGGGAAACTTTGGGACACAAGGTGTGACACAGCTCTAAACTGGGGTGGGAGGGCATGGCACTAGTGAGGATCTCCAAGTGTGGCCCAGGCAAACTGGCAAAGAGGGTGAAGGAGATGGAAGACCAGAGGAATAAGCAAAGTTCAAATCGTGAAGGACCTGGAGGGACATACTGACATTTTGGACTGATTTCTAAGGGCCATAGAAAACCATTGTTTTTAAGTTTTAAGTAAAGAACATGGTCACTTTTGCATTTTCAAAAGCTTATTCTGGCTGCAGGTGGAAAATGATTTGGAATGGGGCAATTCTGGAAACTGAAATATCAGAGGGAGTACATCATATCAGGGAGTCATGATGTTGATATGATGTAGTATCTTGATGTTAACTCTGGTCACTTGTTAAGACGGTTTTTGTTTGTTTTTTGGTTTTTGTTTTTGAGACAGAGTCTCACTCTGTCACCTAGGCTGGAGTGCAGTGGCATGATCTTGGCTCACTGCAACCTCTGCCTCCTGAGTTCAAGTAATTCTCCTGCCTCAGCCTCCCAAGTAGCTGGGATTACAGGCACACACCACCACACCCAGCCAATTTTTGTATTTTTAGTAGAGACGGGGCTTCATCATGTTGGTCAGGCTTGTCTGGAACTCCTGACCTTGTGATCCTCCCACGTCGGCCTCCCAAAGTGCTGGGATTACAGGCGTAAGCCACCACACCCAGCCTTAAGATAGTTTTTAAATCACTGACTGGTAGTTTCAAAGTCTAAAAACAATTATGTAATTTATCAAGAAAACATCATATAATAATGTTGGCAGGTATGCCAGTGTCAAAATATAAAACACAGAGAGTTTTTCATAGGACTTGGAATGTTAATTCTAGAAATTATATAAAGTAGCAAAGTATGCCATATGCTCCTTCAGACCAAGAGATTGCTGAGCTAGCATCATGATGAGAGGATCAAATTCACACATAACAATATTAACCCTAAATGTAAATGGGCTAAATGCCCCATTTAAAAGACACAGACTGGCAAATTGGATTGGATAAGGAGTCAGGACCCAACAGTGTGCTGTATTCAAGAGACCTATCTCATGTGCAAAGACACACATTGGCTCAAAATAAAGAGATGAAGGAAAATTTACACCAAACAAATGGAAAGCAGAAAAAAAGCAAGGGTTGAAATCCTAGTTTCTGACAAAACAGACTTTAAACCTACAAAGATTAAAAAAGACAAAGAAGGGCATTACATAATAGTAAAGGGATCAATTCATTAGGAAGAGCTAACAATCTTAAATATATATGCACCCAATACAGGAGCACCCAGGTTCATAAAACAAGTTCTTAGAGACCTACAAAAAGACTTAGACTCCCACACAATAATGGTGGGTGACTTCAACACCACACTGTCAATATTAGACATATCATCGAGACAGAAAATTAACAAGTGTATTCAGGACATGAACTCAGCTCTGGATCAGGTAGAAATGATGGATATCTACAGAACTCTCCACCCCAAATCAATGGAATATACATTCTTCTCAGTGCCACATGGCACTTACTCTAAAATCGATCACAAAATTGGAAGAAAAACGCTCCTCAGCAAATGCAAGAGAGGTGAAATCTTAGCAAACAGTCTCTCAGACCACAGTGCTATCAAATTAGTACTCAAGATTAAGAAACTCACTCAAAACCACATAACTACATGGAAATTGAACAGCCTGCTCCTAAATGACTCCTGGGTAAATAGTGAAATTGAGGCCGAAATCAAGAAGTTCTTTAAAACCAATGAGAACAAAGAGACAACATACCAGAATCTCTGGGACATAGCTAAAGCAGTACTAAGAGGGAAATTTAAAGAACTAAATGCCCACATCAGAAAGCTAGAAAGATCTCAAATCCTAACATCATAACAAAAATAACTAGGGAACCAAGAGCCAACAAATCCAAAAGCTAGCGGAAGATAAGAAATAACTAAGATCAGAGCAGAACTGAAGGAGATAGAGACATAAAAAAACCTTCAAAAAATCAGTGAATCCAGGAGATGGTTTTTTGAAAAAAATAATAAATTAGACTGCTAGCTAGACTAATAAAGAAGAAAGGAGAGAATAAATCAAATAGACACAATAAAAATGATAAAGGGAATATCACCACTGACCCCACAGAAATAAAAACAACCATCAGAGAATACTATAAACAGCTCTAGGCAAATAAACTAGAAAATGTGGGAGAAATGGATAAATCCCTGGACACACAGACCCTCCCAAGACTAAACCAGGAAGAAGTCAAATCCTTGAATAGACCAATAACAAGTTCTGAAATTGAGACAGTAATAAATATCCTAACCAATAAAAAGCCCAGGACCAGATGGATCTATAGCTGAATTCTACAAGAGACACAAAGAGGATCTGGTACCATTCCTTCTGAAGTGATTCCAAACAATTGAAAAGGAGGGACTTCTCCCTAACTAATTTTATGAGGCCAGCATCATCCTGATACCAAAATGTGGCAGAGACACAACAAAAAAGAAAACTTCAAGCCAATATCCCTGATTCAAAAATCCTCAGTAAAATACTGGCAAACTGAATCCAGCAGACATCAAAAAGCTTATCCACCACGATCAAGTCAACTTCATCCCTGGGATGCAAGGTTAGTTCAACATATGCAAATCAATAAACGCAATCCATCACATAAACAGAATCAATGACAAAAACCACATGATTATCTTAACAGATGCAGAAAAGGCCTTTGATAAAATTCAAAATCCCTTTATGTTAAAAACTCTCAATCAGCTAGATATTGATGGGACATATCTCAAAATAATGAGAGCCATTTATGACAAACTCACAGCCAATATCATACTGAATAGGCAAAAGCTGGAAGCACTCCCTTTCAAAACCAACACAAGACAAGGATGTCCTCTCTCACCACTATTGAACATAGTATTGGAAGTTCTGGTCAGGGCCATCAGGCAAGAGAAAGAAATGAAGGTATTCAAATAGGAAGAGAGAAAGTCAAATTGTCTTTATTTACAAATGACACGATCCTATATCTAGAAAGGCCCATTGTCTAGGCCCAAAAGCTCCTGGCTGTGGGTTTGTCATAAATGACTCTTAATATTTTGAGATATGTCCCATCAATATCTAGATTATTGAGAGCTTTTAACATAAAGCGATGTTGAATTTTGTCAAAGGCCTTTTCTGCATCTATTGAGATAATTATGTGGTTTTTGTCATTGAAGCTGATGAGCAAATTCAGCGAAATCTCAGGATACAAAATCAATGTGCAAAATTCACAAGCATTCCTATACACCAACAACAGACAAGCAGAGAGCCAAATCACGAATGAACTCCCATTCGCAATTGCTACAAAGAGAATAAAATACCTAGGAATGCAGCTAACAAGAGATGTGAAGGACTTCTTCAAGGAGAAATACAAACCACTGCTCAAGGAAATAAGAGAGGACACAAACAAATGGAAAAACACTTCATGCTCATAGATAGGAAAAATCCACATCATGAAAATGGCCATACTGCCCAAAGTAATGTAAAGATTCAGTGCTATTCCCATTAAACTATCCTTGACATTCACGGAATCAGAAAAAACTACTTCAGGCCGGGCGCAGTGGATCACCCCTGTAATCCCAGCACTTTGGGAGGCCAAGGCGGGCAGATCACCAGGCCAGGAGATTGAGACCATCCTGGCTAACACGGTGAAACCCCGTCTCTACTAAAACTACCAAAAAATTAGCCCGGTGTGGTGGTGGGTGCCTGTAGTACCAGCTACTCAGGAGGCTGAGGCAGGAGAATGGCATGAATCCAGGAGGTGGAGCTTATAGTGAGCCGAGATCGCACCACTGCACTCCAGCCTGGGTGACAGAGCAAGACTCCATCTCAAAAAAAAAAAAAAAAAGAAAAAAGAAAAAACTACTTTAAAATTCATATGGAGTGCCACTGGACTCCAGCCTGGGTGACAGAGCGAGACTCCGTCTCAAACAATAAAATTAAAATAAAATAAAAATAAAAATAAAATAAAATAAATAAAATAAAATAAAATAAATAAAATATAAAATAAAATAAAATAAAATTCATATGAAACCAAAAAGAGTCTGTGTAACCAAGACAATCCTAAGCAAAAAGAACAAAGCTGGAGGCATCACGCTACCTGACTTCAAACTATACTACAAGTCTACAGTAACCAAAACAACGTTATTGATACCAAAACAGACACATAGACCTATAGAACAGAATAGAGATTTCAGAAATAAGACCACACATCTACAACCGTCTGATCTCTGACAAGCCTGACAAAAGCAATGGGGAAAGGATTCCCTATTAAATAAGTGGTGCTAGGAAAACTGGCTAGCCTTATGCAGAAAACTAAAACTGGGCCTTTTCCTTACATCTTATGCAAAAATTAACTCAAGGTGGATTAAAGACTTAAATGTAAAACCCACAACCATAAAAACCCTAGAAGAAAATCTAGGCAATACCATTGAGGACATAGGCATGGGCAAAGACTTCATGATGAAATCACCAAAAGCAATTGTAACAAAAGCAAAAATTGACAAATGGCATACAATTAAACTAAAGAGCTTCTGCACAGGAAGAGAAACTATCATCAGAGCTAACAGGCAACCTACAGAATGCGAGAAAATTTTTGCAATCTACTCATCTGCCAAAGGTCTAATATCCAGAATCTACAAGGAATGTAAACACATTTACAAGAAAAAAAAAACAAACAACCCCATCAAAAAGTGGGAAAGCAACATGAACAGACACTTCTCAAAAGAAGATATTTATGCAGCCAACAAACATATGAAAAAAATCTCAACATCACTGATCAGTGGAGAAATGCAAATCAAAACCACAATGAGATGGTGCCATCTTATGCCAGTCAGAATGGCAATTATTAAAAAGTCAAGAAATGCAGATGCTGGCGAGGCTATGGAGAAATAGAAATGCTTTCACACTGTTGGTGGGAAGGTAAATTAGTTCAACCATTGTGGAAGACAGTATGGTGATTCCTCAAGGATCTAGAACCAGAAATACCATTTGACCCACCAATCCCATTACTGCATATATACCCAAAGGAATATAAATCATTCCATTACAAAGATACATGCATGTGTATGTTTATTGCAGCACTAGTCACAATAGCAAAGACATTAAATCAGCCCAAAGGCCCATTAATGATAAACTGGATAAAGAAAATGTAGTACATATACACCATGGAATACTATACAGCCATGAAAAGGAACAAGATCATGTCCTTTGCAGGGATGTGGATGACTGGAAGCCATCATCCTCAGCAAACTAACACAGGTACAGAAAACCAAACACCACCTATTCTCACTCATAAGTGGGAACTGAACAATGAGAACACATGGACACAGGGAGGGAAACAACACACACTGGGGCCTGTTGGCGATCAGGGGTAGCTAGAGCATCAGGATAAATGGCTAATGCATGTGGGTCTAAATACCTAGGTGATGGGTTGATAGGTGCAGCAAACCACCATGGCATGTTTACCTAGGTAACAGAACTGCACGTCCTGCACATGTATCTCAGAACTTAAAATAATTTTTAAAAAAGCTAATCACTATACTGACCTCTGCTGATATAATTTAGTTTTGCTTATTTTTGAACTCAATGTAAATTGAATTTAGAATATGAAAAAAAGAGATTGCTGAGGAAGGACAAGGTGAGATAACTTGCCAAATATCAAGACTTATTAAAGCAATAACTAAAATGTTGTGGTATCAGCTTTGAATAGAAAAATAGATCAATGGCACATAATACATATCAGAAATAAATTCACCCCTGTCTAGAAACTTGATAAATAACAGAGGGAATTACAGATCTTTGAAAAAGGAAAGTATTCTTCAGTAGAGTTTGGTACTGAATATGCATGTAGAAAGAATGAAATTTGGTACAAATCTCACAGCAATTACAAACATCTGTTAGAATAGTTCCACGTGGATCAAGGATTGAATGTGTAAAGCAAAAATGTTAAACTTTAAATGAGGACATAGCATAATACTTCTACGATTATGTGAGAATTCATTGAACAAAACCCAAAGAGATTGATAAACCTGACCATTTTAAAATTTAAAACTTGTTATTGAAAGAACACCATTAAGCATCTGAAAAGATAAGATCTTTCTGACATACATAACCAGAGAAAGGTTAGTATCCAGTATTTATAAAGGATTTCTGAAAATCAAAAGGAAAAGAAGTCTTAAGAAAAAAAAATGGAAAAACAGTACATCAACAGGCACTTCACTGAAAAACACATGAAAAGATTAACCTTGTTAATAAACAGGAAATAGAAATTAAAACCAAATGATACATAATTTTACCTCTACTAAGATTGGAAAGGATGCTAGCCAATGGTACTCTCATCCTATGTAGATGACAAAAGTATAGCATTACGTTATGTGGCCGTTTTTCTCGTGCCCATGTATTTTGAGGGACCCTTGCATGGGCACCACAGGTTTCACACACAGGAATGCTCATAACAAAATTATTTTTACTAGCAAAAATTGCAAAGAATCCAAATATCCTTGGACAGAAGGATAAAATGGTGGCACAGTGGAATACAAGACAGGAGAGAGAAGAAATCAATTACAGCCATACACATTACAGATTAACTCACAATATAAACACTCAGAAGGGTGAGGAGGTAGGAGGGGGTTTGTATTAGTCTGTTTTCACACTGCTATAAAAAATACCTGATACTGGGTAACTTACGAAGGAAAGTTTAATTGACTCATGATTCTGCAGGCTGTACAGGAAGCATAGCAGCTTCTGGGGCAGCCTCAGGAAACTTTCAATCACGCTGGAAGGCAAAGGGGAAGCAGGCATTTCTTACATGGCCAAAGCAGGAGGAAGGTGTTGGGGGTGCTATACACTTTTCAACAATCAGATCTCATGATAACTTATTCACTCACTCTTGCCATGACAACACCAAGGAGGATGGCGTTAAACCATGAGAAACCACCCTCATTATTCAATCACATCCCACCAGGCCTCACCTCCAACACTGAGGACTACAATTAGACATGAGATTTGGGGGGAAAACAGATCCCAACAATATAATTCCACCCCTGGCCCCTCTCAAATCTCATGTCCTTCTCACATTTCAAAATACAATCATGCCCTTCCAACAGTCCCTTAAAGTCTTAACTCATTCCAGCATTAACTCAAAAGTCCAAAGTCCAAAGTTTCATCTGAGTCAAGCCTCCCTTCCACCTATGAGCCTGTACAATCAAAAACAGGTTAGTTACTTGCAAGACACAATGGCGATACGAGCATCAGGTAAATATTTCCATTCCAAAAGGGAGAAATCACCAAATAAAGGAGTCTACAGGCCCCATGCTAGTTTGAAACCCAGCAGGGTAGTCATTAAATGTTAAAACTCAAAATAATCTGCTTTGATTCCATGTATTACATCCAGGCACACTGATGCAAGGAGTGGACTCCCAAGGCCTTGGGCAGCCTGCCCCTGTGACTCTGTAAGGTTCAGTCCCTGCAGCTGCTCTCAAGGGCTGGTGCTGAGTGCCTTTCCAGGCATAACTTTTAGGTGCATGGTGGAAGCTCTCAGTGGATCTACCATTCTGGAGTCTGGAGGACAGTAGCCCTCTTCTCACAGCTCCAGTAGGTAGCGCCCCAGTAGGGACTGTGTCGGGGGATCCAACCCCACATTTACTCTCTGCACTGCCCTAAGAGAGGTTTTATATGTGGGTTCTGTACCTGCAGCAGGCTTGTGCCTGGACACCCAGACTTTTCCATACATCCTCTGAAATCTAGGTGGAGGCTCTCAAGCCTCAACTCTTGCCCTCTCTGCACGTACAAGCTTTATACCACATGGAACCTGCCAAGGCTTATGCCTTGCACCCTGTTAAGCAAGAGGCCTGTACTGACCCCTTTTAGCCAGGAGTAGCTGGGATGTGGAGAGCACCGTCCTGAGACTGCAAAGAGCAGCAGCAGGGCCCTGGTCGCAGCCCACAGAAACATTATTTCCTCCTAAGCCTGTGGGCCTTTGATGGAAGGGGCCACCGTGCAGGTTTCCGAAATGCCTTCGAGGCCTCCCTCTTGTCTTGGCTATCAGCATTTTCCTTCCTTTTAGTTATGCAAATTTCTGCAGCCTGCTTGAATTCCTCCCCCAAAAATGGGCTTTTCTTTCTACCATATGGCTTGGCTGGAAATATTTCAAATTTGTATGCCCTGCTTCTCTTTCAAATATAAGTTCCCATTTCAGATCATGTCTTTGCTCACATATATGAGCATAGGCTATTAGAAGGAGCCAGTCCACATCTTGACGGCTTTGCTGCTTAGGAATTTCTTCCAACAGATACCCTAAATCATCCTTCTCAAGTTCAAAGTTCCACAGATCCCTAGGGCAAGGGCACAATCCAACCAGGCTCTTTGCTAAAGCATAGAAAAAGTGACCTTTACTCCAGTTCCCAAATAAGTTTCTCATTTCCATCAGAGACCTCCTCAAGCCTGGGCTTCACTGCTCATATCACCATCAGCATTTTAGTCACAACAATTTAACAAGTCTCTAGGAAGTTCCCATTTTTTTCTCATCTTTCTGTCTTCTTCTGAGAACTCCACACTCTGTCAATCTCTGCCTGTTACTGAATCCCAAAGTCACTTCCAGATGTTCAGGTATCTTTATAGCAATATCCCACTCCTGGTACCAATTTTCTCTTTTAGTCTATTCTCACACTGCTATAAAGAAGTACCTGAGGCTGAGTAATTTTTAAAGAAAAGAAGTTTAATTAGCTCATGGTTCTACAGGCTATACAGGAAGCATAACAGCTTCTGGGGAAGGCTCAGAACACTTTCAATCATGGTGGAAGGCAAAGGGCAAGCAGGCATATCCTACATGGCCAGAGCAGGAGGAAGAGAGGGAAAAGGGAGATGCTATACACTTTTAAACAACCAGATCTCATGATAATTCACTCACTCACAATTGCCATGACAACACCAAGCGGGATGGTGTTAAACCATGAGAAACTGCCTTCATGACCCAATCACCTCCCACCAGGCCCCGTTTCCAACATTAGGGATTACAATTTGACATGCGATTTGGGCAGGGACTCAGATCCAAACCATATTGGGGTGGATGATGATAAATTACTTAATGGATACAATGCATGTTATTTGGGTGATGGATACCCTAAACACACTGATATCACCTCTATGCAGTGTACTCATGTAAGAAAATTACACTTGAAACACATAGATTAAATACAAATTTTCAAAAACAAAGCAAAAAACAAAGTTGAATGAAAAATGCAAGATGCAAAAAATAAACACACAGGATTGCATCACTTATATAGAGTTGAGATACATGTGATGCTATATTGTTTATAGACACATCTGAGGTAAAACTCTAAGAAAAATTAAAGATGTGATAAGCATAGCATTCACAATAGTGGTGGCCATTGCTGAGAAGAGAGAGTGTGGGGACTGAGGAAGGTCTGCAAGGCATAGTGTTCTGTTAATTACCCTGGGACGTGAGCACATACATGATTATTTACTCTCAGTTTTTAAACCTTATGTATATACTACATACAGATATTCAATTAAATATTTTATAATAAAAAAATGAAATTAATAACAAAAGACTTCCAGGTTTTCGTTTTGAGGAGCTAGATGGTGTCACCATTATGATAATATAATCCTGACCACAAAATTACATCGATTCCCCAATGGGAGATACACGTGTGTGGTTCCCTAAGGACAAACATTTTTGTCATGGGAATATCCACCAAGAGAATGGCTACAAACCAGAAACCTTATCTTATTTGGGTCAGACATAAGCTCTAACCCCACAACCCCATGTTTATTATAGTCACTGAATTTTCTAGGAAAACAATGGTTTAGCAGCATATACTCTGAAGAGCATTCATACTCTTTTCAATTTTAGGATGAACCATAAAACTTGGGTACACAGGTTTTGTAGGTTTGAGTAGGTTTTGTAGGTTTTCACATTATGGATGTGAAAACGGTTAAGAGAGCAATGTCCATAGAGGAGAAATAGGAAATTTTATGCTTTGTCAGGTGGAAACTTTTTGAAAGCAAAGGTAATGTATGTGAAAGCAATTTGTATTAAAAATATAAATATTGGTTATTATTACATGAACAATGAATTCTGCTTACCCGGATACTGTTTCTGAATACCTTTATCTGTCCCTGTAACAGATTTATTGAATGAGTTGAATTTTGTAGGGGGCAAGGAGAAAGTCAGTTTGCTTTTTGGCCAGCTCTGTATTTCCTCTGTTCTATGGCAAATCTCCCACCTCTAGCCCTGGAGATAGCCTTGAGTAGATCTCACAATTACTGTGGTCATTCCCAGTTATTACAACTAGTCTGATTTTTTAGGTATTAAAAAATGCAGATTAATTCAATATTAAACTTTTATCTTGCATCGACTTCAAAGTTTATCCCCTGTTCTAGCTCAGTCCTGCCTTAGATGGGGAAGCCTGCAATGGGGCAGGAGACCTTTATCACTATTATCTCCCACTCCTCTTCCATTTCTCCTCTCAGACTCATTGTGCTGTCCCTTGCTTCTTTAAGTTTGAAGATTGTGAGAGGAGGGACAGAAATGTCCCCAATGGACTTGGATAGTTGTAACATGGCAGGAGTGTCATCTGGGTGTGGCAGCAGATGACTTTATTTTTATGGAGTAACTTGGGTAGGTTCTTCAGAGACCCTTATTCGCCCAAGTTCCTTGAGTCAATGGGATGTTAGAAGTCATAACACATGAAACACACGTGTATGACTGGGCTTCTCATTCTTGCAATTGTGCCACTGCCATAAGACTATGGAGTACAAAAAGCACATGGAAGCCAGCAAAGTGGTGTTCACCTATAATCTCAGCTATTTTGGAGGCTGAGGCACTTGAACCTACAAGTTTAAGGCTACAATGTGCTATGATCACACCTGTGAATAACCATTGCACTCCAGCCTGGGCAACATAGCAGGACCCCATCTCAAAAAAAAAAAAAAAAAAGTTTGTTCTTTAAAAAAAAAAAAAAAAAGCACATGGAGCAGAGCCAAATCACCAGGCCACCCTGACCCATACTCAGACCTGAGAGATATCCCAGCTGATATCAACAGAGCTCATTAGTTTGCTCCCAGCTGACCACAGGCATGTGAGCAATAAACACTTATTGTTCGTTGGCGAGGTTTTGTGGTTATTTATTATCCAGCATTATTGCCATGATAGGTAGCTGACATAACTGTGAGTAGGATTTATTTTACTTCCACTTCACAGATACAGAAATAGGCATTTGGAGAGGTTAAAATTACACTACTCATGAAATGACTAGAGCTACATTTGGACCCAGATGTCTAGGGCTGGGCTGGGGCCAGGTTTGCTTGCACTATCAGTTCCCAGTGCTACATGAAGGGTTGCTATATATTGAGGTGGTATAAATGTTTGCTGACATTCTAACAGTACATTTCCTTCTCCTACAAAAAAGCTTGGGGTCTGGGCATGGTGGCTCATGCCTATAATCTCAACACTTTAGGAGACCAAGGAGGGCATATCACTTGAGCTCAGGAGTTCAAGACCAGCCTGAGCAACATAACAAAATTCCCATCTCTAAAAAAAAAAAAAAAATACAAAAAAAAAATACAAAAAATTAGCCAGGCATGGTGGTACACGCCTGTGGTCCCAGCTACTAGAGAGGCTATGGTAGAAGGATCAATTGAGCTCAGGAGTTCAAGGTTGCAGTGAGCCATGACTGCACCACTGTACTCCAGCCTAGATGATAGAGTGAGACCCTGTCTTAATAAAGAAAACAAAAAGGCCTGGAATCATAAAGATCCACTGAGTATAGCCAAACAATCTTAAAAATGAAGAACAAATTTGGAGGACTCAAACTTGCCAACTTCAAACCTTACTACAAAGCTACAGTAATCAAGACAGTGTGGCACCAGCATAAGGATAAACACATAAAGATCAACAGAATAGAGTGGAAAATTCAGAAATAAACCTTTACATTTATGGTCAATGGATTTTGGACAAGGTTGACACAAAAATCCAAGGGAGAAATGGTCTTCAACAAATGGTAGTGCGGCAGGTGGATATCTACATGCAAAAAGAATAAATTTAGACTCCTACCTCACACCATATGAAAAAGTAACTCAAAATATGCCATGGACCTAAACTTATGAGTGAAAATTATAAAACTTGTAGAACTAATCGTAAGAGTCAACCTTTATCACCCTGGTTTAGGTAATGATTTCTTAAATTTAATACCAGAAGTCCAAGAGAGAAAAGAAAAAAACAGATATTGTACATCATTAAAACTGAAAATATTTTTGCTTCAAAGGATACCATCAAGAAAGTGAAAAGGTGGCTAGGCGGAGTGGCTCACTCCTGTAATCCCAGCACTTTGGGATGCTGAAGTGGGCAGATCACCTGAGGTCAGGTGTTCAAGACCAACCTGACCAGCATGGTGAAATTCCTTCTCTATTAAAAATACAAAAAATAGCCGGGTGTGGTGGCACACACCTGTAATCCCAGCTACTTGAGAGGTTGAGGCAGGAAAATTGCTTCAACCCAGGAGGTGGAGGTTGCAGTGAGCTGAGATCACACCACTGCACTCCAGTGTGGGTGACAGAGCAAGACTCTGTCTCAACAACAACAACAAAAGAAAGAGAGAAAGAAAGAAAGAGAGAAAGAATGAAAGAAAGAAAGAAGGAAAGAGAGAGAGGGAGGGAGGGAGGGAAAAGGCAACCCACAGAATGACAAAAAAATTTTCAAACTGTAACTTATCATCTGATAAGATGTCCAAAATATAACTCTTATAACTCAACAATAAAAATACAAATAATCAATTTAAACATGAGCCAAGGAATTGGTTAAACATTTCTCCAAGGAAGATATACAAATGGCCATTAAGCACATGAAAAGATGTCAAAATCACCAGCTATTAAGTAATGCAAATCAAGACCACAGTGAAATATCACTTTACATCAAGTAGGATGACAATAATAATAATAATAATGGATAATAATAAGTGCTAGCAAGGATGTGGAGAAATTAAAACCCTTATACATTGCTGGTGGAAATGTAAAATGGTGCAGCCACTTTAAAAACCGTCCGGCAATTCCTCAAAATGTTAAACAGACTTACCATATTACCCAGAAATTCCACTCCTGGGTGTATTCAAGAGAAATTAAACCATGTGTCCATGAAAAAACTTGTACGTGAATATTCATAGCAGAATTATTTCTAATAGCCAATGTCGGATATCCAAGAATAAAAGGAATGAAGTACTGATACATGTTACAATATAGATGAAACTTGGAAACAATGTGCTAAGTGAAGACGGCAGTCACAAAAGACCACACATTTTATGATTACATTTATAAAAAATACACAGAATGGGCAAATATATATAGAGACAGAAAACACATTGGTGGTTCCTTAGGACTGAGGGGTTGGAGAATGGGGAGTGACTACTAATAGGTATTAGGTTTTCTCTTAGGGGAAATGGAAGTATTCTAAAGTTAGATGAGGTGATGGATGCACAATTCTGAATATAGTTAAAAACAACGAATTGTACACTTCAAACTTAAAAGGGTGAGTTTTATACTGTGCAAATTATATCTCGATAAATCTGTTTCTTAAAGTTTCATGCAAAAAACAAAAGCCCTGGCACAATGCAATTGAAACGTTTCCAAAAAAATAACAATTAATGAAATGTATGTGGGCATCAAAATCTCCCCATCTGCCATTACTGCAAAATGACCAGGTAGTTTTATGAGTGATTCTACCAAATGATGTAGCACATACATTCTCTATCTTATACAAATCATTCAATAAGAGATAAAAGGGATAAAAGTTATCCAACTCACTTCATGATGCTAGCAAAACTTTCATACCAAGTCCAGATAAATAGAGGAAGTTAAACAAAAATGTCAACTGACAAACATCAATGCAAAAATATCAAAGTGTGAACTATTTATCCAGCAACATCCAAAACAAATTAAACATCAGAGGTTTAAACCTCAAGAAGTGTATTAGTCCATTTTCACACTGCTATAAAGATACTACCCAAGACTGGGTAATTTATAAAGGCAAGAGTTTTAATTGACTCACAGTTCTGCATGGCTGGGGAGGCCTCGGGAAACTTACAATCACAGTGAAAGAGGAAGTAGGCAAATGTTACAAGGCAGCAGGTGAGAGAGAGAGTGTACAAAGAAGGAACTTGCCAAACACTTGTAAAACCATCAGATCTCGTGAGAACTCACTCAGTATCACAAGAACATCATCGGGGAAACTGCCCTCATGATCTCATCACTTCCCACCAGGTTCCTCCCTTAACACTAGGGGATTATAATTCAATATGAGATTTAGATGGGGACACAAAACCTAACCATATCATTCTGCCCATGGCCCCTCCCAAATCTCATGTCTCTTTCACATTTCAAAACAAATATGCCTTCCCAACAAGTGCCCCAAAGTCTTAACTCATTTCAGCATTAACTCAAAAGTTCAAGTCCAAAGTATCATCTGAGACCAGGCAAGTCAGTTCCACCTAGGAGCCTGTAAAATCAAAATCAAGTTAGTTACTTCCAAGATACAATGGGGGTACAGGCATTGGATAAATGCTCCCATTCCAAATGGGAGAAATTTGCCAAAACAAAGGAGCTACAGGTCCCACACATGTCCAAAATCCAGCAGGGCAGTCAAATCTTAAAGCTCCAAAATGATGTCCTTTGACTCCATGTCTCACATTCAAGGCATGCTGATGCAAAGGAGAGGCTCCCATGGCCTTGGGCAGCTGCACCCCTGTGACTTTGTACAACCCTCCACACTGGCTGCCTTCATGGCTGCCATTGAGTGCCAGCGGCTTTTCCAGGCATACAGTACAAGTTGTTGGTGGACCTACCATTCTGGGGTCTAGAGAATGGTGGCCCTATCCTCACAACTCCACTAGGCAGTACCCCAGTAGGGACTCTGTGTGGGGGCTCCAACCCCACATTTCCCCTTTGTACTGCCCTAGCAGAGGTCCCCATGAGGGCTCTGCCCCACACCAGACTTCTGCCTGGACATCCAGACATTTCCATACATCCTCTGAAATCTAGGCAGAAATTCCCAAAACTCAATTCTTGACTTCTGTGCACCTGCAGGCCTAATACCACATGGAAGCCACTAAGGTTTGGGGCTTGCACCCTCTGAAGCAATGGCCCAAGCTGTACCTTACCCCTTTTAGCCACAGCTGGAGCTGGAGCAGCTGGGATACAGGGCATCAAGTCCAGAGGCTGCACAGAGCAGGGTGGCCCTGGGCCTGACCCACAAACCATTTTTCCCTCCTAGGTCTCCAGGCCTATGATGGAAGGGATTGCTGCCAAGACCTCTGACATGCCCTGGAGACATTTTCCCCATTGTCTTTGGCTCCTCATTACTCATGCAAATTTCTGCACCTGGCTTGGATTTCACCCCAGAAAATGGGTTTTTCTTTTTATCACATCATCAGGCTGCAAATTTTCCAAACATTTATGCTCTGCTTCCCTTTTAAACATAAGTTCCCATTTCAAGTCAAAGTTCCACAGATCTCTAGGGCAGGGGCAAAATTACATCAGTTTCTTTGCTTAAGCATAGCAAGAGTGATCTTTGCTCCAGTTCCCAATAAGCTCCTCATCTCTATCTGAGACCACCTCAGCCTGGACTTCGCTGTCTACATCACTATCAACATTTTGGTCAAAACCATTCAACAAGTCTCTAGGAAGTACCAAATTTTCCCACATCTTCCTATCTTCTCCTGAGCCTTCCAAACTGTTCCGACCTCTGCCTGTTACCGAGTTCCAAAGTCACTTCCACCTTTTCAGGTATCTTTATAGCAGTATCCCATTCTCTGTGGTACAAATTTCCAGGATTAGTTTACTCTCACACTGCTATAAAGATACTACCCCAGACTGAATAATTTATAAAGGAAAGAGGTTTAATAGAATCACAGTTCTGCATGGCTGGGGAAGACTCAGGAAACTTACAATCACTGCAGAAGGAGGAGCAAGGAACCTTCTTCACAAGGTGGCAGAAGAAAGAAGAATGAGCAAAGGAGGAACTTACCAAACAATTATAAACCCATGAGGTCTCGTGAGAACTCACTCACTATCATAAGAATAGCATGGGGGAAACTGCCCTCATGATCCAATTCCTCAACCCAAGTTCCTCTCTCAATACCAGGGGATTACAACTCAAGGTGAGATTTAAGTGAAGACACAAAGCCAAACCATATTAGGGGGGAAATGGCATTATCTGTTGGAGCTTTAGATACACGTGTTCTGACTCATCAATTTTACTTCTAGATATATACCCTAGAGAAATTTTCGCACATGTGCTCTTGTAGATATGTATAAGAATATTCACAGCAGTAGAGTTCACAATTACCAAAAACTACATCAATGTTCTGCTTCAAAAGAACCAATGAGTTGCAGTGATGTCATACAATGAAACACTTATAGTAATAAAAAGTAACAAACCTACATGCAATACATACAAAAAATTGCAAATAAAACACTGATTAAAAGAACAAAATAGGCCAGGCGCGGTGGCTCACGTCTATAATCTCAGCACTTTGGGAGGCCAAGGTGGGTGGATCATAAAGTCAGGAGATCGAGACCAGCCTGGCTAACACAGTGAAACCCCGTCTCTACTAAAAATTAGCTGGGCGTGGCAGCACGTGCCTGTAGTCCCAGCTGCTCAGGAGGCTGAAGCAGGAGAATCACTTGAACCCCGGGAGGCAGAGGTTGCAGTGAGCTGAGATCTTGCCACTGCACTCCAGGCTGGGTGACAGAGCGAGACTCCGTCTCCAAAACAAACAAACAAAATAATAATAATAATAATAATAATACGTTCTGTATGAACCCACTATATAAAGTTCCAAAATAGGCAAAATAAACTATTCTGTTTAGAGTTATTTATTGCTGGTACACAGATAAATAAAAGTAAGAAAAAATTATGATAAAATTGGTGGTTACCTCTAGAGGGTAGAGGGGAGGTGTAGTCAGTGGTAAAAACACATGACTCTATCTTCCCCTCAGAAAGTACATAAACCTCTGAGATTCTGACTCAGACTACAATTTAATGGTTTTAATTCAAAAATGCATCAAACCTTTAACATGTTGCAAAAAAAAAAAAGTGTTGTGGCCATTTTTTTCTTCAGCTTTTAAGTTCCAGGGTACATGTGCAGGAGGTGCAGGTTTATTACATAGGTAAACGTGTGCCATGGTGGAGAGATACCATTTTATTTCAAGAGCTTAAGACTACTAAATTTTAACTGCCCTTTATTTCTGAGATTTAGAAAAAACATGGCAATAAATAATGAAATTTTCAACATAGCAGAAGGATGGAAGGCCTATAACAATACAATTTTTATAAAAATTCTAAAAAACTTGAGGGAAAATTTACCCTACAGCCTTCCCCAAATGTCAGCCCAAAACAGAAAATTACATTGGTATTTGTTTCATTTATTTTCATTTTGATCAGATTCCTGGGCTTTTTTGGGTAATTACAACACTGTGCTGTGTTGTCATTCACTTCTGTTTTGGAAGAATGAGATGTAAGATAAGTAGTCACAACACTTATTACCTGAGCTGATTAACAGAGTTATTCAAACGACAGCCTCTTGTTTGGAGTAGAATGAAGATAATATAAATTCAACATTCTGGTATCATAACAAAGCATTTGCCTTCTCTCATTTTCTTAATCTGTATCCACACAGAAGCACATGTACATATGGCCTTTCTTCATTACTAAGCCAATATAGTCACTATAAAATGTAGCTCATCATCCCAGAAATTAATTCATTTCATTACTTTGCTGGAGGGCCAAATCAACCATATGTTTGGTCCTATAAGACCAAACATAAAAGAAGTGGGATCTCCAAGCACCTTGGTATTGGGAATTATTTGTGTGGGCTCTGGGAGGAAGTGACTCAAATACAATTATGGAAGCCTATAGTTTGATAAGACTTTACACAGTGCATAAAAACTAACAATTACAACTCCCAATAGTTTTAGACTGATTTAATAAGATTTAATGACTATACCAGTTGTGCATTCTAAAATAGAAATGGTAATGTGGCTCAGATGTTCTATTGAATAGACAAGAGACTAATAGGCTCTGGATTAAATACCTTATTCTGTGAACATTACTGCAGCTTTCTATTGGCAATTTTTACCACCTTATACATAAATGAATCATTCCTTCCAGAAGTCAGTTCAATACTTTACATTCCTCCTGCTTCACAGTTTAAACCACTTCACTGCTTTCCAATTCCTTTGGTGTTTCTTGTGTTGTTATTCTCACAACAGCTCTCTCCCACTTGGTCACTCTCCTAAGCAGAAATTATCTTATGGATCTAAACAGATACTTACTTCTTTTAGGCCAGCAGTCAGAACCTCAGCCTTGTTCCACATTGAAAACGTCCTATTATTTCCTTTCAAAGCAGGAAAATCCCCATCAAAAGAATCCACCATGAATTCCACCTGGAACCAAATAAGAAGAGAAAGAATGTGTCAGCAGAGATAAATTTCTGGTACCCTCAGGACTTCAAAACAGGGTTGAAAAGGGCAATTAGACTTGTGAGTATTCCCAAGTCTATAGTCCATCCTAGTCTGTGGTTTAATAAGTCCTTATTCTAGTCCCAAAAGCTTTTTAATTAGCTTTTTTGGGTTAGATTGGGAACCTAGCAATTTCTTATCATATTGTGGCTATGGCAAAATGCATTCTGATTTTTAAACAAGAAATTTATTAATATAAACCATATTTGGAATGTCCCCATGTATGTGTAAGTCAGGGGCTGCTTGTATTTCATTTTTACTGTAGCTCTAAATTCTTTATGCACACAGTAAAGATACATTCCTCACAGTTGGTAGAATGAACCCTCAAGAAATCAGAAATACTGGAAAGGTACACAGTAAGTGAATGTATAAGCAACAATGCACACAAGGAGTGAAGGCAAAACACTAGCTCATGATCTGAATTAGACAGTGGTAGAGCATATCAATTCCCTGTGAACAGCAGCATGAATAAAGCTGAAAGATTAACCTGCTAGACAGAATACATAAAGAGAAAGCAGCAATAACGTGCAACCTAGGGCCACAGCTCACCTTGCATCCGCCACTACAGCTTCAGAAATGCCGCACTTTTTTATTTCTTTAATGTTCACTTGCAATACAATCTGTCTTTTCCTCAAAGTCTGAGTTAGGTGATCCAGGGATAGTTAGAAGTTTGGCCTGAGAGGAGCCTGATTGGTGTCCCAGCTTCCCTGTCTCTCTCCTCTCTCTGTATTTGCTATGAGACCCTCTATAATAATAGAACTAATAATTTCTTTATTCAAGCCTAAACACTAGGAATTCATTTCCCTTTTGTTGGTGAGAGTAGGAAAAAAATGAACCTAATATAAAATAAACATGAAACTCTGAAAGATAATTATGATGGAAATATTAGACAACTACCAATTGAAGATCTAAAATCTACACACCTAAATATTTTCCTTTCTTCATGTATGTATTCCTTCATGTATTAAACATCTTTTAAGTGTTTAATGTTTGTCTCAAACTCTTATCCTTAAGTCCATAGTAATTTTAAGAACCAAATTAAACATGCAACTATTTGAAAGAATCAGACTCTTACAAATTCAAGACAATATTTCTTAGAAGAATACAACTACTAAGAGTCATTGGAGTAAAAGGAGTGGTAAACAGTCAACCAGAAAATAGGCAAGATGAGCATAGGTGGGGGTAGGGAAGGCTGGATGAGAAAGAAAGAGTGATGGGAAGAGGATCCATGCTGGGTGGGGTCCTAGGTGCCAGGACAGTAACAGATGGGACCTGCCTACAGTCATATTTCACAGGAGTCGGTTTGGAGGAGGATCTGCAATGGATATTGACATCCCCCTTCCAGCAGAAGGAAGGAAGCTCTCCCTGGATGTCTTCTTAAGCACAGACCATATCCCATACCTCTGCCCTTTTTTTTCTAAAGGAGAAAAAGATTTCATATATTCAAAGGCAACCTGTGTTTCTGAGCATAAAGCAACTCAGTGAGTACACAGGCAATGTCCCTATTTCAACAACCACATTAAAAAAAATACCTATTGAACATTTTTCTGTGTCATATAGTATTCTAGGAGCCACATTCCAATATAAATGACAGGCCATAAACAAGAAAATAAAGAAGCAGAACCATTTCAGATAGGAATTAGTGATGACGTGATTTGTTGGACAGGAACAGTGGCACAAGAGCAGTGTTGGTGATTTATATTAGATGGTCAGGGGAGCCCTCACAGAAGACATCACACAAGCTGAGAGCTGAATGGCCAGAAGAAGCGAAACCAGCAAAGACCTAGGGAAGCATGTTCCGTAGCAGAATAAGTCGCCAGGGCAGTATAAACTCCACCTGTCAGGTAAACAGAAATAAACACAAGGGCATGCAGCATGGTCACAAGAAGAGAGAGGGTAGATGGACATCTGACCCACAGATTTTCATTGTCAGTGGGCCTTAATCTAAACTGAAAGAATGCCATTTAAGGCCAGACATGGTGGCTCACGCCTGTAATCCCAGCACTTTGGGAGGCCGGGGCAGGCGGATCACAAGGTCAGTAGTTCGAGACCAGCCTGGCCAACATAATGAAACCCCATCTCTATTAAAAATAAAAAAAATTTTAAAAAAAATTAGCCGGGCATGGTGGCATGTGCCTGTAGTCCCAGCTACTCAGGAGGCTGAGTGAGACGGGAGAATCACTTGGACCCAGGAGGCAGGGGTTGCAGTTAGCCGAGATCGTGCCACTGCACTATAGCCTGGGTGACAGAGCGAGACTCCATCTCAACAACAACAACAACAACAAAAAGAATGCCATTTATACAGGGGAGGACAGGACAGGATACAATTTACATTTTTGAAGATCATCCTGTCTGGGGTTTAAAGATGGAAGTGATGTGCTCAGCAAGAGAAGAAGCAAAGCTTTAATCTAATTTACTTGGTGCCTGGATTAATGTAGAAATGGGAGATGGCAGTCCAGAAATAGAGTGGTGATAGTGGATTTGGAGACTAGAGAAAGATGGGTGGATTCTGAAGTTATGTTGAGAGAACTCGCCAATAGAGTGAATGGGGAGCAGACAGCAAGAAAATAAAAAAAGAGGATTAATGATGAGTCCTAGATTTTTGTTTTTGTTGTTGTTGTTGTTTGAGACAGAATCTCACTCTGTCGCCCAGGCTGGAGTGCAGTGGCATGATCTCAGCTCACTGCAACCTCCACCTCCCGGGTTCAAGTGATGCTCCCACCTTAACTTCCTGAGTAATTACGACTACAAGCACATACCATCACGCCCAGCTAATTTTTGTATTTTTAGTAGAGATGGTTTCACCGTGTTTGCCAGGCTGGTCTCGAACTCCTGACCTCAAGTGATCCACCTGCCTCGGCCTCCCAAAGTGCTGAGATCATAGGCAAGAGCCATCACGCCCAGCCAGAGTCCTCGGTTTTTGATTCTGCAGTTAAATAATGCACCAGGGTAAGGGAATGAAAATACCAGAGTATCGTGAGTGTGTGGGCATGTGAGAGAGAGAGAGAGAGAGAGAGAGAGAGAGAGAGAGAGTGTGTGTGTGTGTGTGTGTGTGTGTGTGTGTGAATAAAAGGTCTTCTTTTGATCATGTTAGGTTTGAGATATCAACAAAACATCCAAGGGATGTCAAATAGGCACTTGCTATCTAGAGAGAAAACAAAGGAGTAGGGGAATTAGCAACATGAATATCCAAAACATAAAACAGCTGTAGAATTAGGAATATAGATTAAGAAGAATATAGGGTTTCCTAAAACTCACTGCTATAGATTTCTAGGAAAATGTAAGAATCTAGAAAGGTAAACACAGCTCTCTAAGAGTATTTGCTAGCAACCCCTTGCCCCAACTACCACCACCAAAAAGCTGTGAGTTTGAGCTGTAGTACTGGCCATCTCACAGGGCAAGAGACTACAGGTCAAATTCCAGACCTGCCCAAAGTGGAGATTCCAATGAACACTCAGTCACATATTAACTGGGGACTACCAAAACCAAGACTCAAAATATGAAAATAAACCAGGAAGTTATTGAAATCAGAGCTCTTATCATCTGCATGATCCAGATAACATCAAACTTTAATCTTGCGTTAAAATCATCCACAAACTGGTAGTGTCACTAAATGCCTGATAGAAAGAAATGTGAACCCACTTTGGAAGAACATACCCTCATCTTAGACCTCACATTATTCCTACAAAAAAAGTTTAAAATACAATGACCAGCACACAGTCAAAGATAACCTAGTACACGCACACACACACACACACACACACACACAAAGACACTAAAATGGAGAGAGAACAGACAAGAGAAACAAACCTACAAAGACCTGATATTGAAGTTATTACATATGACTAAGAACACAACTATAATTACCACTTTAGTAAAAAACAAAATTCGAGCTTGAAATTATCAGCAGGGAACAGGAAACTATTAAAAATGATATAAGTAATCTGAAAACAAAACAAACCCAGAACATCTATGATTAAAATATTAACAATTTTTAAAAGTTCACAAAGTATGGTTTGCCAGCAGATTAGACATAGCTAATGAAAGCATTAATGAGTTGGAAAGTAGGTCAGAAGAAACTATTGAAAATATAGTACAGAGAGACAAAAATATAAGAAAGAAATGCAGAAAAAAAGGCACAGAAAATAGGACAAGGTGGTCTAGCATACTTTTAATCTGCATGCCAAAAAGAGGAGAGAATGGGACAGAGGCAATGTTTAAAGAGATAATGTCTGAATTTTTTCAGAATTGGAAAAGAATTGTGACAGCTGTGTTAATCTTCTCAGTTCTTGAATTGGCTGCTTAGCTAGCTAGTATTCAAAATGTTTTATTTTCTAATGCATTTATTGAAAGCTATAAATTTCACTCTGATAACTTTTAACTGTAGTACAAATTTTTTAAATATAATCTTTTTCTTAATTTTCCTCATCACCTCTCTTATAACTTATGAATTGTTTTGAAATGTAATTTTCCTAAGTATTTTTATAAATATTTGAGAGTCTTTTATGTATTTCTAATTCTTTATTTTCATTGCACTGTAGTCAGAGTATGGGTATATGATATCAATTCTTTGGGATTTGTTGCAACATTTTAATGAATATATGGTACTTTTTTTTAAAGTTTCATATACACTTGAAAAAAGTGTATTCTTTGTCACATGCAAAATTCTATGTCAAACTATTAGATCAAACTTTTCAAATGTGTTTTTCTAAATGTCTATTTTTTTAGATGTTTGAGTCATCATTTTCTGAAGGAAGTATGTTAAACTTCCTACTGTTATTGTGGCTTTGTCAATTTTCAATTTCATCTGTTATTCTGTCAGTACTTGGTTCAAAATTTGGAAATAGTATTATTATACATAGGATTATTATTGATATAAGTTCTTGGGATTTTTTAAATTTCTTTTTAAATATTTTCTTTTTCTATTTTAATCTAATATTATTTTTGGTTATTAATCTTTATCACTTTATTTTCATATTTACCTGGCATATATGTTTTAGTCCTTTGTCTTTCAACATTTTTGCATCCTTATGTTTTACATTTGTTTCTTGAAAATATAGACTAGATAAAATCTGAGTATATCTGTCATTTACTTTGTTTATCCATTCGTATATTTTATGATTTTTTAATATACTTGAACTTATTTCTGACACCTTGTTCTGTTTTTCATATATCTTCTATCCACTTCTATTTTATTTTTTGCTAGCTTCCACTAGGTTGATTAAACTACATATATTTTCTGTCTTTTCCACTATTTGTTTATAAATTATCTACTATATTTTTATTATTTGTGTATCTACCCATGTTTTTTACATACATACTTACATTTCTGTTGTACAAACAAGTATAACATTAATCAATATCTCTATTCTCTTCTAAGACAAAAAAATTAGTAATAACGTCCGTCCAAACTTTCTACACTCTCAAACCTCAATTCACATGATTAATATTGTGTTATTTATTTCTGTACAGCCTATAAAATCATATACAAACAAAATATTTTTCACTTTTGCCCTCATTACTATAATCTTATTTTATCGTGGACATGCATTTAAATATACCACCACGTTCTACAGTGTTTCTGTGCTCACAATTACTTCTTGCACCCCACTCCTTCTTTATGAATTCACATATATTGCTTAAGTACATTATTTTGTATATTTCATCTATCTTGCTGTAATAATCTTATTTTTATATATTTATTTACTAATTCATAGGGACAGGGTCTCACTCTGTCGCCCAGGCAGTGTGCAGTACTGCAATCATTGCCCACTGCAGCCTTGAACTCCTGGGCCCAAGAGATCCTTTCACCTCAGCCTCCTGAGTAGCTGGGACTACAGGCACATGTCACCATACCCAGCTTTTTTTTTTTGTGTGTGTGTGTGTGTGTGTGTGTGTGTGTGTGTGTGTGTGTAAGAGACAGGATCTCACTATGTTGCCCAGGCTGGTCTCGAATACATGGCCTCAAGCAGTCCTCCCACCTCAGCCTTCCAAAGCTCTGGGATTACAGGCATGAGCCACTGTACCTCTCATTTAAATAATAACAAGTATTTGTACACTAAAAATGTTTTCGTTTTGTCCACATTCTTACATATTCATTTATTGGCAAGAATTTTAAATGAAAATATTTCCTTAGAGTTTTAAAACTTGATTTCATTGTCTTATCTCTTCATTTATTTATCATGGAAGCCTATCAGATTGTTGCTTCTTTATCAGAACTCTGAATTTTCTCTGTTGTGTTTTAGGATTTTCTTTTGAGGTTTTACAGTTTAATGACAAGATTTCTCCATATATTTACACAACTTATTTATATTATTCAACCATTTCAATCTGAGAGTTTCTTCATTTCTGGAAAATTGTCAGTATTACAGTTTTAAACATTAACTCCACTATTCCCTCCATAAATTTCTGGAACTCCAGTTAAAGATAATTGGACCTTCTCATTTTCTATTCCTTATCTCTCATTTTTTCTTTTCTATATTTCATCTCATTATGTCTCAGTGCTGATTCCTGGAAGGTTTACTCTATCTTCCATTTCACTGATTCTCCCTTCAGTTTTGCCTAGTCTATTATTTAATCAATCCCCCAAAAATTTCAAATTACTATATTTTAGGCTATTTTTTACATTTGCTTGCTCCATTTTATAACCTCGTGTTCTTTCATCGTGTTCACTATTTCCTCTTTTATCTTTTTGGGCTGCTTTTAAACATACTTACTTAGTTGAATTCATTTCTTCTCTTAGCTCTTGCTTCTTAGTTATGCATTCACCAGATGGGAGGAGGATGTAGGCTGATTTTCTTGGAACTATCTCAAATATTGTGTCATCCTTCTCTATGACCTTGTTTCCCATCATAGGTTCTCCTTGAGTTTCTTTCTCCGGGTCATCAAGACCTCTCTGGATACTGGTCTATTGATCGCCTTTGCTCAAACCCTACTGTGGACCCTTGCCACTCAGTCGCAGGGAGAATGTAAAGCCGGGTCCAGCAACCTGATGTTCACAGGTCTGAGGTCATAGATGTTTCTGGTTACAGCTCTGAATGGGAGTGGTCAGTTTGCTCTTTGCTACGACTGAGGCTGGAGGACAGATAGCACAGTCCCTCGTCAAGAACAAGCAGCAATTTCCCAGCTTGTGGGTTCACATAGGAGCTCAGTTTCTACTCCTTGCTCAGCGTGACTCCTACAAACTTGTTTCCCAATCCCATACAGGTGTCAAAAGCTGGCCACTGCCCTGGGGCCAGCTCAGTTTATCCTCTGCTTCCATCTAGAGTTTCCTACATGATGCTTGCACCTTTGAAAGCATTTTAAAATATTTCATTCAGAATATAAGAAGGTGACTGGAATATAAGAAGGTAATTTGTTACATTCAATCCACCAATTTGACTAGAAGTCAAGAGCTACTTTAAAACGAATATTCCATTTTGTTTTAAATCTTGAAACATCTCTGTATGTCTGAACTTAGTTGATACTGGAATACAGACATATCCGTGAGTAGAATTAAGCAACCCTTTGTGCTCAGATGTCTGTCTGTTCCCGTCTACTTGTATGGGGTCAAGGAGCCTCATGGGGAAAGAGTTCAAAAGTATTCGATAGCACCATTTCGGTCCTTAGATAGAAATCTGAAGCACAGCAATAGGTATGTTAAAAACTAAACTGTGGTGTGGATTTTAGGGACCCAGACTGGACTAGCAACTTTGTGGCAAATATAGCACTGAGAAGCAAAATAATGTATAAATTAAAAGAAATATAAATCCCTTGGGCCAAGCAACTGTAAAGCAAAGCCCCTCTGTGAGGGTAGACATCAGAGTAGTAGATTCTAGTTCCCCATAAGCAAAGGCAAGGTAAGTAATAGCAGAGAGTATGCAGGCAGTAGAGAGAATGGAGCATCTAAATTGGCAAGTTGCATGTCACAGGCAACAGCACCTACAAAATAGCTGTGTGACTGGCATCTGGCATGCATTAGGCCCTCACTTGTTTGCTGCTGGCCAACTGAAAAGAGATCAAGGGCATTAGGCTGAGTGGGACACCAGGGATGCAACTTGTGACAGAGACAGAGAGAAACAGTGAAAATGACCCCTGGGAGGTTGAGAGCAGGTGAAGTGGAACCAAGTGACAGTGGAGACAGCCACGTGCTGACTTGAGAGCCCGTGGAGACATCCTGACTACATGAATCCCACTGCTGTGTGAAAGAGAACTTCTTAACAAGGCAAATTGAATTCCAGATGTCAAAGTGCCTCAATGGTGCCAGAGACGAGGAGAGGCCTGTGTCACTTGTGTGATGGAGGATTTTGGTAAAATAAAGATTTGCCAGATTCTTAGAGGAAATAGTGACCAACAAAAGCTGAAACAATAACAACTCTATGCAAAGGTTTCAGAAAATTAAATACTTCCACATTATTCTACTTCACTGTCACAGTAACTATGTGAGAAAGTCACTGTTAGCCTTTGTTTTTACAAATGAGAGAATAAAAGTTGAAGTTAAGTGACTAAACTAAGATATCAGATTTAGAAGGGGTCAGAATCTGAATTCATAGCTACCTTATTCCAGAGACAATGTTCCTTTAACTATAGTTTCCTGCACCATTTCCCACAGACTGTATCTATTAATATATGATACTCGCACACACATTTTCCTGTTTATGGTGATTGGTTTAGCTTCTCATGTATCGGCAAGTTAGAAGTATGTACCAGCATACCTTGTTTTATTGCACTTGGCTTTATTGTGCTTTGCAGACACTGCATTCTTTCCAAATTAAAACTTTGTGGCAATCCTTCATCAAGCAAGTCTACAGGCACCATTTTTCCCACACCATGTGTTCACTTTGTGGCTCTGTGTCACATTTTGCTAATTCTTGCAATATTTCAAGTTTTATTATTATTATATCTGTTGTGGTGATCTGTAATCAGTGATCTTTAATATTACTATTGTAACTGTTTGTGGGGGGCACCGTGAACCACAGCCATATAAGATGACAAACTTAATTGATAAATGTGTGTGTTCTGATTGCTCTGCCAACTTGCTGTTCTCCCATCTCTCTCTCAACACAGACTTCTCTATTCCCTGAAACACACAATATTGAAATTAGATCAATTAATAACCCTACAATGGCATCTAAGTGTTCAAGAAGGAAAAGTCGCACACCTCTCACTTTAAATCAAAAAGTTAGAAACAATTAAGCTTAGTAAGGAAGGCATGCCGAATGTCCAGATAGGCCAAAAGCAAGGCTTCTGTGCCAAACAGCCGAGTTGTGAAGGTAAAGGAAAAGTTATTGAAGAAAATTAAAAGTGCTATTTCAGTGAACACACGAATGATAAGAAATCAAAACAGCCTTGTTGCTGATAGGGAAAAAGTTTTAGTGTGCCAGATAGAAGATCAAACCATCTACGACATTCCCTTAAGCCAAAGCCTAGCCCATGTAAGGCGTAACCCTCTTCAATTCTATGAAGGCTGGCAAAGGTGAGGAAGCTGCAGAAGATAAGTTGGAAGATAGCAGAGGTTAGTTCATAAGGTTTAAGGAAAGAAGCCATCTCCATAACATAAAAATGCAAGGTGAAGCAGCAAGGGCTGATGTAGAAGCTGCAGCAAGTTATCCAGAAAATCCAGCTAAGATCATTGATGAAGATGGCTACACTCAACAACAGATTTTCAATGTAAACAAAATAGCCTTCTTTTGGAAGAAGATACCATGTAAGACTTTCATAGCTGGAGAGGGGAAGTCAATGTCTGGCTTCAAAGCTTCAAAGGACATTCTGGCTCTCCTTGTTAGGGGCTAGTGCTGCTGGTGACTTCAGTTGAAGGCAATGATCATTTGCCATTCCTAAGGTCCTTTAGAGTTATGCTAAATCTACTCTGCCTGTGCTATATAAATGGAACCACAAGCCTGGATAACAACACATCTGTGTGAGACATGATTTACTGAATATTTTAAGCCCACTGTTGAGACCCATTGCTCAGATAAAAAAGATTCTTTCAATATATTACCACTCATTGACAATGTACCTGGTCACCCAAGAGCTCTAATAAATGTACACAGGAGATTAACGTTGTTTTCATGCCTGCTAACACAACATCCATTCTGCAGCCCACGGATCAAGAAGTAATTTTGACTTTTAAGTCTTCTTATTTAAGAAATAAATGTCATAGGTTATAGCTGCCATAGATTATGATTCCTCTGATGGAACTGGGCAAAGTAAATAGAAAACCTTACGGAAAGGATTCTCCCATTCTAGATCTTGTTAAGAACATTCGTGATTTATGGGAGGTCGTCAAAATATCAAGATTAACAGGAGTTTGGAAGAAGTTGATTGCAAACCTCATGGAGGACTTTAAGGGGTTTAAAACTTCAGTGGAGGAAGCCACTGCATATAAGGTGGAAATAACAAGAGAAGTGGAATTAGAAATGGAGCCTGAAGATGGGACTGAATTGCTGCAATCTCATGAGAAAACTTGAACAGATGAGGAGTTACTTCTTATGGATGAGCAAATAAAGTGGTTTCTTGATGAAATCTACTCCTAGTAAAGATGCTGTGAACATTGTTTAAATGACAACAAAGAATTTAGAATATTACATAAACTTAGTTGATAAAGCAGTGGCAGGGTTTGAGAGGACCGACTCCAATTTTCAATAAATTCTACTGTGAAAAGAAGGCTATAAAACAGCATCACATGCTACAGAGAAATCTCTTGTGAAAGGAAGAGTCAATCAATGTGGCAAACTTCATTACTGTCTTATTTTCAGAAGTTGTCACAGCCACCCCAACCTTCAGCAACCAACACCCTGATCAGTCAACAGCCATCCACTTGGAGACAAGACTGCCCAACAGCAAAAAGATAATCATTAGCACTTTTAAAGTATTTTTAATTAGATTGTGTACATTGTTTTACACATACTGCTATTGCATACATAACTTTTCTATGCGGTGGGAAACCAAAAAATTTGTGACTCACACTATTGCAATATTCACTTATTGCAGTGCCCTGGAGCCAAGCCTGCAATATCAGCATGGTATGTCTGTATTAACATTTTACAATCACTTTCATCCTACATTTTTATGATGTGAATAGAAATATGCAATGAAGTTAGCATTTTCCATGTAGCAAGTTTTAATTTAAGGGATATGGCATGCTGTAGCCCTCATTATACTATAATTAGTTTCTTTGCCTTTTATTTCTCGTCCTTTCTCGAAGACCTACCTCCCATGAGTTCTTTGAGGGTGAGGACTGTGTGTCTCATTCCCTTTTTGTCTCTAGCACCTTGAAGCTGCCTCCCACAGAGTGTGAACCCAAAATATGTTACGAATCAATAAATGATCAGGGCAATGATTTGTATACTGCAATAATTACTAAAGGGAATTTTTAGAGCATCTAATTTATATCCTAGTTATAAATTAAATGCTGGGAGTTATGGTATTTGTTTGCTTATGGCAAGATTTTTCAAATGCTTTCATAGTTAATGCATTATATATATGTGTGTCTGACGATGAAGGTAATGACTCTCTTATCACTTTATCTTTGAAAGACAGTTTTTGATCTGAGAGGAGCTTTCTGTGTAAGCTGGTCAACCTAGTCCTTTCACCAGTGATAAAATTTTGATGTAGAAAATTTCAGAGAGTTTAAATGACCTGCTTAGTCATACAGGGAGAGATAAGAAGAGAGTTAGGGTGAGAGTCTCACAGTTCCCAGCGTGGAGATCTTTTTACTCTCACAGACCATCTCTCAATCCTGAACCCCCCAGTATTATCTATTCCCTAAAGAAAACTCATCTGTCCCTTCCACAAAGTGAAATGTTTGTTAGATTCAATTAAATATCCCAGGCACCCACACAGCAGGAAAACCAAGTTCTGTCAGCAGGGATTTAACTTGCTTTTAAATTGCTAAAAGAAAGTCAGAACCATTTGCACAAGTGAACACACACACACAGTCACACACAGCAGGCCAATATTTAGTTGCTGAAGTTTTGTGATTGTGGAAATGTTCTAGCAGCAGAAGCCTCACTTTTGAGCAACAAAAGATTTTTTTCCCTGCACATTCCTGGATATAGTGACAAGAGGGCCAAGCATGATGTATTAGTCCAGTCTCATATTGCTATAAAACACACTACCCGAGACTAGGTAATTTGTAAAGGAAAGAGGTTTAATTGACTCATAGTTCTGCATGGCTGGGGAGGGAAGCCTCAGGAAACTTACAATCATGGCAGAATGGGAAGCAAGCACATCTTACGTGGCAGCAGGTGAGAGAGAGCATGTGAGAGCGCAGAAAAAAACTACCATTTATCATTTATAAGACCATCAGATCTCGTGAGAATTCACTCACTATCACAAGAACAGCATGGGGGAAAACGCTCCCATAATCCAATCACTTCTCAACAGGTCTCTCCCGCAACACCTGGGGATTACAATTCAAGATGTGACTTCGGTGGGGAAACAAAGCCTAACCATATCACATGGGGACCATCAATCTATCTGCCAGTCCCCTGGACAGCTCAGATTCTGGTAACAGAGTCCTCCCAGCAGAAGCAGCACACAGACCTGCTCACCACTCTGCATATGTAGCTGGACATAGGCAGCCACCACAGGCTCCTTTCCAATCCCATACCTGCCCCTCTGGCCTGTGGCCTCACAGTCCCTGCACAAGAAGAAAGGAGCTTGGTGCACTAGCTACTCCAGTCTGCCTCAACCCAGCCTAGGGTGTAGGGTCAGAACTGGGTAAGACCAAGTCTATAACCAAACTGATCTTTACAGAGAATTGACCTCTGCAGAATACAGAAACAGGCATAAGTCAGTTCCTACCAGATGACAGCCAGAGAAAGAACCACTATCAGATGCTCATCACAAGTTAATCTACTTCTTGATCAATCTGTAACTTCTTCCTTTGTACAGTTTTATTTATTTCACTTTTCATGAAATATTTTAAATAAAATCTTAGCAAGTTTGCATTACACTTGAATAATAGCATCACATATTTCCATTAAATCTCATTTGATTGATATTCACAGTTGCAACTCACTAACTCATTTAGTGTGTGTTATTAGGAATGTAGAACTAATAATATCTGGTTTGCCTTTTGGGGTTAAAGTTTCATAACATTAAAACCAGAGATCAATCATTTTGCTTCCCTGGGGTCAAGATCTAGACTAAGAACAGTTTCTACAGTGGAAAGTATACTAATCAGGAAAATAGGCCAATTTTCCTTTCTGCCACCCAGGCAAAATCAAATAGAATAATGTTTCACTTAAGGATTGGAATATGACTTCAATAGAAATAACTTTGCTTATCAGGTAGGTTCAGGTAAGTAAAGCACATCCTCTGCATCAAGGCTAGTAAAATGGTGTGGAAAAGGCCAGGAGGTGGTGGGGAAGTTTCCTGTGTGGGCTCTGTAGGAAGAGAAGCCACAGAAACTGGATATATATATGGCTTTGAGTTGAACCTAAGTCTCTCCAGTGAGGAGAAAAGAACAAAGCCTCTACCTTTATGAAAGCCGCAACAAAGACAAAAATGTCAGAGAAGTGCTTTGTGGATTTCCAAGCCAAGGTCAGGAGCAATTGAAACTGTGATCCAGATAGCTAAATAACTAATAGTAGTGATGTTTATCAACACCCTCTGACTCACTGACATTTACAAGAAATTAACATGCATAGAGGGAGCGTGCTCTGAGAAAAGTGTACTGAGGTGTATGCTAATGGAGCATCTAATCACATCATCTGTCCACCAACAAGTGCCCCATTAGCTCACACGCAAAGAGGTGGGAAGAAAGAGAAGCCAGGAGAGCTGAGGCCATGCTGATATAAGGATGCCATGAGAACAGAAGGGATGTTCATGAAATATGGCAGCACCTCGATAGACACAGAAATTGAGTTCTGTGAATAGAGCAGATGCACTATTAGCACTCACAAGGCAGAACACTCATAAGAATAGAGGGGAATAAGAAAGTAAGATGAGGAAAATATGTGTTTGCATATACAGATACAGTCATTTGAGATCACATTTTTACAAAAACAGATGTTAATTTTAAAATTGCACCTGCACTTGAATGCACACATCAGCGTGTATTGGTAAATAGACGTAAGTCCTTAGAGAAAAGAGAGAAGGATGCAAACCAGACAGCTAACATGGGTTCCCAGGGAATGGTGGAGGAGAGGGAAGAAATGCATGCACACACACACACACGCATGCACACACTCTTGCATAGTGCACACACATGCACATGTATGCACACACGTACATGCACACTCACATTCACACATTTATACCACTACAAATAAAATTGCTTGTATGGTGTGAATTATAGATGTGCATGTATATGCATAAAACAAAGCACAGAGAAATAATAACTAAAAATTGTTAATGACGGTTATCTCAGCGGTGGAATATCAGGCGATTTCACTTTCTTCCAAATACATTTTGAACACTGTTTGAATATTTAATAGTGCACAAGTGATATATGAATGACCACATATTATTTGTATAATTAGGAAAAAAACAAGTATTTTCACTGTGAGAACGTCTTTCCTTGCATCGCCATGATTTCACAGCACTAAGGAGGCAGCTGCCAAATGTAATCTGGAGCTGGGTCACTCTTTTTTACCAACTACCCCCACAGCCTCAGAACATGAATTATTTCTGTCCATCTCGCTCCCCAAAGAAATCACCAATCTTATCAGTATCAAAGTTCACCTACAATCATGAAATTCTTTTTATTTTAAAGCAAAAGTTCAGAATCAACCGAGTAAATATAATTGCACATGATAATGTTTTTCAGTCAGCACAATAATCAGGGTCATTTTAAAAGGTTTCTCTTCCCCTCCCTTTTCCCCTCCCTTCCCACCCTCACTTCCACTCTCATCTTCCTTTTCATTTCCTTCCTGGCATTGTGAACCCTGGTAGTACTATTCTGACCAACAGAAATATCTTAGACTCTCAGATCTGGTTTTTAATGCAGTCTTCATCTTCATGGCATTTCTGACTTTTCCAGCAATTCTCTGTGTTCTCCTATCCAGCTCCTTTGCTGGGCTTATCTGTGCATCTGCCCCTTGGGGACTGTTGTGGGCCAAATTGTGTCCCCTCAAAATTCTTATATTGAAGCCCTGACTCCTAGCACCTCAGAGGTGGACTGTATTTGGAAATAGGATTTTTGAAAGGTGATTTAGTTAAAATGAGGCAGTTAGAGTAGGCCCTAATCTAATCTGGCTGATGTCCTTATAAGAGGAGGAAATTTGGGCACACAGAGAGACACCAGGGATGCACTTACAGAGGAAAGACCACGTGAGGACACAGCAAGAAGGTGGTGGCCGCCATCTGCAAGCCAAGGAGACGCCACAGGAACCACTAAACCTGCTGACTCCTTAAGCTCAGACTTCCAGCCTCCAGAACTGTGAGAAGGAGTTTCTGTTGTTTACACCTCGCAGTCGGTGGGATTTTATGATTGCAGCCTGAGCTAATAGTGTTGTGCCTCTTCTACATATAAAATATATTTTATACATATATTATATATATATATACACACAACTTAAGAGTGATCCTTGATTCTCTTCCCCGCTCCACCCCACAGAGGGTCACAGCAAATTTTATCAGCTCCACCTCCTAGGTAGATCCTAAACCATATCTCTTATCAAAACTCCACAGCTATCACCTTAATCCAAGCCACCTTCCCCTACCTCCTACTCCACAGCAATGCCTGCCAGCCCATCTCGCTGTCCCCAGCCCTGACCCCTACAGCTAATCAGAAAGGGGCTTTCAATCATAAATCAGGCACCATGCTCCAGTGGTCTCTAATTTCACTTGCGATAAACTCTCACCTCCTTCAGGTGTCCTGGGGGCCTACGTGCTCTGGTCCTACTGTCTTCCCCACCACCACACTCAGCCACAGCAGCCATTTCCCTTGTTCAGAACCCTAAGTTATTCCTGCTTCAGGGCTTTGGACTGTCTGTGCCCTCTGCCTGGAGCCCTTGTCCCCACTCTGCCATGGATGGCTCCTTCCTCTTTATCGGATCTCAGGGAGGCTTCCCCGACCTCCAGTCTGAAGGGGCTCCCTGTTCTACCCATTACCTTCTACTCCACTGCCTTATTTTATTTTCTTCAAGCACTGAATTCTGCATAAGTGGTATTATTTTTTGGTCTGTATATTTGTTTATATTGTTGCCTTCTGCCACTAGAATGCAACCTCCGTGAGGGCTCCATCCTGTCGACTGTATGGGGCGTCCTAGCTCCAGCAGGTGGTGGCATTTCATACGTGTTGTTCAGCAGATACATTCGTGAGCCTGCAAAGCACCTGTAACCCTATTCCTAACCTAGGAGGTGTGCAGCGATTGTTCAGAGTTAACCGATGAATAAATCCATGTTTTGAATATATGAAAAAATATGCCTTTAGTGCAGATGAGTAGGAGTATACTAACTGGATGTTTCCTTAAAGAGATAATTTATCTTTCATTTTCACTTTTGCTTAATCTAAATTTTAAATTACTGATCAGATGCAATCAGTTTGGATTACACTCATGAGCATGATTACAACAAGGTTTTGTTTTTTTAAAAGACATTGTCAAAAATATTTCTAGGTCTCCTCCTTTAAGGAGCTTTAGGTCTTATAAGAAAAGCTTCTCAAAAATATAATGCTAGGAATTATATTTATAAAATTTTTTTGTTAGTTAATATTTTTATACTAATCGAAAATATAAAATACAAAATGTAAACACAACATGATCAGTAAGAAACCCTTACAACTGTAGTAGACACCAAGAGAATACAGGTGATGATATGCTTAGATGAAAATAAATGTAACTTCCAGGTCTCTTGCTGCAAGGGGCAATACAGCTTGCTTAATGAGATATCAGTGAAGCTTCTGGGAAGGCGATAATTTTCCCAGTGAAAAGACACCAGTTCATCTGGTTCATCATAAAGATTCATCGTGTGCTTGGAGGTGGTACCACCTTTGGATAAGGCTTTTGCATAAAGCCACCTTTGCATAAGGCTTTTCGAACTCTGCGTTCACAAGCCTTATGCAAAGAACAGAGCAGAAAAATAAAACTGTTTCCAGGCCGGGCGCAGTGGCTCACGCCTGTAATCCCAGCACTTTGGAAGGCCGAGGCGGGTGGATCACGAGGTCAGGAGATCCAGACTATCCTGGGTAACATGGTGAAACACCGTCTCTACTAAAAACTCAGAAAAATTAGCCGGGCCTAGTGGCGGGCGCCTGTAGTCCCAGCTACTTGGGAGGCTGAGGCAGGAGAATGGCGTGAACCCGGGAGGCGGAGCTTGCAGTGAGCCGACATCAGGCCACTGCACTCCGTCGCCTGGGCGACAAAGCGAGACTCCGTCTCAAAAAAGAAACAAAAAACAAAAAAAACTGTTTTCTTGGTGGCAACTGCATATAGCTACTCCATCCTCGGGTCCCTGCCTCTAGATGTATGAGGGAAAAAACAGCTGCCCATTTGGTTAAACATCTGTAATAATGATTCATTTATGTGCAACTGAAAACAACCCTAAACTGATATAAAACAATGTCCACAGAAATGATAATGTTCATTTATTTATTCAGCCCACAAATATTTGTTCAGTGTCTGCTTTGTGTCAGACACTATGCCAGAAGCTCTGTAAACACAGAACAAGACACATGGCTCCCACATCCTGGAACTCACATAAGAGTAGGAAGACCAGGCCATTTACCCATGAATTCAAAAAGGTCAACTCTTGGTACATTCATTTCTGTATTTTTTTCTTTCCAATAGTTTCTACTTGCTTCATTAGTCAGGGGCATTGCATTACAGCAGGAATGCAAAGGACAAGAAACAGTTAATATCCTGATTTTAAACTTCCAAATATGGATCTTGATCACAGGGTAAAGGGTGGGATAATCCAAATGATAAAAAATGATTTAAAAAAATGAGAGGAGACACTGTGAGCCATAAAAAATAATGTAAACGGAGTGGAGAGAGAGGCAAGAGCTTCCCTTTCCCAGGAAAACAAGAGAAGGGTTTTATAGGGTAGGTGGTGAGAGAGAAGGTTGTGGGAGCAATGTGGGCAGATGTCAGGGGCTGAAACAAGCAGACAGATCCTGGGGGAAGGAGGGAGACGGGAAGGAACCAGAGCTGAGAGAGGACATGACCTCCAGTTCCAGGGAGGAAAAGGAAATCAAGCTGAGGCATGCTGGCCGCCCCCTATTTGGGGGAGCTCATCAATCCAAGGCAGACTCCTGCGTTCTTCTCATCCCTGCAGGAGGAAGGCTTGGTAACAACAGCTGCCCGCACTTCCCCTGTGGATTATCCAGCAGCACACGCATAAGCTTCCTGCAAGGGTTGTCCACTGAGTAAGCCCAGGGGCATCATTCTCACACACTGTGTTGGGCATGATGTCTCCTGTAAGTGTGCAACACGGTGTCCCTGTTCATGAGGATAGCCCCTTCATGATAGGCAAGGACAAAAAGTACCCCTCATTAAAACAAAACAAACAACAAACAGTGTAGGGCCTGGAACAGCAAAGAGGCACAGTGGTGTAGAAAAAGAAGGCCGTGAATATTGGAATGAGGGAGAGGCTGACTTAAAGTAGTGGGTAATTCCATGTCTTCTGGTATAAACTTTTAACAACACCTCTGGGGTGACAGAGGTCATCAGCTCTCTGGCCTCTACTCCATTCTCCTTTCCATGGACATGCAACTTGTTTTTTTCAACTACCCACTTCATCTAACCTCCTAAGGCCCCATATTCCACCATGCACTCCAGCAACCTAGCAGGGAATTAGAGAATCTTTTTTTTTAAAAAAAGTACTGGGATCCTGATGATAGCAAGGCCAGGCCCAGCACTGGTACATCGCAGAAGGTGCAAACTGGTACAGTGGTTTCAGAGATTCATACCCCACAGGAAAAAGTTTCAGGACTTCATTAAGAGCACTTGATCATCAAACCCTAGGAGATTCTTCCCCCTGACCCTTCTTAAGGGAGAGGCTTTCTGGGGGAAGGGTGCCAGCTCTGCTTTTTCCACAGGAAGAGTCACAGGCAGTGAGCCAGCCATGGTCTGCGGATCCTTCCAGGCTCTCCTTCCTTCCCCTCTGTGTGTTTCTCCATCACTGAACTTCTCAGAACCTTAGTGTCCATCTTGGCTTATGCCTGCTATCTTGACCTATGGCCATATTTTTGGTTTTGAACCACTTGCCTCAACTGAGTCCTTGCTGTACCTTCAGGACCCTCCTTTAGAATTCTCACCCTGGTTCCATACATCAACATGGTTAAGCAGCCCACCTTGTACCCCAGGATATTATGAAGAAGGCCTTGTGTCCATCTGAACAAACCCTGTTGGGGAGGGACATTGATATCACTTATATAATAAGAACAATACAATTATCTCCCCCAACCCATTCCCCACACACTAATTTTACATTGATTTAAGTTATCATTTGATTTGCAATTGTCTTTGCCCTAGGTCTGTCGGCTCCATGAAGAGTGCAACTTTTTGCCCACCAGCGTATCCCTAGTACCTGCTGTGTAGCATAGCCTCAATTGAATATTAGTCCTCAAATTCACTTCCGTCTTGTTTTACATGCCAGTAAAACACTGATTATTTCTAACAGGCTCATCCAGAATGACAACCCATATTGTGTTCAAGTAATTAGGTAATAGTAGTATACAATCTTTAGTTTGTGTAATTTCCTTAGAAAGATCATTGAAGTCCTCTACAATAGCCCACGCATAGCTTTCTTTTCTCTGGACATAATGATACAAAAAAGCAAAGGGTAAAAACTCTGTATCTTTCTACTGCAGGGCTTTCTCAGTGCTAACCTGCGGCCCAGACATCCTATTCTCACCTAACAATTTTAACCTATACAAGAGGGCTCTGGATCCCATAACAAGGAAGCTCTTTCTAAGCCAGATTTTCTCAGCCACAGCCCTGTTGACATTTTGGACTGAATAGTTATTTGTGGCAGGGGCTTTCGTGTGTTGTAGGATGTTTAGTGGCATACCTGGACTCTCCCCACTGGATGTCAGTGGTAGCCCTTCTCCCAGGTGTGACAATCAAAAAATGTTTCCAGGTGTTGTCAGATGTCCCGAGTGGGGCAGGGGACAAAGCTGAGAACCACTGCTCCGACCCAGGAACACTGATGGGATCCCATGGCTAGCACGTGCTGGGTGGTCAATAAGGCCTTTACTTGGAAGGACTTCTAGGAGAGCAGTTGGCTTTCAGCTTTCATCATCATCATCATCATTCACCTTGGTTACCGTCCCCAGAGATCCTTCCATAACAAGGGATCTCATCTTCCCATTCGCCTGCTTGGGAAGATTGTGCTGCTTCTTGTCACACTCACAAGAAAGAACCTTCTCAACTCAAGGTTTCATTATTTCAAAGCGTATACTTTGGGGAGAAGAAAGACGTTATTCTATCTAAGAGACATTTTTGCATACAAGGAAAATTACCTAGGGCGTTGTTTTCTCAAGTGAAGGTGAATCGTTGAAAGGAAGAGAAGGGATGAGACCAATGATTTAGAGAGAGTGGATGTTTTCTCCTGTTTAGCAGTGAAGAACACAGATTTATCTCTTCCACAGATACTAGTTCCAAGAAACATCAATTTAGTGGACTATATATATTATATGTATAATATCTGTAACATGATATATGTATTATATAACATGTATTCTAATATATATGACAATAAAGTTTAATCATTTCAACAACTTATAGAAGAATGTTTATCATAGGGCATGCTAGCGTCACTTCTATTTTTGCCTGTTGAATTAGACAAACGAAAATTATCCAAAAACTTTAAAAATCTAAAAATTAAATAAGGTTAGGAAATCAAATCAAAACCAAACTTCCATATCCATATTTATTTGTCTTAAGAATTTCTAAACCTCTAAGTGAGGGCAGTTTTAAAACTGTTGATCACAAGATCAAGTCACTTGTTGAGGCCATTGTTTTATAGATGAGGGTTTTTATTTGTTTTTGCTTTTTATTTGTCGGGGAACAGTTCATGGGTTTTTTTTTAAAAGGGCAGTGACTTATTTTGAATGTGGAACAACTTATGAATTTGCTATGAAAATGGCTATGAGTAGAAAATATATACATACATTAAATTAAAATAAATAGTTATAAATCTTACTTTGGCCAGTAATTCAGGTTGGATGATGGTAGGGTTGTTTTGGTCAACCTTCAGTACAAAGGGAAGACTATGGGAAAAGCTACTATGTTTCAAGCACTGTGCTTGATTTTTTTTTAAAGCTGTCACTTATTGAGTCTTCACAATTCCAAGAGACAGAAGGCACAATTTTTAAATTTTACAGATGAGAAAGTCAAGACCCTGAAACATTGACTCCCTAGCTACGGAGCTAGGATAAGCCAAACAGTTCAGCTCCAGAGTTGCTGGCCCAACTGTGATATTAAACCACCTTCTGCGGCTCTCTGAGACACTGGCTGGGTGTGTGTTTTATCAGTAAGTGAGGATTTGTGACATTAATGACAGGCAGAGTAAATAAGACTAGCACCATATTATTCATTCTTCCTCCTGCCACCACTTGTCCATTGTCAATATAACAGTATTTGGAGAAAACCAATCTCAGATAATTGAACATACAAACAATCTTTCCTCTAAATTGATAGTTTCTAGAGCCAGTAGCTGTGAAAGAGATGAATCTATACTTTCACTGTCATCCAGGAGATAACACACACTCTCTAAATCCTTGGTCTTGTGTACTTACTTCCCTTTCTTTCAAGAGTTCACCTTCACTTGAGAAAACCATGCATTGGGCAATTTGCCTTTTTGCAAAGAGTTATCTCTCTGTGAGATTAACTTCTCTTTTCTCCCAAAAGTATATGATTATAATGACCCAAAATGACCTTTGCTTTTTAGAATAGACTTTTTTTTTTTTCTCTGAAAACAGATATACTTTAAAAAGATTAATGCTGGCTTCTGCACTCTCTTCTGTGGAGAATAAAAAAATCTGTCCATTCTCTAAATATTTTCAGGGTAGATTCTAAATTCCCTTTAAAGGAGAAATTCAAATTCCCTTATTACCATAAGAGAGATTTTATTTTACGTAGCTATTGGGATATTTACCTCTAACAACAAAAATAATCCAATTTCTCTGAACTTAGGGATTAAGATTTCCTGTCACATTTCCAACAATGAACAAATCCTAGGAAATATGATTCCAAAATAAGCTACAATTTAAAACGTAATAATTATTTTAAGTAGTATCTCACCCATCATTTCTCTCTTCTAAAAGGAAAACTGATTTTAAAAAGATGCAACATTGCCACCTAGTGCTCTGCATACAAAGTATGAAATCATTATTAGAAAGATGCCAGTAGAAGAAATTTCACCTTTAATCCTACACTAACCAGAGTACAGTGAATACATCAGTGCATAAATAGGAAAAATTTCACCACATAGCAACTTTGTCCCATAGTGCCTATAGCATAAAGGTGTAGGTAGGATTTAATAAACTGATAAATTTAAGTCGTTCCATACTATGTATGGAATGTTTACAGATATGTCTGCAAATTTTAAAATGTACTTATTCTTTCCCAACTTCAATTTCTACTTATATTCCTTCCACAAATAGTTCATCCTGCCTATGACCACCAGGTAGAATACAAAATTATGCAGTTGGGAATTACAAAAATCTTTAAAAAGCACTCATCCAGTTTATGCTTTTTATAGAGGAGGCTGCTGAGCCCCAGAGAGATGAAGTAGCAACCAATCCATACCTCCAGGGAATGGCAGAATTGGGACCCGAAGCCGTCTCAAGAGTGCCTGTTTAAAGAACTTTCATGTGCTCCCCTACATGCCATTTTTATCATGGCTGACCAATGTCTTGCGGAGTCAACTGTAAATTCCATCACCTAGCTTCCAACGCCCATACCCTCAACCTTCATACTTCATAGATTCAAAAAACTGCAGAAGACGAACAGGGGCATACGTGGCAGAAGCCATGGGTTCAAGACATTAGGGAGTGACAGGGACTCTGTTTAACTGATGTGACCTACCTAAAGCATTTGTCACAGTGTTTGCCATTTACTTTTAACTACTTCAATACAGTTAGTGTAATATTAGGTGTGTTCACTCAAGCTAACAAGTTGCTGAAGATAAAAATGTGTAGATCCAGGACAACCCACCAGTTTCCTGATTGGCAGCACAGTGGCTGCTATAAGAACTCCTGTTATTCACATCACAGCCAACACTTGAAACTTTTTTTTTTTTTTTTTGAGACAGAGTCTCACTATGCTGCCCAGGCTGGAGTGCAGTGACACAATCTCAGCTCACTGCAACCCCCACCACCCAGGTTCAAGCAATTCTCCTGCCTCAGCCTCCCAAGTAGCTGGGACTACAGGCGCATGCCACCATGCCCAGCTAATTTTTGTATTTTTAGTAGAGACAGGGTTTCACCATGTTGGCCAGGCTGGTCTCAAACTCCTGACCTCGTGACCCACCCACCTCAGCCTCCCGAAGTGCTAGGATTACAGGCATGAGCCACCATGCCCGGCCCACTTGAATCTTTTCTAATGATCCTACTGAGTATCAGGGAGAGGTTTTCATCGGAGAAGACAGTGACCTGTCATAGCATGATGGAAGTTAGAAATAGGCTGTCATTGGGAAAGATAAATGTACTCAAGATATGTGGATTGACTGAAATAAACTAGGCGCTGCCTGTCTTTGCATCCATGGAGTATATCCAGAGAGACTTGTATCTGTTACATCCACTTTGTCCCTAAGGAACCCTTGTTCAGCCATCAGTTCCCTGATGCCAGCTATAAGGCTGGAGAATCCTGCTCTGTAATGTTGTTGTGCTAACCTAGAGTTGTGGACAAATCCTTCCTGCAAGTGGTGGCCTGAGCTCCAAAAAGACGGAATCCACAGGCTTCATTGAGCCTGTAAGACAGGCCATGTGGTTGTTCAGTTAATGCAGGTATGAGAGACTGATTTTTTCTGAGGTTTGCTCTTGTTAACGCTTGGTAGTAAAGCGAGTATGAAGCTTTAAGGGAGAAACTAACTCTCCTTACCCAGCCCAAACTTCTTCGTGACGACTATACAGTCCAGAAAGAAGGGATTAAGAATTGTCAATGACCAGGTTGGCTTAGGTCCTTTCCAGGCAGAATTCAAAATTATATTAAAAACATTGTGCCACTGCAGCAGATTGCATCCGTGAAGCAAACACTTTAGTGCTATTTAAGCATATGCAGGGCCAGCTACACAATTGGTAGGGCCCAGTGCAAAATAAAAATGTGAGTCCCCTTGTCCAAAAGTCATTAAGAATTTCAACATATAGCAGCAGCACATCAGTCAAGTGTCAGGCCCTTCTGAGAATAGGGCCCCATGCAACTCTAGGGGTGACATGCCCATGAAGCCAATCCTGACCACATGGAATACTTCTCCACCCCCACCCTAAACCTAACTCTCTAGGCCAACCTCACATTTTCCCATTTGTTTATTCAACAAACTCTTTTTGAAGACCAAGCTCTTTGGTACCCTGGGGATGCACAGCTGAAAGACACTGCCTCAGAGAGACTTCATTCTACATTCTGTGTGAATCTCTATGGCCACACCCATGCCTCTTCCTGGGACCTCCCACAGCATTATCATCAGTGAGATAGGTCTGAGCATTTTATTGTATTATTGCTGCTTATCTCCATTCAATGTCTAATTTCCCCAACTGGATCATAAACCCCTTGAAGCCAAAGAGTATGAAACATTATTTCTTTGCACTCTCTGTGGAGTCTACATTGAGCTACACATCTGAGGAATGTTTAGTAAATGATCCCCCAATTGGACAGGTAGAAACTGATAATACATCTCTTCAGACCTAACGAAGTCAGTTTAATATTTTTCTCACTTGAGCAACGGCATCTGCCTTCTGTTTTGCCCACGATTTCTGTTTTGCCACATGATTAAATTTATTTCCCTAGACAAGCAATCAATAAAAATGTATTATGTACCTACTATATGCCAGATATTGCACTATGTATTGAGAATACTATGTTAAACAAAACAGAGTCACTGCTCTCATGGAGCTTGCAGTTTAACCTTAAGCTCAGAACTTTGGCCAACAACTCTGTGAAGGTACGAGTCTTTTCACAGGTTTAAATATCAATACACCTTTTTCTACTTCCAAATTAATTTGATTCATAATAAATGCTGAGAGGAAATATGAGTTTATTGTCAGAATTCCTGCTTTGTCTTTCTTCAACTGCACTCTATAAATCCAATGTTAATTCTTTTTAAGATTTACTATCTCTTTGATACCAACATCTCAAGTCACTTCTGAAATAAAAGAGGGGATTAAATGTATACATACGTTAAGAACACTTGTAAAAGTGTGTACTAGTTTGCTAGCGCTTCCATAACAAAGTACCACAGAGTGAATGACTTAAACAAGAAAGATTTATTAGCTCAGTTCCGAAGGCAAGATGTCTGAGATCAAGGTGTCAGCCGGGTTGGTTCCTTCTGAGGGCTGTGAGGAAGACACTGTTCCATTATCTCTTTACTAGCTCTTGGTGGTTTGCTGGCAATCTTTGGCATTTCTGGGCTTGTAGATGCATCACTTCAATCTCTGCCTTCCTCCCTGTGTGTGGTCTGTGTCCAAATTTCCTGTTTCTATAAGGATGCTGGTGATATTGGATTAGGGCCCACCCTATCCAGTTTGTCCTCATCTTAACTGATTACATCTGCAATGACTCTGTTTCCAAATAAACTTCCATCCTGAGATATAAGGGACTAGGACTTCAACATATGAATATTGGTGGGACACAACTCAACCCATAACATGTAGTGAGATTGACATGCTAAAGAACAGACTGCAAGAGGGAAGGGAGACACGTGATGATGGGTAGGAGAGTCCTTTGGAATGAGGACGTAGTCCCTGATATAAGAAATTACTCATCTGAGTGAGATATTACGATTCCATATGAGAACCCAAGACAAAGAAAAGGAAGATGAGGGAGGAGGAAGAAGGGGAGAAATTTAAAGAAGGGGGAAGACAGAAAAAGAAGAGGAAGGGGAGGAAGAATCTGGATTAAAATTATAATTGAGCAGAAAAGAGACATTTCTCTTCAGGAGTAGGAGAGGTCAAAGTGAAAATCTGAAATGCACTCCACCAAAATTCTGGTTAGGTAACAGATATGTGTATATTTACACACAGAGGCAACTCATAGTTGTGTAATAACTGATGAACAATTAGCTTCATAGAGCACCTTGGGCCATGTAAAGAAGTTCCTAAGCCAAGTCAAGGCCAATGAAATATGTGGTCAAGATCCACCGGGCATCCACAGCTCCACCCCATTCTTCTGGGACATATTTACATACTTTTTACTTGTATTGTTTTTATTCTTTCACCAAGAAAATAATATTGTAACTATAGCATTCTACTAAATACCACATTTTTTCATGAAAACCCACACATACCTTTCCAGAGATGTTTGACCATATCTTCTTAGGTGCAAGAAATAAAATGCACCCTCACCTTCTCTCCACCCCAACACCTTAATAGAATGTCTGACTGCTATTCAGTCAGTTCAGTCGGCTCACTCAAATATTACCTTCAAGAATCAGTGTGATGCACACCTTTTAACTAGGTTTTACTGGCTTTTAATGTCTTCAAGAGGGCTGGCTATCCCTGGCCTAGCTAGGGGAATTAGATACAGAAACAAATCATTTTTTTCCCAAAAAGCATAGTGTTACATTATGTAGGAAAAGGCAGCATTATATGATATTTACACTCTATTTTGCATGGGCTTCCCCTAGAAATTCATCTTAAATGTAAACAAATAATATTCTGTTTGCCTAAAGCCACAGTCAAGGCCAGAATCAAACCAATCCCAGAACTCACTTCTTCCATGCCTCCTCTCTCACCTATATTATCTCATCACCCACAATCTTTATAGGGGCTTCCCTCTCCGTGTCATTCACCTGGAACTTACTTACCATCTTGTGTTGCTATGTTTTCCTGTGTGAATGATTTATATCCAAACCAGCCTTTGAAGCCTTGAAGGCAAGGTTCATGTCTTCAATGAGATCTATGGGATCAACCTTCCCAAAGCACCACTTCTCTGTGCTCCTCCTCTGCTCAGAAATGCCAGCTGTCCGGGCTTGGACACAGGGCAGGTAGCAACCTCTCCATGCAGCATTAATATCATTACTAATGATGAAGACACCAGCACACATTTGTGCTTCCCAGGGCCAAGAACCTTGCCACGTAGTACATAGGGCATTCTATCTCACAGTAACCCATGAGCCAGGTATTGTCATCAACACTCCACTTTACAGATTAAGGAACTAGGACTTGAGAGATGAAGTCACTGGCCTAAGGTCACACAGATGGCAAGAGTTGAAGGATATCATTTAAATTCTGACAAACTGATCCCAAACTTCACAACTTTTTAAATTTACAGACTTAACCACTACCATAGATACATAGGTAGGTAGGTAGGTAGGTAGATAGATAATAGATACATAGATAGATAGATAGATAGATAGATAGATAGATAGATAGATAGATTATAGACAGACAGAGGTAGAGATAGAGAGAGAGCGAGAGAGAGACCTAAGCTTAAAGTTGTTTTAATTAACACAAGTATATGAACATACCTATAACAATAAAGGGTCCTCCACATATAGGCTTGTATAAAACCAAATGCATCTTTTGTTTGACTATAAAGTCCAAATCTGTTGCAACTTCTGAACTCTCCACCATTTGGTCCTAACCAACCTTATTAATCTCATCTCCTCCTAATTCCCTGCACTTAGTTCAGCCTCAGTCCCCTAAATATTGTTGCTACTGAAATGCCAGGGGTCCAGTTTAGGTCCCATTGCCTGCCACATAGAAAACCAATCACTGAGACAATAAATATTGCCAGGGAAGAAAGGCTTTACTTGGACGATGTCAGGAAATAGGAAAGAAGTCTCAAATCCATCTCCCTAACCAACTAAAATTGGGGGTTTATACAGCAGGGAAGGAATGTAACTATGTGCAGGAAAACAGAAATTAGGGAGAAGTAAGGAAGAGGAGTTGGCCTAAAGAAAGCAGGTGGTCTGTAGGAAGAGAAGCCATAGGAACTGGATTTATGCCTTTCAGTTGAAACTAAATCTCTCCAGTGAGAAGAAAAGAACAAAGCCTCTACCTTTCATCATGATAGGTGAAGGGTCTGGCATGTCATTGTCCACTTGCTGTGGGGTCTGGTGAGTTTCAGCTCCTTGATACAATCTGAGAGACATGATGGTTCGTTTCCTAAGAAAGGAACTTGGATATGACAAATGTAAGTTTCAAGCTTTGAGACTGGGATGGTCAATTTCTATGTTTATTAAAAAATACCATAAACATCTGTTCTATGGGGAAAGTAGGCCAGTTTCAGTGTTGCCTTTATAGACAAGTCACCCCATCCTCCTTACCTGAGTGCTTGCCCCATTTACAGCTGTCTGTCTCACTGCTCCCCACCCTTTGTGACTAGGTCAGCTTCCCCCCGTCAGTGGAGCCTTCCTGCACACTCTGGCAATCCTTTCCTTAACATACTAATGTCTTAAAGCTCACCCTTTTATTTTATTTCTTCATGGAGTCTTCACTCCATTGGCATGTTTTCTGAGGATACAGGAAACAAACAAAATGTCCTTGTCTTTAGCAACTTCCAGTCTAAAAGGAGATGGAAAAAAAGCCCACCAAAAATTACCATAGAGTTGGACAGTTCCCTGACAGAGCCAAGCACAGAGCTGTGGTAGGTTACAAAGTGGCCTATGTCCACATGGCTCCCCACATATAAGTCCTTTCCAATGTGACTTTGCAGCTCCCCAAACAAGAGGAGCTCCCCTTGCATCAGAGCTGGCCTCATAACTTGCTGTGGCTGACAGAATGTGGCAGAAGTGGCTAGTTCTGAGCTCAGGCCTTGGAAGGCCTTTGATACATTCCCTCATTTTCTTGGAGCCCTGCCTATTGCCATGTGAGGAGGTCCAGGTTAGTCTCTTGGAGGGGTGTGTGGTTCCAGCTGAAGCCCCTGCAGGAAAGCCTGGAGGCTAACCACAGACGTAGGATTTAGCTCAGGTGAGACCAGAAGAACTGCCCAGCTGAGCACAGGCCAAAGTCTCCAGTCCTGCCCAAATCATGAGCTTAGTATGAGCTGTTCATTTTAAGCCACTAAGTTTTGGGGTGGTTTTTCAAGCAACTATTGTTACTAGTGTGGAAGCCCAGAAGCAGGTTCACCTGGCACAAAACAAGATCTGGTAGATGTAGGGAGGGAGAAGATGAATTCAACTCAGGAGAGAATGAGTATAAGCATCTACACTTAAATATTTTGCCAGTATTGATAGATATACCAACAGCATTTTTCACTGCCCTCTTAACAAATAATATTAAGCCTAATTTAACCATCTCTTAATGCCTGCACATCATCACAATGAAGCTTTACGATCTCGCACCACTGTGCTGCACATGCTCACATTGATACTCCCAGGGTGATTAAGAAATACAGAAGTGTTTGTTCCCATACATTAAGTGGCCCCAGTTTGCTGTGCTTGGATTTTTAATTAACTTAGCTTCTACTTATAAAATGCCAAGGTTTTCTTCACTGCCAGTCTATCAACTGTCTCTCCTTGATCACCTGCAACTCTGTGGCAGCCTCCCATAGCCATGGTTTGCCCCATCTTTTTCCAGGGCATGTGGAGCCCTGTCTGCCCATGGGTCAGCTAAGGCCATGGAGCTGCACTGCAGGTCTAGGAGGGCTTGGATGAGGAGGTGCAGTGAAGGGGTTCTCATGTGCAAAGCATGCCACTAAGCACCAACTACGAGTCTTCAAAATGCTTTAAAATAAACTGATGCTATTTTACAACCTCCCTGTGAGGCAGACATTGCTGCCACCACCTTTACGGGAGGGGATGGCAGAGGGTCACAGCACTGTGCCAGCTCCAGGGTCTTCAGCCTTCCAGGTCACAACCTGAGCTCAAACCTTTGGGCACTTTCCAGGATCTAAGGATGTCTCAGCTTTCATTTTGATAATTCATCAATCGATAACTCACAAGCTTCCTTTTCTTTTTTAATTTTGACCCTTTCTTCAATTTTTAAATGTGCCAGATCAAAAACCAATAAGAAATATGGTTCTTTCTCTTAATCATACAGGTACCTAATCCAGTATTTATAATCAGTAAATAAGAAATAGTTATTATAAATCAGCTTACATGGGAGCAGACTTCACCTGTTCCCTAAAATCCCATCTCATTAATATTCCCCAACTGAAAGAGAAGGAACCTGGGCTTCCCAGCCGTACATTTGAATGAATCCCCACTCCGCTGCTTCCCGTGCTGAGATGTGGGCTGTATTATAACAACACATGAGATAGGCTGCCTGAACTGCTCCATTAAAGAATTCACTTGTGAGCTACCAAAATCCATCAGCAGAAACAGCATGAAGAAGGAGCACTTTCCTTTCAGCATGCCAGTCAGCCTATGTTAAGGGAATCCAGGGGTGACAAGAACAAGAGACTGTCAAGCCAGTGCAAAAATTTACAAACTTGAAAAAAAGTCAGATGTAAATCACTTCAGACCACAGATGGCTCGTCAGGACTGAAAAAGAACATTTGTCTTTTTTCTCCCTTTAAAGCACTCCTAGAGATGTTTTGGAACATGCTCTGCTCCAAAAGATCTTCACTCTGGAAAATTCCATACGCCCTTTAGCTTCAAAGTTGCGATTTAGAAGGTTTTACAGTAATGAGCACCTTGAGAGTCTGTGAATTTGTACATTTGCCAGAGGTAGAATGACCCCTGAGAGTTTTCAAGCTACACAGTGAAAATTGAAAGTTGTTACCCAGAAAAGACTCACCTCTCCTTCTATCCTTATTGCTGTGCCTAACCTGCCTCTTACTTCCTACCACCTCCCTTAACTCCAGGGGCAGAGGGCACTGCAATCTTGCAGGCCTTCCAAGTGGGTGGATTCTCCATCTGTGGATTCAACCAACCACAGGTCAAAAAATAGTTGGAAAAATAATGGATGCTTGTAGATGCACTGAGTATGTACAGACTTTTTTCTTGTCACTATTCCCTAAACAATAGTGTAAAAATCATTATGTAACATTTACATTACATTCTATTAGCTATTTGAAGTAATCCAGAGGTGACTTACAGTATAAAAAAAGGGGGCCAGGTGTGGTGGCTCATGCCTGTAATCCCAGCACTTTAGGAGGCCAAGGTGGGCAGATCACGAGGTCAGGAGATCGAGACCATCCCGGCTAACATAGTGAAATCCCATCTCTACTAAAAATACAAAAAATTAGCCAGGCGTGGTGGCAGGCATCTGTAATCCCAGCTACTCAGGAGGCTGAGGCAGGAGAATGGCATGAACCCGGGAGGCAGAGCTTGCAGTGAGCCGTGAGCCAAGATCGCGCCACTGCACTCCAGCCTGGGCGACAAAGTGAGACTCTGTCTCAAAAAAAAAAAAAAAAAAAAAAAAAAACACCAAAAAAACCCACAAGGGTATGTGCAGGTTATATGCAAATACTACACCATTTTTTATCAGGGACCTGAGCCTTCCACAGATCTGGTATTTGCCGGGGGGGTCCTGCAGTTAATCCTCCAGGATACTGAAGGACAACTGTTCTTAGTTATGGCAGCTCTAGCAGAATAATACAGACACACCATTGGGAAAAGGCTGGAAGAGGGGCGAGATGCTTCCAAACTGGATCTACCCCAAAATCCTGTCCTGTGAGAACTCAGAGTGGGCCAAACAGAAGAGGGGCTGAGCTCACACGGCAGCAAGGCTGGCAGTGCTGCCACCTTGACACCTTTCTGCTCTCCTCCCTGCCTGTTTGAGGCTGACAGGAGGCACACTTGGGGATGCCCATGGCTCCTCAGAATGTTACCAAAACACCAGGGGTTTGGTCTAGGTCCTGCTGCTTGCTGCACAGAAAGCCAATCACTGAGATGAGTATTGCCAGGGAAGAAGGCTTCAATCGGGTGCTGCAGCTGAGCAGATGGGAGCTCAGTCTCAAATTCACCTCCCTGACCGACTAAAATTAGGAGTTTATATAGCAGGGAAGAAATGTAACCATGTGTTGGAAAACATAACAGGCAGCAGGTGGTCACTTAGGCAGTCATGATGGGTGAGGGGTCTGGCTTCTCATTGTCCAAACACAGGGATCTGGCAAGTTTCAACTCCTTTATGCTATCTGGGTGTCCTGATAGTTCCTTTCCTGAGAAAGGAACTCAGATAAGACAAATGTAACTTTCTCAAGTTTTAAGACTGAGAGGATCAATTTCTATGTTTATTCAAAGAAACCATAAACATCAGCTCTACAGGAAAAATGGGTCAGTTTCAAGAGCTCAACTGTGGTAGGTCAACTGGGGGCAAGAAGCAAGAAGGGGTTGAAGACAGAAGAGGAATTCTGCCCACATCACGCATCTGCAGAGATGCTCCTGCAGATCTGATCTACATGCAGGTAAGACTCATCGCAGGGTGCCCACTTGGCACTAATGAAATACATCAACAGGGTCCCTTCTCTTTTTGGTCTCCAACAAACCCAAAAGGACTCCTCAATGCTGTCCCCTTGCGTGACATGTGGCACAACCTGCCCCAGCTCATCCACAGGTGGCTGGTGGTGACCAGTCCATGCACAACAGAGGCAGGAAGGCCCCCTCATGCCTGCACAGGCCAAAGCCAACTCCAGCTGGGATTCCAGTGTTCTCCTCTAGAAGTATGGGACCTAATCCTGGAGAAGTCTACAAACCAAGGTATGCCCACTTCTTCAAACAAGGAAAGCACTGGAGGCAGTTGTTAAAGTAAAAAATCCAAACTAGAGAACAGAGCTTGACTGTGCATGGAAAGGCAGAGGTGGCAGATCTGCTTTGTAAGCAAAAGCCAGTCAGACAGAAGCAGTCATGAGTTTGCTCATCTGGGCTGTGAACTTGAGTACCTGTTTTCTCTTAAAAACTGTATTACCATGCCTGCAATCCCAGCACTTTGGGAAGCCAAGGTGGGTGGATCACAAGGTCAGGAGTTCGAGACCAGCCTCCCCAATATGGTGAAACCCCATCTCTACTAAAAATACAAAAATTAGCCAGGCATGGTGGCATGCGCCTGTAGTCCCAGCTATTTGGGAGGCTTAGGTGAAAGAATTGCTGGAACCCAGGAGGCAGAGGTTGCAGTGAGCCGAGATCATGCCACTGCACTCCAGCCTGGTGACAGAGCGAGATTCTGTCTCAAAAAACAAACAAAAAAAAAAACCCAAAAAAACTGTATTTACAATGAACACCATAACCATGCTGAAGGCAAGACAAAAGGAAAGAACTCAACTAAGTGACGGCATAAAACAGTCTACATACTGTGGGGATGAAGACCAAAAGAACCACATATTAATACTGTAAGCTAATTAACAAACATGTTTCTCACAGGAATGTGAGTTAGAAAATCCTGGACTAATTCATGGATATGCTAAAATCGGGAAAACAAGGAATATTTTGTAAATAAGGAGAATCAGGCTGCTCACTGTTAGAGGGAAAGCTACAAAAAAGGAATTGGAGAAAGCTAAATGGAGCCCTTGGTGTTGGACCGGAATCAACTTTCAGTATAAACCCATGGTTTTCACATACACAGAGACAGATACATAGATAGATAGATAGATAGATAGATAGATAGATAGATAGATAGATGATTGATAGATGATTGATAGATGATTGATAGATAGAGATACAGAAATACAGATATGTGCATAGGCATGTGTTTGCATGCTCATGTTGCTCCCATTCTGTCTGCCGACAGGGCTGGAAGCAATGACTCCCAGCAGTGATAAACACTCTCAGTGCTCAGATCTTATTTCTAAATGCCCTTCACCAATAAAAGGAACCAGAGCTCTTTGAGAAGTGGTTGGTTCCAGGTCTACAGCAGGGAAAATACATACAAGGTGAGCCTGAAGCATCCTGTGGTTCCAGAAAGAAAATCATATATATATGTGTGTATGTATATATATATGAGATCCTATATATATTATATATATATGCGCTTATAGAAAGACCACAAGAGCCTATCTGAAGAAGATCCTAATGCAAAAGCTGGAATAATTTGAGGAACAAAATAGATTGTGATAGAATTAGATTATAGCACATAACATAACATAAATATCCATGAGTCCCTACTGATATAAAATTTAAAAACTGATGTAATAAATAAATAAATGGAGGAGAAGAGAGACCTCTTCGTTTTGGTAGAATTCTAGTTAATGAATGTAGAAGGAAAGAGGGGAATAGAAAATCAGCATTAGGCAAACACTACAGTAATTGTTATTGCAGGAAGGATCTGCTGGTGAATGTTAAAATTAATAGGCAAAGTTTCAGAAGAAACAGGAAATCGTAAATATCCCAGGATATTTACTAACTGCAAAGGGAATGACAGAAGTCTTACAATGAAAAAGCCCCGGCAGAAATCACCTTCACCAAGTGACGAAGGTCAACATCACCAATAATTAGACACATTGATCTCTGGAACCTGTGATACGACGCGCTGAGAACACAACCTTCTTCTTCAGTATTCTCGGCAAAAGTGAATAGCCTCAGGCCAATCTGGAGAAAACATCAGACAAATCCAAATGTAGGGGATATTCAGCAAAATAACTAACCAAAATTCTTTAAAAATGTCAAGATCATGAAAGACAGGAAAAATTGAGGAATGACAGATTTCAGAAGAATAAGGAGAAATAAAAACCAAATGCAATGTGAGGTTCCGGTTCGGATGCTGGAACATTAGTGGAAAAAAATGATGAAATTAGAATAAGGTCTTTACTTTGTTAACAGTATTGTACTAATGTTAATTTTCTGTTTTAATTATTGTGCTATACTTATTTAAAATGTTGACATTAGAAGAAGCTGGGTGAGGGGGATCTGTAAACATTCAATATTATTTGGACTTTTCTGAAAGACTAAAATTAGTTCAAAATAAAACATTTTTTAAAAACCAAGTTCAAGCACTGTTGAGTGGATAGCCTGAAAGAATTACCTTGTGTCCTTTCAAGGGTCACTCTTGCCTTGCTCATCATAAAATATATCTTGAAAATTTGTCTTTGAACCACATACACCTAATGAAATTAAGTTTCCAGTGAACAGCCAAGGTCTTGAATTAAGAGAATGCTGAAATGCCTATGTCCTTGCAATTTCCTCTTCAGCTATCACACTGTTGCCATCCACTATTTGTTCAGTTTACCATATGTTCCATTATCTTTTACTTCTGTGAAATGCATCCTGTGATCTCTGTTTTATTTGTCTTCTAATTTTACAATAGGTTGAAGGGCTAAATCCCATTTTATGGCTTACCTAAGCAGGGTAGTGATATTTGCTTTTCTGCTGCCTAATTCTGAACAACTACACAAGAGCAATTTCCTTCATATAGGCTGTGGCCAGTGGAGAGGTAATTCTTAGCCAGAAAGTCAGAGATTGAAGCAGTTAAGAAGTATGAGCTGTCATGATTCAGACATTCACTCCATAGGACTGACAGCATTTCATACCCACAGTGTTTACCATAGGGAGCTGACTTTGAGCTGCTCTCTGGATGGAAATCACCTTAGTCTAACAATTCTGACAGAATTCCATTATGCACATGGTGGGGGCAGAGGGTGGCAGGCAGAGATGAGGAATCATAGGGCAGAAGAAAGATAAATGTACATTTTAAGAAAACAGCTATCTACACACCCAGCTTGCAGACAGCTTTAATTTTACAAAGTATTTTCTCGCTTATTATCGAATTTGATGCAGCCAAACGTTGCAGTGTATAAAAGATCTTATCTCTATTGTGCAGGCAAAAAGAACAAGACCTTGAGAAAACTTCGAGTGTTTCAGGACAAAAAGTAACTTAATATGGAGCCAGACCAGCATCTATTTTGATACAATCTTGAATTCTTCTAATAGAAACTCCTGTTGTTTTCTTTCCCACAGAAGCCATATCCATCTGTCATATGACAAGATGGAGGTGCCCAAGATACCGCTTTCTTTGCAGTGGAAGCCATCTTCAACTGTCCTGCCCTCCATCTGTGCCCAACAGCTACATTGTGTCAGGGCAAGGTGAATGCCTGGCCATGCCTATAGATGCTACACAGCCTGGAGCAGAGTTAAAGGAAACCAACATGGAACCTTGGCAATGGAGACAGTAGGACTTTCCAATTGATGATGACTCATGTTACTCTCACAAGGTAAATTGCCAAACCACATCACCCTTATCAGTCAAATGTATGGGGTCTCCAAGAAATGAAAAGCCCTATGCCCACATCATCCCTCCAGGCACTTGGACTTTCCCTTTACGTGGGCTAAAGGGGTCACTTGGATGGAGGCCATAAAGCTGGTGAAATTTAGCAGGACCCTTCCAAGTCACATCAGCACCTCCAGCTATCAGGGAAAGAAAATGAAAAGTAGATTTCTGTCTGTGGATCTTATTTGAGAGATGAGGGGCAGACATTCTGGCATCAGAAGAGTAAGAGCTCTGGATTTCAAGAGTTAAACTCATAATCTCATACCAGGAGACTGTCCTGAGCTCAAACCTGTCTCCTGCAAGCCTCCTCCTTTCCCCAGAGAGTTGTGATCAGGATTAAAGGAGAGAATTAACCAAAAAAAAAAAAAAAAGATATTTTAGGTAAATCATTAGCAATATGCTGCTTCTTGCTAGAGCCTGCTTCCCCAAATTATATATTCGATATGTGCTTGGGTAGATGTCAGTGCCAATGCAGGTGCAGGGAAGGTGCTCCAACACACATAAAAAAGAAAAGTCACCCTTTATTCCTTCTTATTGCAGACTGTAAAATATTTCTCAACTACACTTGTTATAATGAAGCCAATGGCTAAAGCAATTATTGTTTTCACATATAGTTCAAGCTGTTGCTGGGACTCACCATAAACTTTCAATCTGAAAGCACAAATGAAAACAGGTGTGCAGGAAGCAGAAATGCACGCTCTTCCTGCAATCTGAAAGGCATTGTACCCTTAGTTTCTATAGCAATTGTCTCTGCTTCATCTCTTCTCTGCAGGCTGGGCAATTTTGATCATTCACAATGAAGATGTTAGTTGTTTCCAGTATGAATACTAATGGTGTCTGATTGAATGTTTGTTTATTCTTGAGATAATCAGCTAATGATTTTGATTTGAAAATGTGTATACAAATAAGTATATACATCACAGGGAAAGGAACACAAGGTGTGTTTGAAATTTTTATTTTAATAATTACTAAACAAAGGTAGAATAAAACATATCCCTTCTCCCTAGTGTGCTGATAAGCAAGTTCGTACTCCTTTACAGTTGGGAACAAATAGGATGCTATGGAATTTTAAAACTTTAAATAAGAAAATACAGAAAACTGCTCATGAAATTAGTAAATGTTGTTTATATAAACTCACTGATAAGGAGTCAAATGAAATCAGCAGGCTCACATCTTGCTAGCACAACTGTAAACCGGTGTACCTTTTCAAGAGGACAGTTTGGCAGTATAGCTTAGGACCCTTAAAACTGTACACTGCAGCCAGGTAAACGCTATTCAGGAAATATTCTAGATAAATAATCCTAAATATGGGGAAAGATTCCCATATTGGGGCTTATCACAGTATTTACTATAACAGTGGAATATTGGAAATAATTGGTCAATCATAGAGAGATCAGTGAATAAATGTTGGCATCTTAAATGGATGTTACACCTCCATTCAAATTGTGTTTATAAAAAGTTTTGCACTAATATGGAAAAAGCAATTATAATAGCATGACAATGGAAGCAACAAAATGTAATATTGCTTTTACTTTGAAGATATGTAGAATAAATCTCAAGATAGATGCAAAGCCATGAAGAATTTTAATCAGCAATTAAAAAACACTCAATTCAAGGTTTGAATTAGCAGAGTAGGATGACTATATTTTAAAAAAGTATATTGTACTTAGGTGATGAAAACCCTGAATACCCTGATTTGATCACTACACATTATATACATGTAACAAATTTTCTCTTATACCCCACAAATTTACACAAATTGTTTAAAGAAGAAAATTTGGGCAAAGAACAGTGTTTTGTTCTCTATTTTTCCATTGACTGAACTATTGAAATATCATTTTGTATATAATCCTTATTAAATGTCTTTAAATCCCAATATTTGTAAATTAAATTTATATTTTACAAAGCACTCTTAATTCCTAAAACAGATGATGCTATTGTTATTTCATGGAATTTATTTATTATTATTATTATTATTATTATTATTATTATTATTATTTTTTGAGATGGAGTCTCGCTCTGTAGCCAGGCTGCAGTGCAATGGCACGATCTTGGCTCACTGCAACCTCCACCTCCCGGGTCCAAGTGATTCTCCTGCCTCAGCCTCTCAAGTAGCTGAGATACAGGCATGCGCCACCACGCCCTGCTAATTTTTGTATTTTTAGTAGAGACAGGGTTTCACCACATTGGCCAGGATGGTCTCGATCTCTTGACCTCGTGATCCACCTGCCTCAGCCTCCTAAAGTGCTGGGATTACAGGAATGAACCACCGCACCCAGCTAGAATTTATTTAAACTCTAGGGAAACCACCAAATATTTTTTGAAAGAATTATAATCGATAGGAGAGAAAACAGAATGATATAAAATGATCATTTAAAATCAAAGAAAGCAGAAAATGATTGCAAGAAGAAAAAGAAAGCAAGAAAGATGAATAGAAAAGTTATAAATGTAGTAGATATTAATCCAACAATATCAATAATCATCTTAGATGTGAATGTTCTACATATACCAATTAAAAGTTGGAGACTCTAAGAGTGGATAACCCTTCCCCACAATATCCAAATGTATGTTGTCTATAAGAAGCCCACTTAAATATAAAGACAGATAAAAGTAAAGAGATGAAGACAAACATGCCATAACACTAATCAAAAGAAAGGGGAGTAGGTGACTCAATTTCAGACAGAGCAAATGCAGAGCAAAAATAAAACACTCATCAGGGATAAAAAGGTGTATTATGTTATGATAAAGGGCCCAGCTCTCCACGATGAGATAGCAATCCTTAATGTGTGTGCCTAACAACAGAGCATCAAAATACATGGGGCAAAAACTGATCAAACTGCGAGGAGAAATAGGCAAATTTACTACCGTAAGTTGGAGACTTCACTACTTCTGTATCTGTAATTGACCCATTCTGCAGGCAGAAAATCATTGAGAGTAGAGTTGAACACCACCATCAATCAATTTGATCTAATTGACATTTATTGAATACATCATGCAATAAGAGCAGAATATACATTCTTCTCAAGCTCACATGGGACATTTACTAAGACAGACTACATTCTGGGCCATAAAACACAACTTACAAAGTTAAAAGAATAGACATCATGCAAAATATGTTTTCAGACCACAATGAAGCTAAACTAGAATTAACAACAGAAAGATACCTAGAAAAGCCCAAAATGTTTGGAGATTAAACAACATATTTCTAAATAATACATGGTCAGAGAATTCTCAACAGGAACTTAAAAACTCTTTAAACAAATGAAACTAAAAATACAACCTATCAAAACACGTGGAATGTAATGAAAGCAGTGCTTAAAGGGAAATTTATAACATTGAATGCATGTATTTAAAAAGAAGAAAACTCTAAAATTAGTAATCTAAACTTTCACCTTAAAAAACTATAAAATTTTTAAAAAAGTAAATGCAAAATAAGTGGGAAAAAAAGAAATAATAAAAATCAATAAAATTAAAAACAGAAAAAAAACAATAGAGAAAGTCAATAAAAACAAAAGCTGGTTCTTTGAAAAGACCAATAAAATTGATAGACCTCTAACCAGGGTAACCAAGAAAGTAGACGACGTTAAGTCACTAACATTAAAAATGAAGAAGCCATCACTACTGATCCCACAGACATTAAAAGGATAATAAAAGCTATTACTAACAACTCTTTACCCACAGATTTTATCACTTACATGAAATGGACCTACTTCTTAAAAAGATACAAGCTACCAAACTCACATAGGAAAAATTGATAACCTAAACAGGTTCAATTTTTAAAATATATCTATTTTAAAAATGAGATTTATTCCAGGTAAGCAAGGATGGTTAAACATTTAAAACTCGATTAATCTAATCCACCATATCAACAGGCTAGACAAGAAAAATCATATGATCATATCAATAGATGCATAAAAAGCATTTGACAAAATTTAACACCCATTCGTTATGATGAAAAATTATCAGCAAACTAGGAATAGAAGGAAACTAGTTTGATAAAGAACATCTACAAAAAACCTACAGCTGACAATTTAACATTATAAAATATATCTATTTTTTAAAAATTGAAGCAATAATTAGTAGCTTTCCAGAACAGAAAGCATCAGGCCCAGATGTGTTCACTGGTAAATTCTACCAAATATTTAAGGAAGAAATTACATCATTTCTCTACCATCTTTTTCAGAAAGTAGAAACAGAGGGACTACTTTCTAACTCATTCTATGACCAGCATTACCCTATTACCAAAACAAAGACATGACAAAAAAGGAAAACAATAGACCAGCATTTCTCATGAACATATACACCAAACCCTCAACAAAATATTAGCACATTGAATATAATAATGTGTAAAAAGGAGTTTACACCACAGAAAGTGAGATTTATTCCAGGTAAGCAAGGATGGTTAAACATTTAAAAATCGATTAATCTAATCCACCATATCAACAGGCTAGACAAGAAAAATCATACGATCATATCAATAGACGCATAAAAAGCATCTGACAAAATGTGACACCCATTCATTCAGGATTAAAAATTATCGGCAAACTAGGAATAGAAGAAAACTCTCCAGTTTGATAAAGAACATCTACAGAAAACCTACAGCTAACATTTTAATGATGAGAAACTAGATGCTTTCCCACTATGATCAGGAACAAGGCAAAAATGTTCTCTTTCACTACAACTATTCAACATTGTACTGGAAATCCAAGCTAATGCAACAAATAAGAAAACCAAATAAAAGGTATACAGATTGAGTGGGAAGAAATAAAACTTCATTCACAAATGGCATGATTGCCTATGTAAAAGATTTCCAAGAATCATCAAAAATCTACTGGACCTAACAAGTGATTATAGCAAGGCTGCAGGATACAAGGTTAATATACAAAAGTCAATTGCTTTGCTATATACCCAAAATGAACAACTGGAATTTGAAACTTAAGATAACACCCTGTACATTAATACCAAAAATTGGAATACTTAGACATAAATCTAACAAAGTATGCACAAGATTATGTTAATTATATCATTTTCTGTATTTTTGATGCTCTGTTATCTAACGCTTCCCTGACCAGGGAAGATCTGCCCCTCCCAGTGTTAGCTAATTTCTAGAGATAGTAAACAACTCGCCCAAGAGCGTGCATTTCATATGCAAACTAAGCAATCCAAAGTCCATATCCCCTGCCCCCCCTCCACCCCCAAATTTTCTCTATGGAACTCTCACACTCAGGGCGAATATTTCCATGCCCTAATTACACCAGGTCTGGATACCCTACACCTGAGAGCCTGCTGAATTATTCAAATGTGCCAATCCTACATGCTTAGCCTGCCTTAGCCATTTTTCGTCACAGAAACCACAATAAAGCCTCTTGTTATATTTTCCTCCCTCTTTCTGCTTCCTGACCAACCTTAGCACTTCCTCGTGTGGTGCCTTCATGATGTGGTGTGCCCTCTCCTCTTGGGAATGATGAGTGACAAACTATCTTTTCAATGGCAGTCATCTCCTTATGTGCTATGCTCACCGTATTTGAATAATAATAAAACCTGTCAGGCCTCTGAGCCCAAGCTAAGCCATCAGATCCCCTGTGACCTGCACTATACATCCAGATGGCCTGAAGCAACTGAAGATCCACAAAAAGAAGTGAAAATAGCCTTAACTGATGACATTCCACCATTGTGATTTGTTTCTGCCCCACCCTAACTGATCAATGTACTTTGTAATCTCCCCCACCCTTAAGAAGGTTCTTTGTAATTCTCCCCACCCTGGAGAATGTACTGTGTGAGATCCACCCCCTGCCCACAAAACATTGCTCCTAACTCCACCGCCTATCCCAAAACCTCTAAGAACTAATGATAATCCCACCACACTTTGCTGACTCTCTTCGGACTCAGCCCACCTGCACCCAGGTGAAATAAACAGCCTTGTTGCTCACACAAAACCTGTTTGGTGCTCTCTCCACACCGACGTGTGAGAAAAAACCTCCATTTCTATTTCTTTTCCCTAAGCCTTATTAAGGTATGATTGATAAAAATTATATACTGCATATTTTCAGTGTACAATATTAAATACACACACACACTGGGAAATGACTAAATCAAGTGAATTAACGTAGCCATCACCTCACATACTTATCTTTCTTGTGGTGAGAACATTGAACATTTAAGAACTACCATCTTAGCAATTTTCAAATATTTAATACATTATTGTTAACTATAGTCGTCATGCTGTAAATAGATCACCAAAACTTGTTTATCCTGTTTAACTGAAACTGTGTACTCTTTGGCCAACCTCTCCACATTTATTCCCCTCACCCCTACCATCAGGCTCTGGTGACCACCATTCTACTGTCTGCTTCTACTTCTCAACTACTTTAGATTCTACACAAAAGGGAGATCATGCATTATTTCTCCTTCTGTCCCTGGCTTACTTCACTCAGCATAATGTCCCCTAGTTTCATCCATGTTGTCACAAATAATAGAATTTCCTTATCTTTTAAGGGTGAATGGTATTCCATTGTGTGTGTGTTTGTGTGTGTGTGTGTGGTGTGTGTCACATTTTCTTTATCCATTCATCCTTCAGTGGACACTTCATTTGATTCCTTATCTTGTCTACTGTGAATAATGCTTCAATAACAAGGAAGTGCAGATATGTCTTTGACATACTGGTTTTACCTCCCTTGGACATATGCCCAGAAATAGAATTATTGGGTCATATTTAAAAAAACAACAACAACAAAAAAAAACCCTACATTTTAAAACAAAGATATATATAAGGAAAACTACAAAACTCTGATGAAAAAAAGCGGTTCTAAAAAATTGAGAAATATTCCATGTTCACGGATAGAAGACTCAATATCATCAAGATATTAGTTCTTCCCAATGTAATATATAGATTCAATACAAACCCAATCAAAATCCCAACAAGTTACTTGTGGATATGAACAAACTGATCTCAAAGTTTACATGGAGAGGGAAAAGTCCCAGAATAGCCAAAACAACGTTCAGAAAAGAAGTGCCAGTCAGAGGACTGGCATCACCTCACTTCAAAACAGTGTGGTATTATAAAAGAATAGACAAATTGGTCAATAAACCAGAATAGAGAGCGCTTAAATAGACCCACATAAATGTAGCCAGCTGATCTTTGGCAAAGGAGCAAAGGTAATAAAATGGAGAAAATATAGTCTTTTCAAAAGATAGTGCTGGAACAACTGTACATCCACATGCAAAAAGTAAATAAATAAATCTAGACATTGATCTTATGCTTTTCACAAAAATTAACTCAAAAATAATCATATACCTAAACGTAAAATACAAAACTATAAAATTTCTGGAAGGTTGTATTTGGGAGATAAAATAGTTAACATTGTGTTTGGCGTGACTTAGATACAACATCAAAAGCACAATTAATGAAATAAAATATTGATAAATTGGACATAATTAAAACTTCTCTGTGGAAGACACTGTTAAGAGAATGAAAAGACAACCCACCGTCTGGGAGAAAATACTTGCAAAACACGTATCTGATAAAAGACTGTTATCTAAAATATAAAAAGAACTCTTAAAATTCAACAACAAGAAAACAACCCAATTAAACAAGTGGCCAAAAAAATGTGAAGCCATGAAAGAAGATAATACAGTTGACAATCAGCATACGAGAAGATGCTCAACAGCATCTTAGGAAATTGTAAATTAAAACAATGATTAGATACCACTGCCCACCTTGTAGAATGGCCAAAATTTAAACCACTGACAACACCAAGTGCTGCCAAAGATATGGAGCAACAGAAATTCAGTGCTGGTAGGAATGCAAAATAGAACAACTCCTTGGAAGACAGTTTGACAGTTTCTTACAAAACTAAACATAATCTTAACTGTAAGATCCAGCAATGACACTCCTTAGTACTTTCCCAAGTGAAATGAAAACTTAAGTCTACACCAAAACCTTCACATGCATGTTTAGAGTAGCTGTATTCATCATTGCCGACACCTGAAAAAAACCAAGACATCCTTTAATGCATGAATGGATAAACAATGTATGGTAGATCCATACAATGGAATATTATTCAGCAATAAAAATGAAATGGGCTAACAAGCCACAAAAAGACATAGAGAAGCCTTATGTCACTTTCCAAAGTGAAAGAAGCCAATATGAAAAGGCTATATACTGTATGATTTCAGTTACAGGGGATTCTGAAAAAGGCAAAACTATAGAAACAGCAGAAAGATTAGTGTTTGTCATGGGTTGAGAAGTGGGTGAAAGGTGGGATGGAATGAACAGGTGGACCACAGAGGATTTTTTAAGACAGTGAAGCTATTCCATCCATATCATATTGTATTGGTGGATACATGACATTATACATTTCTCAAAACCTATAGAATATATAACACAAACAATGAGCCCTAATGTAAACTATGGACTTTAACAATACTTTCATGTTGGTTTATCAATTGTAAAAAATGTACCACACCAATGCAACATGTTAGTAATGGAGAAAACTCTAGGGTTGGAGAGGGAGTATGTGGAAAATCTCTGTACTTTCTACTCAACTTCCTATAAATGTAAAATTGTATAAAAATATAGTTTACTGATATTTAAACAAATGATAAGGTAATAAACTCAAATCTGAATGGCAATCGAATTGCTAATCATACATAAATAATATCGTATTTGTTCCACTGGCCTAAGAAGATGGTATCATGGTTCCACATGATCACCAGGCAGCTATCGCCTTAGGCAGGCCCAATTTCTCCCCAAATCCACTCCTGCCACTCTGCCACATGAGTCCTAAGTGAGCTGCGTCTCCAAGCAACTCCTCTCTCCACCATTAGCCCCAGGAGCTGTGTAGAATTGTTCAATGCTGGTCCCTTGTCAGGCAGAGACTCAGAAGTCAGCCATTGCAAAGTGTTGGTCTGTTAGCTGTCCAGGCAGGATATGGGATCTTTCTCTTCCCAGGCTGCCCTCACCCAAGCACATGCGATGGGTCCTCTGGTGGGGAGACACAGTGTCCCTTCTCCTCAGTCTGAATCCACTGATGTAATTATACCAGTTTTCTTCAGCCTGTGAGTGAAGTGGAGCTGCCACTCCTGCCACATTCTGCAATCCTTGAGTGCACCCTCATGCCCTCAGTGTTGCATGCGTCCTTGCCCTGCCCCAGCCCTCCTACCTCCCCAAATCTTCGACTGTGACCTATGGGCCCCAGCTTCATAGGACCACAGAACAGCACTCCCAAGCCTTTGCCAGTGACCCTTCCTGTAGGTACCCTATTCCACATAGAGATCAGGCATTCCTGCCACCTCAGATACCTCAGGGTCAGAAAGTAGAGTTCAGATGCTTCTTACTTCCCTCAACCTTCCATTTTATTGTAAAGCAATCAAAAGAATACATAAAAATAAAAATAACCTTGCTCTTTTAAAACTGTACGTGCTGCTCCTCCTTGCTGAACTCTGGTTCACCCTCCCCACTGGCTGACCAACTCTGGCACCTGGCTTGCATTTTTTCCTACCCCCAAGCTCTGCCAATAGTTGAATTTGACATTTTGATTTTCACAAAGTGCTAATCTCAAAACCCATTTTCCTCCACTGCTATCAGGTGTCCAACACATAACTGCACTCTGGACCTTTTCATTTCTTGTAACGGTGCCAAGTCCAAAAATCATTAACTCAGACACCACTCGCCTACAATTGCTCTCTTTCCAGCCTGCTTGGCAACTCCTCCCTGAGTTATGAAGTTTTATCTCCTCTCCACTTTCCCTCTATCCATGATCATTTTCTTCCTTTACTTACTTTATTCAGCCTGTATTCCACGATCATTGTCCAGTGGCACAATTGCCTTAATTCCTCTTGACTTTCTGCTTCTATGCTTGCCCCTGAGAACCAACTGCTGCTGAAGAAGATCACACCACAGTGATAACTGATTTTATTATGAATTTTTAAATACTTCATGTGGGACTTTGATGACACTGGAAAACCTACTAGATTCCTCTACTCAACTCATTCTCCCAACCCTTCAGTGTTTCATAGTTGCTCTGCTTTTCTCAAAAGATGAAAGTCATCATTCTTCTTCCATCCCAGCCTCTTTCTCAGCAGAGGATGAATTATTTCTATTTGCAGAGAAAAAGAAGTCAGGTGAGACAGCCTCGCCTTCCGAACCAGGTGCATCTCACACACCCCGGCTTCCCGTCTTTCATTAACAGTAGGGATGCTGCCCTTCCTCCTATCTGGGGCCAGAACTCCCCTGGCCATTTGTTCCACTGCTTTCCAGTTTTTCAGGAACCCAGTACACCTATATAATGATTATGTGTGAATATGCACAGTAATCTAATCTTATCTCTGCACATTCAACCTCTTCATCCCGAGTAGATGAATTCCTTCTGCTGGCTTGAATTAGCCATTTCCTACTTTGATAAGATCCTTCCCGTTGTTTTTTTGTAAGTTCCTGACACTTTTAAGTGCACTCTAATGTGACCCTCACTGTACCTAACACAGTATCATATCTCCCTTTGGCCTTTCATGTCTTTAAGAGCTAATTCGAATATCCAGATGGAGTAATAAATTCATGTTTTGATCCACCCCCTCTTCTAACATCAGTGATAATATAAAAAGAGAAAACCAAAACAAAATAGCCTGTTTCAAATAACAAAAACAATAAGAACAAACCATAAAAGCAGACATTTATATGCCTGAACACATTAAAATTTAACACATCTGTTCAAAGAAAGACAACAAAACAAACTGAGGAATAAGGCACAGATTGGAAAAATGTATTTGTAATGCACATTCCTGACAAAAGATTAGAGCCCAGCATACATAAAGAATTCCTGTAAGTCAATAAGGAAAATAATAAAAATCTCCAGAGAAGAACAGGCAACAAGATAAAAAAGCAATTCAGAAGAGGAAATCAAGTTGCCAGAAAGTAGCATAAAGATGCTCAACTTCATGAGTAATGGGGAAAAGAAATTAAAGCCACAGGCCAGGTGTGGTGGCTCACGCCTGTAATCTTAGCACTTTGGGAGGCCGAGGCAGGTGGATCACTTGAGCTCAGGATTTGAGACCAGCCTGGGCAACATGGCAAAACCCTGTCTCTACCCAAAACGCAAAAAAATAGCTGTGTGTGCTGGCACACACCTGTGGTCCCAGCTACTCAGGAGGCTAAGGCGGGAAGATCGCTTGAGCCTGGGAGGCAGAGGTTGTGGTGAGCTGAGATCACCCCACTGCACTCCAGCCTGGGTGACAGAGTGAAAACTCATCTTAAAGAAAAAAAAAGTAAGGAAAAACAAATTAAAGCCACAGTGAGATACCTTTTCCCATCCATCTGAAAGGCCAAGTTAGAAAGTCTGACAACACCAAGTGTTGAGGATGAGAATGTGAAGGTAACAGAAGCTCACTGCTGTGGGTGTTACTGTGAGAGCCACCAGCATGCTCTGGGAAAACTCCAGGTATGTGACCTCCCATCACAGCATTCCCATTCCCAGGAATAGTTGGACACAGGCATGCAAGGGGGCACATACAGGAATGTTCAATGCAACTCTGTTTGTAATTATAAAAACTTGGATACATTTTAAACATTCATCAGTGCAAGTTGCTAAATTAAGGCATGTTTATAATATAAATAAACCTGAGCTACATCTTCAATGGATACATCAATAAATTTCTAAAGTATAATATTGAGCTTAAAAAAGCAAGTTGCAGAAAGCAATATGATATATAATACCATTTCTATTCAGATTGCAGACCTGCAAAGCAATAGTGTATGTTATTTATACAAACATATAAATGAAGTGATAGGATTACATATAATACACAGAAGTGAAACACACCAAATTAACAATAATGGTTATCTCTGGAAGGTAGGAAGTGGGATTGAGAAGGAGTATACAGGGAAAGTCGAGTCACTCTGTATATTTTTTTAATCTAAAGCAAATATGATGAAACATTAAGAACTGATAAAGCTAGGTGGCAGGTACATAGGTGATCATTACACATTATTTTCTAATTACATATTTTATATTTTAAAAATACAAAAGTTATCTATAGTCTTTATATCCACTTCTTTGCCTAGCTCCCATCCCACCGTACTCCTAACTGGTTTCCAGAACCACCAATCCACCAAAACTAACAATGCCTCTGACTTCCTGTGTACATCACAATGCACATTTTCAGTCTTGCTTGACCTATCAGAAATGGTCTCCTGGCTTTGATGACACAGCTTCTCATTTTTCTCTACCTCACTGGTCTATGCTTCTTTCCTTCAGCAGCTTGCTGAAGGACAGCAGGGATTCTCTTCTATCCCTGCTGCTCAAAGTTAGGTTTTCAGAGAGAAACTTCCAGCATCACACTATGAGAAACCATGCAGACATCTGCCCCCCCGCAACCCCTGCCACCAGCAAAAATGGCAAACATCTTTTTAAAACAACCATTTAAAGTTTCTGGAAATGGTCCCAAAAGCATACAGCAAAAGAAGAAATAAATGAAGAAAATCTTTAAAAATGTGGTAAGAATAGTGAGTCTGTGGTATTTACATTGAAACTCACTCCCTTCCTCCCCTGTCCCAATTCAGTGTGATAGAAATTCTACTACAGACTGGGGCAGCCAAGAAAACAGCTCCTCTCCTCCTAGCAGCTAGTAAGAGGGCTTTCTTCCCAGGAGGGGAAGGATGTCAGCATTTCTCATTCTGCCTCAAGCTAACTGTTGTTGAGGCTCCAAGTTCCAGGTGAGTATGGCCAAAAGGTGCAAGCTCCCCCTTCTTCTGCCCAGCCCTCACCCATATGACAGACGCTCTACCTTGAGAATACCAGGGTCTGGACTGCCTTTGTGCTAGCTCATAAGGCACTGGTTCCTTGCCAGGAGAGGCAAGCCAAGAAGACATGAATCTACTGCCTGCTACCTCCACCAAGCACTCAGCTCCTTTAGTGGAAATGTCGCTCAGAAAGAAGTGCACTGTTGTCCTCATCCTCAGCTACAGATTCCTGGCTCAGAAGTTTTGCCTAAGGGGAGAAACAGGCCATAAACCTGAAGCTACTAATCCCTTCCCAAAGAAACTGATTCCATTTGCAACAGCGTGTAGAGAGGTTCAAGCCTAAGGGCACTCTCAAAAATAGTGGAAGTCATCATCAAAGCCAACTAAGAGGAGATAGATTAACTGAAAGATTAGACTAATTGAAAATACACAAGAAACTGCAGGTCAGCTAGTTTGCCCAAGAGAACCCAGAAAAGAGATAGCCCGGAGGAACCCGCCTGGGATCAGAACAAATATCGTACATGGACCACAGAAATTATTCATTTAAAGAAGCCTAATATGATTGGTTTGATCTACGGGGCAATTGATGACTCAGGGCATTGACGAAAACAACAGGGCAATCAGCCAGCAATTAATAGAGTCTACCAGTTGGGTGTGGTCAGGACAAGCAACAGGCAAAAAGACCCCTGCCAAAACCAGTGCCCAGAGAAATGTAGGACACTGTAAAGCACAGCAACATATGCATAATGGATGTCACAGAATGACAGGAGACAGAGAAAAGAGTATGACACATATTCAGAGAAATTATGGCTGAAAACCTGCAAAATATAATAAAAGTTAGCCTCCCTCAGAGTTCAAGCCTAAACTCTCTCTGCTTCTCACTGTGTACTGTCTCCCTAAATAACCTGATATCTGTGTGTAAGATATTAATGACTTGCCTGTCTGTGTCTCAGTTCAGAACTCTCTGAGCTCCAGACCTCTATATTTGACTCTTTATTTCACATCTCTTCTTGTGTGTGTCAAAAGCTAACCTCAAATTTAATGTCTTCTCTCTTTTCCACAGCCACCATCCCTAGCCTATGACCCAGTAGACTTTCACCTGGATCACCCCAATGATCTCCTAACTGTGCACTTGCAGCAACTTACTAGATAGTACACCTGCACCCTCTCCTGCTCTGCATCCCATTTGTTCACTTCCTGCAGCCAGAGTGTAGCTGAGTCTAAAGCTTGTGCCATTCACCACTTGATAGCCAACAAGTCAAGAGACAGGTATTGGGGCAAGAAGGTGACTTTATTTCAGAAAGCTAGCAAACCAAGAAGATGGTGGACTAATGTCCTACAGAATCATCTTAAAAGACATGAATCTCAAGCTTCTTTTTATATTAGTGGAAGGGGAATAAGGAGGGCATTGAAGTCAGGAGGTAACAGGTGACCACAGATATCTGGGTGTCAGCAGAGGTTGGAGAAGTTGGCAAAATGTCTTTGCACTTGGTCAGGTCACAATGCTTCTATAAATCTTTAAACGTGATTACTTTTGTACACACCCTCCTTACCTTTTCAGGGGTAGTACTGGGAAGAGACTGTAATCATCGTTATAGTTAAACTATAAACTAAATACCTTTCATGGTTAGCTTGGCCTACTTTCAGGAATGAGTAAAAGCAGTTTGCTTATGAGGTTGGAAGCAAGATGGAGTCAGCTATGTTACCTTTCACTCTTACAAGAGTGGTTTTCCAAACACAATTTGGTGGCATCCAGCCTCTCCTCCTCATGGGGAATATTAACTCACTCTAATTAACATAAAATTCCTTAGTTTGGCCTACAAGGCCTGTGGGGTATGGCCCCCTCTTCTAGTCTTATCTTGCACCATGTTTACCACCAGGTGGTACACGCTGGCCTTGCCTCAGGCATAAGTATCCAGCATGCTTTCTCCACCATAGGATTTCTGTATACACCGTCCCTTCTGCCTGGAACACTTCTTTACGTCTCTTTACCTAGTGACTGTTACTCTTCCCAGAGTAGATCAAATGTCTAGTCTTCAGGGTAACCTTCCTGGATCCTCAAGCTAGGCAAATTCCCCTGTAATACATTCTCCAAACACAATGTTTTTCTTCTTCATATCCTTAAAGAGAATTGCAGTGTTAATTGTGTTTGTGTGATTAATTGATTCACGTCTCTCTCTGGTGTGTGTGTGTGTGTGTGTGTGTGTGTGTGTGTTATTCCAGAGTTCAATGATGGCAAAATTTCTGTCTGCTCTGCTCATCATTGAACACCCAATGTCTAGCACATTGCTCAGTAAGAATTTGTTAGATGGATTCAGTTTATTGAGAATGGCAATGGACTGAATGCTTGTGTACCCTCAAAATTCATATGTTGAAATCCTAATGCCCAAGGTGATGGTATTATAAGGTGGGGGCTTTGAGAGGTGATCAGGTCATGAGCGGAGTCTTATGAATGGGATTAGTGCCTTATAAAAAGTACCTCAGGCTAGGCAGTGACTCTTGCCTACAATCCCAGTACTTTGGGAGGCTGAAGTGTGAGGGTCGCTTTAGGCTAGGAGTTTGACACCAGCCTGAGAAACAAAGTGAGACCTCCTCTCTACAAAAAAATTTAAAAAGTTAGCCAGGCATGGTGGTGCACACCTGCAGTCCCAACTACTCACTGGGGGCGGGGAGGCTGAGGCGTGAGATCACTTGAGTGATCGCTATGATGTCACCACTACACTCCAGCCTAGGTATCAGAGCAAGACATTGTCTCAAATAAATAAGTACAATGTTTTAAAAACGGGGGGGCCTCAGAAGGCTCTCTTGACTTCTTCCCACCATGAGGGTACAATGAGGAATTGGCAGTCTGTAACCCTGGAGAGGGCCCTCACCAGAACCTGGCCATGCTGGCACCCGGACCTGAGACTTCCAGCCTCCAGAACTGTGAGAAATGAATTTCTGTTGTCTACAAGCCACCCAGTCTGTGGTACTTTGTTATAGCATTCCAAACTGACTAAGACAATGACCCACTCTGAGCCATTTACAATGGAAACAAAATCCCTGTCTTCATCTTGCACTGATTGGAACAAAATGGAAACTATATAATTAGATTTCAAGTGGCTTGAAATTACATTTTTTTCCAAGCATCTTTCTATCAATAATTATTATTGGGCAAATTCTCTCTCCTAATAAAATATATTGGAACTACAGCCTATTTGTGTAAGGCTTATAATATTAAAATAATTCCAACCATCTCTGTCCCCTACAGAAGTCAACAAAAGGAATTAAGTTTAATAAATATTGCTCAGAAGTCTGCATGAGTCTGTTCAGTAGGTGCAAAATAATGGTCTCTATCACAGCATCAGATAGATTTATATAGAGATTATTGGAAGAAGAGATGTAAGGCTTTAGTCTAACCTAAGTCATAAGTGGATGATTTCAAATCTTTATTGAGTTTGCTATTTCAGTAGATGAGGATTAATACGTGGAAGGAAGAATTGAATGTCTCACAGAAGTTCCATTGCTTTAAAATTCTGCTCCCTGGCAGCTCATTTAGAAGTTGGAAATACTGTGAAATCATGTTTCTCATGAGCAAAAAACAGTTTCTGAAACTGCCTTCAGGCTTCCCCTCTTCCTACAGTCTAAGATTGATACGGGTTAAGATGAAAATATATCCATCGTCTTTCACTAAGTTTTACTGTGGAAGCATGCTATCTCAAACTTGCATTGCCATACAAAAAAGCTTCACAGTCGGCTCCAAAAGAGAGGCACTTTTGCTCCTCTCCCTAGTGTTTTCTTCATTCCGGCCTGCATGTAAAAGGAGCTGGTCCATCTGTACTTCATCTCACTGCAGAGGGGAGAGGTCAAAGGCAGCCCAACTGTACTCCTAAAGCATCCACATGGATGCATTGTGGGTCCTGTCTGCTCACAAGACTCATGGCTAAGGCCGATGCCAATGGAAAGGAAGCCACTCTCCACACCAGGCACTCAGAAGGCACACAGTTCTGGGTGGGGACACCTGCTCTTTTCCTGGGGAAAGCAGGAGCCAATAAAGCCATGCCCATCATCTGCTTATTGTCAATGGCTGCTTTCCAGATACAAGGTAGAGCTGCAGCAACAGACATGTAGGGCTTGTAAAGCCTACCATCTTTTCTAGCTGGCCATTTATAGAAAAAGTTTGCAGCCCTGATCTAGAACTTAAGCCAACAAAAGGCAAAGCACAGTAATAATAGAAGCAGACAGATTCGGGTTAGATTTTCTTTTTATTATTATTCTCCATTGATAATGTACTCCCACCTCCCAAACCCCACCCTCTCCACCCCTCCCCATTACTAAATAAATCTACGATGGGCATTCCTACTGTCCCACCTTTGGCATGCCACCGTTGATCATTGTTACATTTTTGGTTTTTATGAAATTTGAATCTCTTATATATCATGTATTATTTAAAAGGATTTTCTTCTTTGTGCCAAAAAGTTATTACAATATACATAATTATGTAATCTGGACAAAGCCATTTTAGTCCATTTGTAATTTTTTTCCAAATTGCAAAAAAGATATTATATGTAATTTAGCTTTCTGTCCAGTACACTTACTTAGATATAGATGCTTCTAATGGATAGTTTGAGAAAAATGTGTATTCCCCTTGCTGCTTCAGAACGATTGAGATCAGCAAGGAATCCATTTAAGCACAGAACACTTTCCTGATGGATGTCAGGCTACAGTAAATTCAAACCATAAAACGGTTAGCAACTGCTGCTCGTCCATAAATAATTTGCTTCTTAGATTCCACACTCTCCCCTACATGTCCTCACTGACAATTAATCCCCCCATCTGCATTGTGTGATTCAGCAATGTTCAGAAGAAAAAAACACAATAAATAAACAACAGTGAAACAAGATAAAAATAAAAAATATAGTGTAAGAATTATTTACACAGCATTTACACTGCATTAGGCATTATAGGTAATCTAGAGATGACTTAAAGTGTATGGGAGGGTGTGCATAGGTGATGCTCAAATGCCATGTGCCATTTTATACCAGGGACTTGAGCATCTTTGAATTTTGGTATTTGATGGAGGTCCTGGAACCAACCCCTGTGAATACCAAGGGATAACTGTATATTACAATGAATCTCATTTTACACACCTATTCCTCACTTTAGTTTCTTCTGATTTCCCTCCACTTTCTCCCTGATACCTCCACATAACCCTGTTGGCTCCCTGTGGTACAATATTGTACTGACTTTTGGGGGAGAGGACAATAAACAATGGAGGAATTTTTGTATCATCATGGCCACAGAAGTGAAGCCATCAATACTTGATTTTTTTAATGAACCCATTTGTTTAGATCTTCACCACTCCTTGCAATATGACCTTATGACCAAAAAAACACCATGTGAAACCATTTTAATTAGTTACTGAGTGTATGCCATTGTACAATGCAAATTAAAATAAGATAATCTTATTTAAAGCAATTGTTTTGTAAATTGTGAATGAACTCTGAAAAACTGGTGGTAATATTAGAAACAATAATGGACACAATAATCTTCCATACATAGATTGGTAATATTTTCTTTTCTCTCACAGTAGTTGAAAATAGTCATAAACAAAGATTGAGACCTCACCTCCTTAAAAGTACCTGCTTATTCCTTGAGACCCTTGAACCAAATATCTTCAAATTAACAAGTTAGATAACCTGAGTAATAGCCATGCCATGAATGGAGAATATTACTAATTTAGATATATCAATGCCATTTTCTAATGCTTATGAAACATATGTGCATACAACCCTGTACTGTACGACATACTTTATATAAATTTCTATTTTACTATTAGCATGGGTGCAAGGAATTTAATAAACTCAACTGGTTCAAATTGGTGGTAATCTACATTTAGATTTTTTATTATAAAAATTTTCAAACAGCAAAATTAGAAAGAGTAGTAAAATGAAACTCATTACCCTGACTTTTTAAAAAATTCTTAATGCTTGATTTATCTGCGTTGAGTCATGTACAATCGAAATAATAGCCCATTCTAATACATTTTGCAAGTGTGATTACTTACCTTATTCCAGGCATCTCCGTCTCTCCTGTTCAAAGACTATCCTCTATGACTGGAAGTGAGCAATTATACAATGGACCTGAATTGGGCCCCTAAAGGGAACTTAGTGCCAGTTGGTCATCACTCTAGGGCCCCAGTTGAGGCTAAACTTCATAAACTTGAGTTTATGAAGATCTATCCACCTTAACTAACCCTTCCTTATTATGTTATCTTTCTTTAACACAGTAGTCTTTCAAAAAATTGATTAAAGCATACACATTCCATATATTACAGCTGATACAGTGTCTTATCACATTAAATTATCTCTTCACTCATTCAACATGTATGCATTGATTATGGACTATGTGTGATATGGTTTGCCTCTGTGTCCCCACCCAAATCTCATGTCAAATTGTAATCTCCAACGTCAGGGAAGGAACCTGACGGGAGGTAATTGGAGCATATAGGCATACTTCTCCCTTGCTGTTTTTTGATAATGATGGAGTTCTCATGAGATCTGACTGTTTGAAAATGTGTAGCACTTCCCCCTTTTCTCTCTCCTGCTGCCATGCAAAGATGTGCTTGCTTCCCCTTTGCTTTCTGCCATGATTGTAAATTTCCTGAGCCCTCCCTGGCCATGCCTCCTGTACAGCCTGCAGAACTGTGAGTCAATTAAACCTCCTTTCGTTATAAACTACCCAGTCTCAGGTAATTATTCATAGCAGTGTGACAACGAACTAATACAATGTGCTAGACACTATTTAAGTCACTAAAACTAAAGCACAAATAGGAGAAATATTTGACCGAAATGATTCTCAGTATTTTAAAAGCATCAACATCAAATGCTAATATACTGTGACTCTTGAAAGATTCTCATTCATCAAACTGCATTAACTTTAGGTCTGTTAAATTATTTTTTCCACCAGTGAGCCCACATTCTTCAAGATTTCTGAATTGATTGTCTGTTCTTAATTGAATTTAGTTACAATATTTCATGTTTTATAGATCTGTGATATTCCAATAAAAAAGTCCACTTTACAAAAGTTCAATGCCTTTTTTTTATCATCAAGGAATATGCAAAAGGTATGTATCTACAATTTTATCTTAAAAACTTCCTCAAAATAATTTAAATATATCATTATACAAAAGACATTATTGAATTATTTCACCAAAATGTGTGATGCCATAAATAATTATGGGCATCTTTGATTTAATATTTTATTCACTTCATGAAGAGGATAACCATGTAAGTTGTTCTCTAAATAAGGACATTTAAGAAAGAGGGTGCCATTAATAGTTACACCAGGAAAACAGAAGTAAGTCAGATCTTACCTGGGCAAATGATTTTTATGAGTCACTTTAAGTAGTCTTATTTCTAAATGGTTCTTTCTCAAAATTAAACCCCTATCAAAGGCCTCTTGTCTAAGTTTTAGGATTGTACACCTATCTTCCCACTTATATCTCATGTGGATGTCTGACAGGCATTTTGAATTCAGCATTTCCAAAATCAAACTCCTCATATGGCACCTAAACCAGCTTCTGCTGCAGGCTTTCCCATTCAGTGAATAGTAATGCCAACCTTACAATTGTTCAGGACTGAAGCACTGGTGTCAGGTGGATTCTCAGGCCTGCAATTCCCAGGGAGCCTTAGGCTCTTATGTGTGCATCCTCTGGGGCTTTTTAAAGTGATGATTAAAAAGGTTCCATTTGGAGGCTGGCAGCATGCAGAGCTCCATGAACTCATATCCACTGATAAAAGCATAACTAGTAGAAACTATTAAAAAAAAAAAAAAACCAAAGCATCTAAAACCTTGGAAATTGTCCTAAGGAACAATTTAGCTAAAGAAGAATTACCCAAGAATAATTTATTCAAATCTACTAAACTCAAGTAAAATAGTGAAGATCTATAGCTCTTAAGCCACAAACTGCTCTCTCTCTCCTGCTACACAGCTTGACAGGAGCTCTGCTCCACATGAGTGTAACAAAGAAGAGGGCCCTTTACTCCTGATTTTCCAGAAAACTGCTATGTGTCTTCCCAGGATGGGCAGGCTGCCACTATTTCTCTTATCCTCCAACTCAACCTGCAGAGACTAATTTCTGGTGAGTGTGGCCAAGAAGTCAAAACTTATACTCTAAAAAAACTACAAAACATTGTTTTAAAAATTATAGAAAATCAAAATAAATGGGAAATAAACATAAATGAATCAGGAGATTTGGCATTAGTATGGTGATACAGTTTGGATGTTTGTCCCCTCCAAATCTCATGCTGAAATGTAATCTCTAATGTTGGAGGTGGAGCCTGGTGGAAGGTGTTTGGGTCATACAGTGGATCTCTCATGAATGGCTTGGTGCTGTCCTTGTGATAATGAGATTTTGCTCTAAGTTCTTGCAAGATCGGATGGATTAAAAATGTGTGGCACCTCAACCCTCTCTCTCCCTTGCTCCCACTCTCACCATGTGATGTGCCTGCCTTACCATGATTATAAGCTTCCTAAGACCCCCATCAGAAGCCAATCAGATGGTGGTGTCATGCTTGTACAGTCTGCACAACTGTGATCCAACTGAATCTCTTTTCTTTATAAATTACCCAGTCTCGGGTATTCCTTTATAGTAATGAAAAAATGGACTAACACTGAAAATTACTGCCAAGGGGTGGGGTGTTGCTGTCAAGATACCTGAAAATATGGAAGCAGCTTTGCAACTGGGTAACAGGCAGAGGCTGGAAGAGTTGGGAGGACTCAGAAGAAGATGGCAAGATGAGGGAATATTTGGAACTTCTTAAAGATTGGTTAAACGGTTGTGACCAAAATGCTGACAGAGATATGAACAGTGAAGGCTGTGCTGATGAATTCTCAGATGGAAATGCAGAAGTTATTAGAAATTACAGTAAAGGTCGCCCCTGTTACATCCCTGCAAAGAACTTGGCTGCATTTATGTCCATGTCCCAGAGATCTATGGAAGTTTGAACTTAAGAGTGATGGCTTAGGGTATCTAATGGAATAAATTTATAAAGAGCAAAGCATTCAAGATGTGGCTGGACTGTTTCTAACAACCTATGATCAGATACAGAAGCAAAGAAATGACTTAAAGTTGGAAGCAGAGCATAAAAGTTCAGCCTAGCCATGTGGCACAGAAAGTAAAACCATTTTCAGAAAAGGAATGTAAGTAGGCTATGTAGCAACCATTTGCTAAGGAGATTCGCATGACTAAAAGAGAGTCAAGTGCTAATATCCGAAACAATGGGAAAAAGGCTGTGGAAACATTTCAGAGATCTTAGAGACAACACATTACATCACACGCCCAGAGGCCTAGGAGGAAAGAATGGTTTCAGGGGTCAGGTCTGGGGCCTTGTTGCCCTGCTCACCCTCAGGACACTGTTTCCTGAATCCCAGCGGCTCTAGCTACAGCTGAGGCTCAAAGGGCCTCCAGTACAGCTTGTGTCTCTGTTCTGAAGGGCACAAGTCATAAGCCTTGGTGGCTTCCACATGGTGTTAAGCCTATAGTTGCACAGAATATAAGCATGAAAGAAGCTTGGCAGCTTCCCCCTAGATTTCAGAGGAGGTATGGGAAATCCTGGGTGCCCAGGCAAAAGCCAGCCATAGGGGAAGCTCCCACAGAGAGCCTCTAGTAAGGCAGTGATGAGGGGAAATGTGGGGTTGGAGTCCCCACACAGAGTCCCCACTGGGGCACTGCCTAGTGTAGCTGTGAGAAGAGGGCCACTATCTTCCAAACCCCAGAATAGAGATCCACCAACAGCTTGCACCTGGAAAAGCCAAGGCACTCAACACCAGCCGGTGAGAACAACCACAGGGGCTGACCCTGCAAAGCCTCAGGGGCAGGGCTGCCCAAGGCCTTGGGAGCCCACTTCTGACACTACTGTGCTCTGGATGTGGGATGTGAAGTCAAAGGAGATTATTTTGTAGCTTTAAGATTTAATAAATGCCCTGCTGGGTTTCCAACTTGCATGGGACTTATAGCCCCTTTCTTTAGGTGAATTTCTCCCTTTTGGAACAGGAATGTTTACCCAATGCTGGTACCTGCACTGTCTCTTGGAAGAACATAACTTGTTTCAGTTTTATAGGCTCTTAGTGGGGGAAAAAAAAAAAAATCTCCAGATGAGACTTGGGAATTAGGACTTTCAAATTAAAACTGAAACGAATTAAGACTTTGGGGAACTATTGAGAATGGATGATTATATTTTGCATTGTGAGAAGAACACGAGATTTGGCAGGAGCAGGGTGGAATGATATACTTTGGATGTTTGTCCCCTCCAAATCTCATATTTAAACGTAATCTCCAGTGTTGGAGGTGGGGCCTGGTGGGAGGTGCTTGGGTCACAGGAGTGGATCCCTCATGAATATTTGGTGTGGTCCTTGTGATCACAAGGAATTATCACTCTGAGTTCATGGGAGCACTGGTTATTTAAAACAGTGTGGCACCTCACCTCTCTCTCTCCTCTCTCTCTCTCTCATTCCTACTCTCATTATGTGACCTACCTGCCCCTGCTTCACCTTTCACCATGATGGTAAGCTTCCTTAGGTCCTCACCAGAAGCCAAGATGTTGTCATGCTTGTACATCCTGCAGAACCATTAGCAAATTAAAACTTTTATCTTTATAAATTACCTAGTCTCAGATATAGCTTTATAGTGACATAAAAATGGACTAACACTGATGCCAGTACTTCCCAAATTGATCTACAGACTCAAGGCAATAACTATTAGAGTCCTAGGGAGCTTCTTTATAGAAATTAACAAGCCAGTGTTAAAATTCATGTGGAATTTCATGGGTGGGTCCCAGAATGGCAAAAACACTCTTGCAAAAGAAGAACAAAATAGAACAATGTATACTTCTCAATTCCAAAACTTAGAATAAAGCAACAGTAATCAAGACAGTGTAGTATTAGCATGATAATAGACATGTAGATCAGTGAAATAGAATTCAGAGTCTAGAATAAACCCATACACCTATGGTTAACCGATTTTTGATGAGGGTGCCAAGGCCATTCAATTGGGAAGCAATAGTCTTTTCAACAAATGCACTGAGTCATTTGTATAGCCACCTGCAGAACAAACTTGGAGATTTACTTTATATAATATGCAAAACGTAACTTAAAATGGCTCAAAGACCTAAATGTAAGAGCCAAACCTATAAAACTCTTAAAAGAAAATAGGGAAAAATCTTCATGACATTGAATTTGGCAATAATTTTTTGGATATGACTCTACAAGCACAGGCAACAAAATATAAAATAGATAAATTGGACTTCATCAAAATGGAAAACTTATTACCTGAAAGGATACCATCAAAAAAATAAAAAGACAATTCACAAAATGAGAGAAAATATTTCCAAACCATATATCTGATCAGGGAATTGTATCTGGAGTATATACAGGATTCAAAAGAACAACTCAACAATAAAAATATTATTAAATAATCTAAGATATACTCATATAAATACTTTTAAAAATCTATAATAAAAAGAAAAAAACAGATTTAAAATGGGCAAAGGACCTGGATATACATTTCTTCAAGGAAGATGCACAAATAGCCAATAAGCATATAAAAAGATGTTCAACATCATTAGTCATCATGGAAACGCAAGTCAAAACCACAGTAAGGTATCACTTCAACTAGCACTAGGATGGCTACAATAAAGAAGTCAGATAATTACAAATGTTAGTGAGATTATGGGAAAATTGGAGCCCTCAGCACTGCTAGTGAGAACGTAAAATCGCAAAGTTGCTTTGGAAAACAATCTAGCAGTTTATCAAAAGATTAAGTAAAAAGTCACCATATGACTCAGCAATTTCACTCCCAGTCATATATCCAAAGAAAGAATTAATAGCATATGTCCACACAAAAGCTTGTACATGAATATTTGTAACAATACTACTGAAATAGACAAAAGGTGAAAACAAGCTGTGCCCATCAACAGGCGAACAGATAAACAAAATGTGGTATATCCATACAATGAAATATGATTTGGTCAAAAAAAATAAGTAAACTACTGATGTAGGCTACAATACTTATGAATCTTGAAAATGATATGCTAAGTGAGAGAAGTTGGTTGTAAAAGATGACATACTATATGATTCCATTCATGTAGAAGTCCCAAGTAAGGAGACAAAAAGGAGTTGGTGTTGCTCAGGGCTAAGATGGGGAGTATAGGGTGGTGATAACTAAAGGTCATGGGGTTTCCCTTTGAGGTGATGAAAATGTTTTAAAATTGACTGAGGTGATGGTTGTATATGTCCGCGAATATACTAAAAACCATTAAATTGTATGCTTTACTTGAATTGTATGGTATACAAATTCTATCTCAAGCTGTTAGAAAAGAATAAAAAGAATATTACGAAATCCTATGTCAATAAATTTGACAAATTCCTTGAAAGATAAAAACTATCAAATCTAGCTCAGAAATAACTTGAACACTTACGTATCTTTTAAACAAACTGGCCAGGTGCGGTGGCTCACACCTGTAATCCCAGCACTTTGGGAGGCCAAGGCAGGCAGATCACGAGGTCAGGAGATCAAGACCACCCTGGCTAACACAGTGAAACCCTGTCTCTACTAAAAATACAAAAATTAGCCAGGCATGGTGGTGGGTGCCTGTAGTCCCAGCTACTTGGGAGGCTGAGGCAGGAGAATGGCATGAACCTGGGAGGTGGAGCTGGCAGTAAGCCTAGATTGCGCCACTGCGCTCCAGCCTGGGAGACAGTGCAAGATTCCGTCTCAAAAAATACTAATAATTAAAAAAAAAGAAACTGAATTTATAGTTAAAAACTTTCCAACAAAGTCAACTTTTGGTTCATTTAATGGCTTCATTAAACCTATAGCTGTAATGCAACTCCACTCCATCCCAACAAGCTATTACGTACAAATTGACGAATTGCTTATAAAATGTATGTAGAAATACAAAAGAATTAGAACATCAAAAGCAACTTTAAAATGAAAATTAAATTAGAGACATCTGATGCTGAAAACTAAATATGTCACATCCTGCAAAAGCAGAGCTTCAATGGGATCCAATGATAGATGTATTTCTGTATATATATATATACAAACGAAACTACATGCATACGTACATATACACATCACATGTATATATACATTATATGTTGCACTTACATTATATATGAACACATAACATTTACATTGCATACAATTACACACGTGTATGTCCATACATACACACATGCATTACATACATACAAACTTACATGCATTCTTGCACACCCATTGCATACATTCAAACTTAATTATACACATGCAAACTTAATTATACACATTCATGTTATATGCATACATACATACACACACTATATATACATCCAGAAGCCTGGTCTTTGTCTTATTCCCACAGTGTCCTCCTCTTTTGGCTGCCAATAACTCCCTTAAAGACAGTAGATCATATATTGTTATTAAATCATATTCTGCAGGATATTTACTTTGAATTCAAAGACCAAAAGGTAAATTAAAAATCCAGAACAATAAATCTGTAAGGGTGAAATGACAAGTAAATGCTCTTATTTTATGTTAGAACATCATCTCTTTCCTTTCCCACCTTCAATTTAAACCAAATCTGCTTCTAAGCCCAGCCAAATTGCAAACACTAGTAAGGAAATGAAATTAGTACATTAGAACCTAAAAAGCCTCCAGCAATTTCAATGGGCAGACTGTCAGCTTATTAACTGAGTTCTCATTTTATTTCTTGAAGTTTAATTTACTAGACTTAAAAACCTTTAGTTATAAAAATGAGGAAACTTCACAGGTACCTGCAGCCTTAAAGCATGCACATGATGTGTCTACGAGGTATCTTTGAAGAGAAAATTAGATTTTAAAATAAAAGCATTTAACCCAATACACCAACAGTTCTCTTTCCTCAGCTCAAAGTGAGGCTATAGCAACATAGCAGAAAGGCCAAGGATATGAGAAACCCACTTCACAAAAATATTAATCATTCTTTTACTGAGCTGGTAATGATTTCATTTTGTAGCAAGGATTGCAGGTGGTACACGGGAAAATTTGGAGTAGGTATGCTTACAGCAATTACTGCATGCATCTAATCATTTACCATAAGATGCATTGTTTTCTCTAAGACTCTAGTTTATGGCCATACCTTGTATCTGTCACTGTATGAGATGTGTTTTTATTTCAAAGAGTTAAATTCAACCATAAATATTTCAACAGATCATATAGTTCCAAGACTTTATAACAAATGTGTTATTGCACTGGAATGGTATTTTTGCCAAGACCGCGATCATGTCTCTTTTCTTATAGCCAGGAATTTATACTTGTCACCAACTACTAAAAATTTTATTCTTGAGTAAGGATAAAGGTGCTATTATCAAAAGAGTCCTGTTGTTAAAAGTTACTTCCACCTCTTTGTAGACTAGTACAATACCTTACTTCAAAGTAAGCATCCAGTCAATGTTTATTCATGGTGATCATTGCAGAAATCATCACGATGCTTACAAATATTCAGTTCTCCCCTTGTGGGCACATGGTAGAATTGCATCTCTGGCCCCACCGAACAAATGATCACATTACTTGTTTTGGTAAGAATGTGAGCAGTATCATCAATTACCACTTTGCCGAGGAAGTGCTAAGGGCCATTCTCTTTTCCTACTACCATAGTGTCTAAGTGTTCCAGCAAGCGACTCCTCCAAAGACCTGGGACCCAGAGTATGGATAAAAATAGAGCAGAGCAAAGCCCAACTTTTCTGTGATGGGCAGGCAGTGAGAGTCGGAAACAGACCTTTGTTGTTATAAACTACTAAGATTCAGAAGTTGTTAGTGGCTGCAGCATAACCTAGCTTACCTTGACTAATACAATCATTATCAGATGTAACCAGGAGAGCCTCATACATTTGTTTGTATTAAACGAATCCACTCTACCCTATAAATATTTATCAATCATGTACTTTGTGCTAGGTATTATTTATACTGTGGTAAAAATAACTATGTGCCAAGCGTTTTATATGCACTAACTGATTTGATTCTTAACACAACCCTACAAAGTAAAGAACATTACTATCATCCCAGTTTTTCAGATTATCTAGAGAGATTAGGTATCCTTGCTAAGACCATACTCTCTGTGCCAAACCCCAGCAATATGGTAAAATACAGAAAGAGTTAACCCAAATACTATAGCTGGACTGAAAACCAAGAAAACAGTTCTGTGAACCAAATCAAAAGACAAATACCAGGTCATAAGAGGAGCAGAGGCTGTGGGCCTCCTAGCCTTCAGGGTCACAAGAGATAGGTGAATAGTAACCTGGCTACTGCAGGGGAACAAGCACTAGAAGTTCTTTAGCAAGAAGGTATCTTGGAGCCAGCTCATGGTTGCTGACTAAGAACTAAGCTGACCACTTACTCTATGGCCACCTTCTCTCTGTGGTTGGCAAAAATGTGAACTCCAGATGAGAAACTAAACCTAGCTACCTCTAGTTATTTTAAATAATATTCCCAGTATCATAATGGAACAGAAGTCCTTGAAATCCATCATGGTATTTACTTAAGGCAAGCAGGCTTTAGGGGCTGGCTGAAAGCAAGAGCAAAACTAGGAAATTAGCAGATAAGAAAAGAGACTCAGGGAAAAGCAAATAAAGAATAGAACTGAACAAAAGCAAGAAAATATCCAACTCAAAGGAGCTATTCTCTAAGAAAAACAGTCAATAACATTTTAAAAATAGGACTGTGAGTTCACACCAGCTGAAATTAATGATTAAGCATTGTGTTCAATAAGTATAATTATGATATCTAAGATGATAAAAACATGGCTTCCATCAATAAAAGTATAAAATAAATTTATAAAATGTTAGATAAGTATAAAAAATTATAAATTTGGAAAATAAAAAAATTATCAATGCAATAAGTAAACTCAGTTAATGGGATAAACTGTAAACTGGACACAATAGGGAAAAATTATTTAATTGGAATATGGTACTGATATGGTTTGGCTGTGTCCCCACCCAAATCTCATCTTGAATTGTAGCTCCCATAATTCCCACATGTTGTGGGAGGGACCCTGTGTGAGATAATTGAATCATGGGAGCAGGTCTTTCCCATGCTCTTCTTATGATAGTGAATAAGTCTTACAAGAGCTGATGGTTTTCAAAAGGGGTGTTTCCCTACACAAGCTTTCCTCTCTTGTCTGCTATCCTATGAAACATGCCTTTCACCTTCTGCCATGACTGTGAGGCCTCCCCAGCCATGTGGAACTGTGTGTCCATTAAACCTCTTTCTTTTGTAAAGTGCCCATTTTTGGCTATGTCTTTATCAGCAGTGTGAAATGGACTAATAGAGGTACCAAGAGATTCACCCAGAATGCATCATATACATAGAGAAAAGAATGTATGGAAGAGCAGGTAGGATTTATGGAGGACAGAGTGAGAGGCTCCAATATCTGTGTAACAGACATCCCAAAAACAGTATTTGTGGAGATCATAGTGAGGGTGTGGTCTGGCCAACCTCAAGCTGCCACTTCCAGCCATGAGCCTGGTCCCTGGGCAGTCTGTGGGCTTCCTGGTAACACAGGATGAGGGGACATGGAGGAAATGAGCAATTGCTCCATTATAATCTTGGAAAGTCGTGACTTCATGGTTGACCTCACAGGATGCCAAAGGCAAGCAATCCCAGCAGGTTAGCCACTTGCTCCCAGAGGCAGCTTCATCCCTCTAACATGTACATGAGAAAACAGTGAGAAAACATCAGGCAAGCAGAAGTCTATATAGTAAGCCAGAGGGCCAATCTCAGAAGCTATTGTGAAAGCCCCACTCTGCAGATATAGCTACTTACTTTAGAGAACAATGAACAAAGCAAAAGCAGCATCATGATAAAAGATATAGGTTTACAAGTTAAGACAACCAAACTGAACAAGGAATACACTTTAGATTCTCAATGAGTAGAGGAATTTTTAAATCAAGAATCAACAGCTTGAGTGAGCAACGGAAAATCCTGATAGCATCAGAAATTTGCAAGGTTCATTGAGAACCCAGCATGGTAACTGAAGATGATATGCGGTATCTACAAGAAATAGTGAAGATTATTTGAATGTTTTCCACTTTTTTTCTCCAAGGATGCTTCCCTCCAGAAGAAAACACTACTAAAAAAAGGCTCACATTTTTAAAATCAATTCAAACATGAAAAATGTTTGAGTGGGCTCAAGCTTGTCTCTTTTAGACACTGAGAGGAGAGAAATGCAAAGGAAAATTATTAAAAGCCATGTTTCTAATATTAGTTCACAGAAAACTAAATCAAATTCTGAAGACGAGTCCCAGACATGGCAAATTAAGTTGCTTCAGATCAACCGTCCCACTGAGACTTATTTAAATATTTTAAATTTTTTATTTTTATTAAATATTTTGTTAAATATTTTGCAAAGGCGACATAATGCATAACTTTTTAATGTTCTTTAATGTTTTTGAAATAAATTTATACAGATAGAAAACAAAAAAATAAGAGTGTTCTGTAGATCAGTAGGGCAACTATAGTTTATAATAATCTATTGTACATTTCAAAGTAACTAGAAGAGAATAATTCAATGTTTCTAGCATAAAGAAATGACAAATATTTAAGGTGATGAATATCCCAAGTGCACTGATTTGATCTTTACAAATTATATGAAAGTATTAAATTATCACATGCACCCCCAAAACTATGTACATCTATTATGCATCAATTTTTAAAATTGTAAAAAAAAAAATAACAAACAGATTAGTGGTAGGCAGTCACTAGAAAGTGGTGCTATAAAAGGGTAGCAAAAGAAATTCTTAGGATGAAACTGTTCTGTATCCTGACTGTGGTGACATCACAGGAATCTACAGGTGACAAAATTGCATAGAACAAAAAATACACACAGACACAAATGAGTGCATGTAAAACTGGTGAAATCTGAGTAAGGTCAATGGATCCTATCAATGTCAGCCTCCTGGTTGTGAAATCATACTACATAGTTACACAAGATGTTACCATGGGGGAAACTGGGTGAGGGGTATATAGGTTGTCTGTGTGTTATTTCTTAAAACTGCATGTTCATAATTAATTTAGAAAAATTAAGTCAATTCCATATATTAATTCTTAGAAACAAAATTAAAATAAAATCACACCTGGACACACAGTGGTGAAACTGCAAAACATTAGGGATGAGAGGAAAATCTAAAAGCCTACCAGAAGTAAAAGACACCTGCCCTACCACTTTAAAAAAATTAATAGGAGACTTCTTCTCAGCAATTCTATTGTCCAGGTGTTTTCAGGCATAAAGTCTAATCTCAATTTAAAAATAACTAGAATTCCCAGAATAACCAGAAATAATCCAGCTTCTGGTAATGGCAAAGTAGCTTGATCAGACTAAGTCTCCTTCAGAAATAAAATACAGTTAAAACCAAACAAAATGACTATGGAAGGCACCTGGAGCCCAGGCTAATGCAAGCAGAAACTGGAGGGATGTCCAGCCTTGAAAGATGGAACCTAGAAGGGAACATGTATGAGTCTGTGGCTTTTTGCCTATGGATACCACCCGATACATGGGCACAGCTTTTGAGGGTCAGAAAATTGTAGCTGTTCTGGCAAGAAGTGCTAGAAGACAGAGTTTAGAGTCTGATAGAACAGCTAGAAAAGTATAAGGAAAATCCTGGGAGAAAGCATACCCCAGAATCTACATGCAATTATCCTCCAAATGTCTGGCTGACTAGTAAACTTCAAATGTATGGGTGAGACCCCAGTAAGCCAACAGAAAACGTAGCAGCTGGAACCTGGAAGAATTGAGCCAAGACTTTGCTACCCATCATTAAGATACAATAGACAAAACTGAAAGTATTAGCGTGAGTTTGGAGTATTGTATTGTCCTTGCTTTTAGCATAATTATAAGTTCAGATAACTGAACCTTAACAATGGTTGTGCTTAACTACAGGCTAGCAAAATTCCTGAAAATTTAACAACTGGCTCCCACGAGCTGGTTCAAGCTGGCTCCAGCACATCACTGAAGCTACCTCATTATTGGAGGGGCTGATTTTGTACTGTAATCTTATGTAAACTAGACCCCTATTTTCCAAATTTCCCTTCCATGTATGACACCAGATTGGAGCTGGCTGTAAGAGAAATCTGTGCAAGATGTGGAAATTGACATGAAGCCGCTGCCATGACGGTCAGAAGCTCAACATACGGCCCCAACACAGCAGCGGATTATGCGCATTGTCACTGATGTGTCGGCTCAGCCTGTTAACGCGGGATTGCACGGGGTAGCAGCCTGGCCTGCAGCTCCCCCAGCACCTGCCAGATAATCTCTTTCGGTGCTCCCAGGCCAGACATGTATATAGTTCCAAGATGAGTTTTCTGCTGTTCAAACACATCTTCAAAGTTAGATTCCATGAGAGACAGACCAGGCTCCAGGGTGTTCTCTCGCTTATCTCCATGAGTTCCAGTCTTTCTCCTTCTCCACCTTATGTCCAGTGTTTGTTCCCAGCTGCCTGCTCTGCGGGCCCACAACCACCACCTCAGGACCTCAATAGCTGAAGAGGCGACAGCTTTCCTCAGACTTGTCCACTTCTCCCCTGTGTAGTTCTGAATCACTGTCCTCTTTCAGACCTTTACTTCTCCAGTTAAGCAAAGCTTCCCAGGCACCACAATTGTAATTGTGTAACTGTGTAAAAGTAACAAGCCCCATAAGCAATCTCATATTCTATAATACTCATGGTGGCTCTGCTTCCCTGATTGGACCCTATGCAGTGGGTCTTGACTATCTTTTTTTTTTTTTTTTTTTTTTTTTTTAAAGACAGAGTCTCTCTGTCAACCAGGCTGGAGTGCAGTGGTGCAATCTCAGCTCACTGCAACCTCTGTCTCCCAGCTTCAAGCAATTCTCGTGCCTCAGCGTCCTGAGTAGCTGGGACTACAGGCACACGACCCCATACCAGGCTAGTTTTTGTATTTTTAGTAGGATGGGTTTTTGCCATGTTGGCCAGGCTGGTCTCAAACTGCTGACCTCAAGTGATCTCCCCGCCTCAGCCTCCCAAAGTACTGGGATTACAGGCATGACCCACCATGCCTGGCTTGACCATCATTTATTAAATGGAAGGAGATGGAATAGGATAGCATAGGTTAGTGATATGGTTTGGATATTTGCCCCCTCCAAATCTCATGTTGAAATGTGATCTGATCCCCGATGTTGGAAGTGAAGCCTGGTGGAAGGTGTTTGTCATGGGGACGGCTTCCTCATGAATGGCTTGGTGCCCTCCCTACGGTAATGAGTGAGTTCTCACTCTATTAGTTTACATGGGAGCTGGTTTTTGTAGAAGCCCAGTACCACCTCCTCTTTCTTTTGCTTCCTCTCTCACCATATGACACACTTGTTCCTGTTTAACCTTCTGCCATGAGAAAAAGCTTCCTGAGGCCTCCCCAAAACCCAAGTAGATGCTGGCACCATGCTTCTTGTACAGTCTGCAGAGCCAAATAAACCTCTTTTCTTTATAAATTACCCAGTTTCATATATTCCTTTATAGCAATGCAAAATGGACTGATAGTTAAGATAGGACAGGATTGGACAGGAGAAAATAGGATAATGTCAATGCATCATGGAGAGTAAAGGTAACTTATTTATAAAGATTTTGCTTCAAATTTTTAGATAATCTAGGTCACCTTGGGTTTAATCCCAAAGATATCAACCCTCATTCCAGCCTGTATAAACGATGCCCTCCAGAGCTGTGCAGTGTGTAGCCTGTGTGTTTATTCAAATGACATCAGTCCTGATACAAAAAGTATTTCTATATGTAGGGGTGTCTTTGTTTTAGACCGCTATAGAATAAAACTACAGACTGGGTAATTTAGAATGAACAGAAACTCATGTTTGTGGAGTCTGGGAAGTCCAAGAGCATGTGCTGGCATCTGACAAGAGCATGTGCTGCATCACCCGGTGGCAGAGGTGTGAGGATGAGAAAGAGAAAGAAGAGGGCCAAACCTCATCCCTTTATCAGGAACCCACTCCAGGAATAATGGCATTAATCCACTCACAAGGGCCCTGCCTCCTTTTAGGGTAAAGAAATTTAGGAGCATAAAACCTGTATTCAAAGATACCTTCTGATCTGTAACTAGGTACACCACTACATAACCCAGTTTTTGACTGGACATCACATCTTAGTCCTCTGAACCTAAACTCACATTGAGGAGAAAGACAGCTGTGTCCATATACAGCCAAATAGAATTCATGGTTAGGCAAATACAAAGAAAAGCCCTCTTCTCAAATGGAATGTGGTTCCACAAGCATCAGGGCAAAAGGATCTCCAAGTTGGAGGCAGATACATAAGCAAGATGCTTTAAGGACAAGTCCTAGGGAAGAAGACATAAAGACAACAGAGGAATGGGCACTAACAAGGTTCAGAGGATGCAAGACTTTGTGAGATTGCAGGAGCAGGCAAAGATTTGACAAGTGAGGCACATAGCTGAGGATATGCTAGTTCCCCTGACTGCCCATAAGCCTCAGGATTCTGAGGGACACGGTGCCCAAGAATGACATCATTTTATTATTAAAAAATATCAGCTCTTCCAAAGTCACTTCTGCTCTTCCATCTTTTGCCTAGTCTCTGCTCTGCAGGCAGATATGTCCTGTTAAAAATTTAGCCAGATCAGCTGGGCATTGATGGTACACTGTTGTCTCGCCTACTCAGGAGGCTGAAGCAGGAGGATGACTTGAGCCCAGGAGTTAGAGGCTGCAGTGTGCTATCATCGTGGAAAAAAAAAAAAAAGCCAGATGATGCCACTCCTCTTTGAAGCCTCCGTGTGTCTCACCAACAGTCTCTGAAATCCTGTGAGACCTGGCTTCCACCTATTTCTCTGACCCATTTCCTACAACACATCTCCTATGCACACACTCTGACCAGCCCCACTGACCTCCTGCTCCTTCCAGAATGGGAAGCTTTCTATCTCAAGGCTTTTGCACTTGCTTTACCCTCTGCCTGGCATGCTGTCCCCCCAGAAACCTGTATGGCTCTCTCCTTCCCCACCTCCGGGTTTTTACCAATTTACATCTTCTCCATGAGGCCTTCCATGATCCCTTATTTAAAATTGCAGCCCCACGCCCACAATCTTCTTCCTTCTTCCTCACTTCTGCATCTTCCAGGGGCCATAACACATCTCGCTTAGCATATTTTACTTATTTGTTAATTCTCTGTCAATCTTTACTGGAATATAAATGCCAGTGAAAACAGGGGTTCATCTGCTTTGTTCAAGGCTATAGTCTCAAGGCTAAAGGGGCCTAGAGGAAAATCCACACTCAATACATACATGTTGAATGAACTCGATTTCCCAGCTGGTTTTGCCGACATAGGGGAATGGTGCTGTACACATATGTACTTGTACATGTACATACATGTTGGTATTCAGCCAGCTTAGTGAATTTTATTATTAGTCATAATACTGAATTAATTCTCACGGTTTTTTTTAATATAGATGTTTACACAATAATATCAAAACATTCCTTCCTAGAAGCAATGAATCCCAGACCGACCTAGCTGTTTTGTAAACGGTAGTAATATTCAAGACTAATAGGGAGGTAGAAAAAGAAATCAGACTTTCAAACAATATTTTAAAAATATTATCCAGCCACTATAAAGAAAGGGCTTATATCAGAGCCAATTGTTGATTGGATTGCTGATTCATTTTAAACAAAATAACTTCACGAGATGGAAAAGTGGCTTTAAAAAGATTTTTGTGTATTCACTATAGATTCAATATGGTACTAATAATGCCAGCCCAGGTGAACCTCAAAAAAATAACTAATATTAGGAGAAGGGTCCTAATACTACTATTTTTTTTTTCTTTGAGACGGAGTCTCGCTCTGCCGCCCAGGCTGGAGTGCAGTTGCACGACCTCAGCTCACTGCAAGCTCCGCCTCCCAGGTTCATGCCATTCTCCTGCCTCAGCCTCCCGAGTAGACTACTTCTAATACTAGTTCTTCATCAACCACATGTCAAGATAGAAGCAATGAGAAGTTGAACGGTAACTGTCAAGGAGGAGTATGGTTATATTTCCACCATTGGTGGCAAACCTCTGCCTGTGTGACTTGCGATATCGGCTAATGCTATTATGAACCCATCAGCACTAGACACAAAGACACTAAAAGACATTGAAAGACGTGAATAAGGATGTTGAAAGACATCCTTATTTCACCTTCAGCTCATCACTTAGTACTCGTATACAAGTTATGAGTAAATATACATATTGGGGGTGCACAGTCCAAAAAGTTTCAATGTCACTGCTCCAGAGCAATGTATATTAAACTTCTGGGAATATGAACCCTATACAGAATCTGGTGAAAGCCAAAGGTGCAACCTTAAATAAATACGCATTCATGCTAACTGTCACGAGGGCTTGGTCACCTCCAGGAGGCCCACCCGCATATTTATTTCTTTATTTTTATTTATTTATGAGAAGGAATCTCACTCTGTTGCCCAGGCTGGAGTACAGTGACGCCATCTTGGCTCACTGCAACCTCCCCCTCCCAGGTTCAAGCGATTCTCCTGCCTCAGCCTGCCGAGTAGCTGGGACTACAAGGCACCCGCCACAGCGCCGCCACCACACCCGGCTAATTTTTTGTATTTTTAGTGAAGACGGGGTTTCACCGTGTTAGCTAGAATGGTCTCAATCTCCTGACCTCGTGATCCACCCGCCTCGGCCTCCCAAAGTGCTGGGATTACGGCTGTGAGCCACCGCGCCCGGCCACGACCCACATACCTTTTAAGGGTCCGTGGACTCCAAAGGTAAGAAAGAATCCGTACTCTTGTTAGAAATGTTGGCTTATACTTTGATTTAGGTTAAAGGGTGGCGAGTGCTTTCTGTTCATTCTTCTGAAGTGAACAGAAGCAATGAAAACCTAAGTCTCATATTTTAGACAAGAAACGAACATAATGGGAAGGTTCACAGGCGGCATAGGATTTCCCCACTCGCTGCGCATACCCTGGATGGGCAGCAGGGGGCAGCGGAGCACAAGAGGACCGGGACCACAGCGCCCGGAGGCTGATACCCCGCAGCTGATCCACAACACTGCAAGCTCACCCCAAAGAGGGGCAGTGTGTGAACCCAGAGGACTCTCGTCAAGTGAAATAAGACAGGCATGAAGGACAAACACCGCAGGATCTCACTCCTATCTGGAACCTTAAAAAGTTGATTTCATGGAGGTATAGAGTAAAATAGTGACCAGGCGCTGGGGAGAGCAGGGGGGAGGCAGGGAACCAGAGAAGTTGGTCATCCGGGCAAAGTCACAGTTAGGAGGAATGATTTCTGTTACACAGTAGGGTGACCATAGGAAATAATGTAGTGTATATTTCAAGATAACCAGAAGATACTCAATGTTGTCACCACAAAGAATAAACGTCTAAAGTAATGGATGTGGTAATTATTCCAATTTGATCATTGTGTGCATTGAAACATCACACTGTACCCCATACACTTGTACAATGATAATGTGTCAATTATACATTTTTTTAAAATCCCATTAACAAAAAAAAGAAAAAGGAAAGAAAAGGGACCAATTGTCCTCTGCCAAACTGAGTATTCTAGGCTTGGCTAGATCTGTATGGCCAAAGAAAAATGAGGCAAAATAATTAAACTCTCAAATGTCACCTAGAAAAACCAACAGCACACACTATCTAAACCCACGCAGTTATTACGTGGGAAGCCGAGGCACGAAAATTGCTTGAGGTCAGGAGTTCCAAACCAGCCTGGGCAACATCTACAAGCAACAATATCCCGTCTCTACAAAAATACAAAATTAGCTGAGCATGATGATACTGTAGTCCTGGCTACTCAGGAGGCTGAGGTGGGAAAATTGCTTTAACCCAGGATTTTGAGTCCGCAGTGAGCCTTGATGGCACCACTGCACTGAGCCTAAGCCACCGAGTAAGAAGACCCTCTTACATACATACATAAATGAAATACATACATACATAAATACATACATAAAATCTATTTAAAGCAATTAAAATTTCTACTGCTACTATAGTATAACACAACTAGATTCAAAACAGTCTTCTCAACAAAGCAGAGTATTTTTCAAGCAACAATTCTAAGCCACACGCTGCCGTCCCCTACTCAGTATCCACCCCTAGCCCACACAACTCGCTACCCTCGGCCCTGACTCACTCAACTACCTACCGGACCCCACTACCCACCTACACCCCGTGTAAACCCACGCACTATCTACACCGTACCCCATTCCACTCATTTAACTCCACGCTTATTAACTTACCTTCCCCAAACACATACCTGCTCACAACCTACCTCTCATTCTAAGTAACAAATATAAAATCATTGTCAAAAGCATTGACATACTTGCAGTACTCTTCCCTGCAGAAATACTATCTTTCCTTTTACTGAAATCTTTTGTGATCCTCCGGTAAATACCAGTTTTTTTATCTACGATTTTATGGCTTCTGTTGGCTTAGTCTATTTGTTGTTGTAAACAAAATATTTTCCATAACATATTCAACATTATTATTGCAGTGTAAGGAAAACAATTGACTTTTATCTACTTACTTTCTACGTTGGGACTTCTCTGAACTCTTGCTTATAAGTTCGTGAAACGATTCTCGTGAGTCTTCCCTCAAAATGTTTTCACGTATAGGAAATGTTGTTGGAATCACAGCAAAAAGAGTGGTGATGAACAGAGGTGGAAGGAGCCAGGCATTACGCTCGTCCTTCATGGTTCCGCCCCCTGGCCCAGCCTCTGGGTCACACCCTTCCTTAAGGCTGCCCTCCCAGTTCTCCTGTCCCTCTCGGTTGAGCAAGCCCAGGGTCCTTTCTTGCCAATCTGGACCTGGTGCTGTGTCCGGAATTGGTGGGTTCTTGGTTTCACTGACATCAAGAATGAAACTGCGGACCCTCACAGTGACTGTTACAATTCTTAAAGATAGTGTGACCAGAGTTTGTTATTTCTGATGTTCGAAAGGGTTCGTAGTTTTTCCTTCTGCTGGGTTCGTGGTCTTGTTGGTTTCACGAGTGAAGCTGCAGACCTTCGCGGTGTTACAGCTCTCAAGGCCGCGCGTCCACAGTTGTTCATTCCTCTCAGTGAGTTCGTACTCCCGTTGGCCTCAATAGTGAAGCAGCAAACCTCTGCAGTCAGTGGTACAGCTGACTCAAATGAAAGCACTGCGGACTCAAATGAGTAGCAGCAGCAAGCTTTACTGCGAATATTAAAAAAAACAAGCCATACAAGCCCCACAACAGAACCTAACCTGATTGCCACTGCTGCCTCAGGCAGCCTGCTTTTATTCCCTTATCTGACCCCACCCAAATCCTGCTGATTGGCCCATTTTACAGAGAGCTGATTGGTCTGTTTTACAGAGAGCTGATTGGTCCGTTTTGACAGGGTGCTGATTGGTCCATTTTACAGAGAGCTGATTGGTCCGTTTTGACAGGGTGCTGATTGGTGTGTTTACAATCCCTGAGCTAGACACAGAGTGCTGATTGGTGCATTTATAATCCTCTAGCTAGACACAAAAGTTCTCCAAGTCCCCACTAGATTAGCTAGACACAGAGCACTGATTAGTGCCTTTACAAACCCCAAGCTAGACACAGAGTGATCATTGGTGCATTTACAATCCTCCAGCTAGACATAAAAGTTTTCCAAGTCTCCACCTGACTCAGGGGTTCAGCTGGTTTCCCCTAGTGTATCCCCTGCCCTAGGATCCAGCGCACTAGGATCCCGCCCCAGGTGCAGGTGGAGCTGCCCGCCAGTCCCCCAGGCCGCAGGTCTGCACTCCTCAGCCCTTGGGCGGTGGAGGTGACCCAGCGCCCCTGAGCAGGGGGTAGCGCCCCAGGGCAGGGGGCAACGCGGGTCAGGGAGGCTCGGGCTGCGCGAGAGCCCACTGCGGGAAGGTGGGGCGCTCGAGCGTGGCGGGCTGCAGGTCCCGATCCCTGCCCCACGGGGAGGCGGCTGAGGTCCAGCGAGAATTCGACCAAGGCGTGGGCGGGCCCACACTGCTGGGGGACCTGGCGCGCCCTCCACAGCTGCTGGCCCGGGTGCTAAGCCCCTCACTGCCCGGGAGTGCGCGGCCCGCGGAGCCCGCGCTCACCTGGAACTTGCGCTGGCAAGCACCGCCCTCAGTCCCGGTTCCCGCCGGCGCCTCTCCCTTCACACCTCCCCGCAAGCAGAGGGAGCTGACTCCGGCCTCAGCCAGCACAGAGAAGGGCTCCCACAGTGCAGCGGCGGGCCGAAGGGCTCCTCAAGCGCGGCCAGAGTGGGCACCGAGGCCCAGGAGGCGCTGAGAGTGAGCGAGGGCTGCTAGGCTGCTGTCACCTCTCACTGCCACCACATCAGTGGGCCCTTCTTACTTAAAAGGTGTCCGACAGCTAACCTGAGGACTGACTATTCTGTTAACAGATCTGCCTTAGATGCCTAAGGCATCCCTGCCTTTGAAGAGCTGAGGTTCGCTCCATCCTAAGCCCGCCAAGGCCTCTTCCAGCTTCTGTGTTTCCACGCACAGGCACCTGACGCACTTGGGCCATGACAGGTGAGGTGCTGTTTTAAAGAAGCCTCCTAATTCTTGAAAAGCACTGATGGAAAGACATAGCCTCTTTGTGGATTGTGCTATGTTTGATGGGAGTGCATACCTGAGGCCACAGTTTTGACACCAGGAAAGGAGGGAACCTGAGGTACAGCAGTCACAGGAGGCATGCAGGACCTGCCAGGAGCATTGCAGAGAAGTGGAGCCGGAGCCTGACGCCCTGGGACTTCCCTCCACTCTATTCCTTGCCATGGGCATGGCCAATGGTCTTCTAGTGTGGGCAGGGAAAGTATCCGCACTGATCATCTGAAGGATGCAAAATCAGCACAATCACAAAAAGGCTTCATGGAAGGACTCATCATTCAGCAAATGATTTATCACTAGCTAGGCGCCAGGACTCTGTTTATCTCTTTATCTAGATCAACAGTACTCCCAAGGCCAAAAGCCATAAAGGAGAAGATGCATGGACATAACCAGAGTATTTCAAAATGCCTTCAAGACAAAATTATTTTCAAAACATAGGCAAATGCAAAAGTCAAGTGAAAACTGGAGAAACTGTGTTTACAAGGAATCTAACGAAAACCCAATTTCCTTATGACATAAAAAAAGTATCAAATCAATAGCAAAAAGTAAAACAAAAACCTAATAAAAATAAAGCAAATGACATGATAGGACACAATCCTAAATAGATAAATACATAAATAGATGACTTTAAATAAGTTCTTAGCAATTTCAACCTCACATTTTAAAATTCACGAACTAGTTATTATAAGAGATCCTTTTTCACATATCCAAGTAAAAATTGTTTTACCAGCTTGACCATACACAATGTTTGCAGTGTTGGAGGGAAAGGTACCCTTACACACTGTTAGAGGTAAACAGGCGCCGCCTCTTTGGAATTTGGAATTTGTCAAATACGTAAGCATTTTAAATGCATGTAACCAATGACCCAGCTATCATCCTTTCTAAAATTGGTTTCACAGATAAACTCATTCCTTTTAAATAACTGATTTAATAAGTGACCTTAGGGCACAGATTATTTGACAAGAATATTTATTGTCTACTTGAATTCAGAGATTTTGGCACTGTGCAAGGCACACATGGGGAGTCTATAGATATGTGAATAAATAGCATCCCACCAGACAGCTAAGGACAGAATCATTGCCTGGAATTCTTTCCTCCGGGTATTGTCAATGCGATGTAAGAATATAAAACAAATAATGAGAGAATTCTAAAGCGAGAGGAAATAGAAAACGCTAACCCAAGGGGTTTGGCCGCTTTACCTCATCCTGACTCTAGATGGCAGCATCCGCTCACTTCCCCCAGCTGGGAGACTAGCTCCAGAAGCAGCCTGAATCCGAGCGAAATTGGAAGTTTTCCATGTAGGAGAATCAGCCGGGCACGGGCATCTGCTCAAGCCCCACTTGCAGTTAGGAGGATTCTCCCCACTTGAACGAACTCACAGAAGCAGATATCTGACCCCACTTTGGTCCGTTTACTCCATACATACAAGCCAAGGCATTTGTTTCTTTTTTTTTTCTTTTTTTTTTTTTTTTTTTTGTGGTGGAGGGGCGCTGTGATTTGTTTGGTTATGAGCCAGAAAAATGCCAGATATGTCCTGAGTGCTTCCCAAGCTCAATCACAGATAGGCACTTCCTTGACCTAACTGAGCTTCAAAAACGCATCAGCAAAAACACCCACGTAAGATGTCCGATGGGAGGCACCTCGGGACATATCCTAGGCAACAGCAGGGAGGCCCGCTTCCTCCTGCCGGCCGCGAGCAGCGCAGCACCTCTAGGGCCCGCGGAGAGAGCGAGGTCTCCCTGCCATGCGTGGGGTGGAGGCGGTGCTGTGCAGGACTCCCCTGCGGTCCACCTAGACTCTCAGCTTTAAAACTCCATTCCCAGGCTAAAAGGAAAAGAAAGCACTGGGAGGAGAAAACGGACAAGAAGTTCAAAACTCAGGTTATGGAAAAAGAGATAAATGAATCCTCACAGAAGCAATTTAGACTAGAGGCTTGAAAAGCCCAGGGTTATCTGGAAGAAATGAGATTTCCCCTAAGCATAAAACCTATGGTATGGAAATGAAACTGATTGAAGAAATACGTTGTGTGTGTGGGGGGGCGGGTGTCTATCTTTCAGTCTCTCTCTGTCTCTGTCTCTGTATCTCTGTCTGTCTATCTGCCTCTCTCTGTCTCTGATCTCTGTCTCTATCTCTGTCTGTCTCTATGTCTCTGTATCTCCCTATCTCTCTGTCTCTGACCTCTGTCTCTGTATCTCAGTTAACTCTCTGTAGCTCTCTCTGTCTCTATCTTTCTGTCTCTCTCTCTGTCCCTGTCTTTCTGTCTCTCTCCCACACACACACACACACACACTCCAAACAAAGTGTAGTGAAGGAGAGCTGGATAAATTACTGCGCACATGCTGAGGGAAAAGGCAGATTGATAGACAGGGGTGGCTAAAAAGCAACCCTGCGATCCGGTTCCCAGCAAATCTGCCACTCAAGTTTCTCATCTCATCAGGGATGGGAAGGAACAGAAGGCTCCACTGCGGTGCTGGCTGTGGGCTTATACGTTGCCGATCCCTGGGGACTGGACCTAGTGCTATTCTGCAGAAGGTAATTGAAGAAACCCTACTAGGAATGAAGAAACCCAAGTGAAGGAGGGTGACAGATGGAAAGGAATGCTTCTAAGCAGTTTTCGTGCAGGGTTGTGAAAATGAAGCGTCTATAGAGGAAAAGGACATGTTTCACAGGCTCAAGGATTTGAGTTTAAGCTTCAATAAAGATGAGAAACAGAGTAGGAATTTCCCTAGCAGTTCTTTGTACGGAAATTAGCGTGAAGATCTGAAGGGCTTCGGTACTGACAGCAACTTCCAAACTGCTTCAAGCCGCTCACCATCAAAATGAGGTGAATATCCAAAACATTTCCTCCCTAGAGAGAACTTCTGACAAGATCAGGGAAATGTAAGTTTAGCGACTAAACCAGGACGCGGTGGGCAGGCTCACGGCAGCACCCTCCACTCAGTGTGGCTTCCTTCCTGCCCCTGTCATCACCTGTGAGGTGTGGGCCTTGCAGCGAGATTGGGGTATTCACCCAGTTTTCTTCCTTGAGTCTAAGTGAGGATTGCTTGGTAGACATTAGAATCCACAAGCATAAAAGGTAACGTTGCAGGGGCTGAGGAAGCCACTGCCATCCGGGGAGCCACAGGACATGGAAGCTGAGGGACAGACGGCAGAGCCCTCAGAGGAGCTGAGCTAAAGAGCTTCTAGCAAAACTGCAGTTGCTTGGGGGGACTCGGCACTAAGATTACGACAATTTAGCATTAAGTATAACCCGGATAGGAGTAATTAAGCTTAATATTGCAGAAACAGTATTTTAAAGAAAAAAGATGGACGTATGGCCCAACGAAGAATTTTTTCTGATTTGTGGATTTATGAGTGAAAGTCTTTCAACAAGGGGAAAAGAAGGGGACGGGAGGGGAGGGGAGGGGAGGAGAGGGATATAAGGCATGCTCA